>NC_000003.12:120069210-120372240 GCF_000001405.40 Homo sapiens
CTCAAGCTGTAAATATTATCTGATATTCTTAGAGGTCCCAATGATCTTGGCTATTTCAAAGTAGGAAATAAAAAGGAAGGAAGAGAAAATTTTTCAGAGTAGGGGAAAGGTTTCTCTCCCCAACTTCCTCAAAATTGAGAAGAATAAAAACTAAAGAAAAAACTAAAACATACAGTATTCTGCTTAACTCAATTCACAGTTAATAGCCTTCACGGTACTGAATGGTCCCAAATAGTTATTCAAATTTTTGAAGAGTATCTTGGACCATTTAAGTTAATTCTACTGAATACAGCTGTGGACAACCCAGTTGGGGGTGTGGGG
Source organism: Homo sapiens (assembly GCF_000001405.40). NCBI lineage: Eukaryota > Metazoa > Chordata > Mammalia > Primates > Hominidae > Homo > Homo sapiens. Next base: position 120,069,532 of record NC_000003.12, read on the forward strand.
GACAATCTTCATTCACATCTCACCATAATGTGGTATGTCCATCATATTTGAACATTTTATTAAAACTCAATACCTAACGGTCAATACAAACCAGACTGCCAGTGCATACAGACTAGCCTGAAAACAGTTTTTGGAAAAAAAAAAAAAATGCAGTCTAAAAATATTAACTATACAAACATCACATCTATTGAAAATACACATTTCACATTAAACACAAACAAAACTTTAAAGGTACCTACTAGGCCAACATTTCCTGATTACGAATACTCACTTAAAAACTTCCAGATCCCTAGTGACAACTGCAACTTTCTTAATGCCCTATAAAATATATTTAAGATGGAATTTCTATTACTTTAAAAATGCATCTGGTGATGATTTTTCCTTAAATAAATATAGGGGAAGGCCAGGCGCGGTGGCTCATGCCTGTAATCCCAGTACTTTGTGAGGCTGAGGTGGGTGGATCATGAGGTCAAGAGATCGAGACCATCCTGGCCAAAATGGCGAAACCCCGTCTATACTAAAAATACAAAAATTAGCTGGGTGTGGTGGTGTGTGCCTGTAGTCCCACCTACTTGGGAGGCTGAGGCAGAAGAATCACTTGAACCCAGGAGGTGGAAGCTGCAGTGAGCCGAGACTGCACCACTGCACTCCAGCCTGGCAACAGAGCAAGACTCCATCTCAAAAAACAAAACAAAACAAAACAAAAAACAAAAAAAAAAAACATCCTGTATATATAACAGTTTAAATAAAAAAAAAAAGAGGATATAGAAAGGTAACAACCCAACCTAAGCCTTATTATTGTTATTACTGCTAATAATAACAGCAGCTAAGATTACTATGTGCCAGACACTGTACTAAGCATCTTACATGCATAATTACCTGCTTCACAATCACTCAGAAAGGTAGTTACTATCACCACTTCCAAATAAGGACAATGAAGCTATAAAAAGTTAATATCTTACCTAAGCTGTACTATACCTGATCAGAGATGAGGCTAAAATGGTCCTACAATGTCAGAAAAAAAAAAAAATGTATGGAATACCTAAAGATGGTATCAAATCTCACTCAAAAAGCACTTTACAGTCGTGTCTGAAATCTTTCACTATAGAAACACACAGAGTTCATCTATTAATATACAAAGCAAATGATGTGGAACCTGTGTTGAATAGTCAACTTATTATCCTTTTCTTCTTCCCTAAGTAGGGCAGCTTAGTCTTTTCCTTGTATATATTGCCAAATTGCTGTTCCTAAGGAGTAAAGTCTAATAGACAGCAGTTCATTATAACCACACAGTGCCAACGTAGTTCAAAAGGGCAAAAACTTAGGAATCGGCAAGATTAGGGATCCATTCCGAGTTCTGCCTCATTATTAGTTTTGTGTCCTTTACCCACCAGCAGGGACTCAGACTCCTTGTCTGCAAAATGGAGATACCACTTAGACCCAGTGGAGCAAATCCTCATTAAATGTTTGTTTCCTCCCCTTCTCAAATAAAAACAAGGGCTAAATACACCTAATGCAGAGCTTCCAAAGTCTGATCCAAAGAATGGCAGTCCTTTGAGGGATGCTATAAGCAGCATTTCCTAAACTTTGGCCACAGACTATTTATTACAGCACAACATCGTTTAGAGTAACTACTGTGGGAGACACTGGCCAAAGGACTTTCACATCGATTAAATAAAAAAACAACAACTTTACTTCAGATTCTGTGATCACTCTTTTAGCTCCTCAGTGCTCATTTTTATCTACTATCTAGTTCCCATCTTAATTCCATATAGTTGAGCTAGGAAATAAGTACCTCTGGTTATATGAGTATCCTATATATTAAACGCTATATATCAGGGGTTTCTGTGGCCTGTTAGGAACCAGACCGCACAGCAGGAGGTGAGCAGCAGGCAAGGGAGCAAGGCTTCATCCGTATTTACAGCAGCTCCTCATTGCTCACATTACCACCTGAGCTCTGCCGCCTGTAAGATCAGCAGCAGCATCAGATTCTCATAGGAGCGTGAACTCTATTGTAAAGCACACATGCGAGGGATCTAGGTGCACATTCCTTATGAGAATCTACTGCCTGATAATCTATCACTGTCTCCCCAGCACCCCCAGATGGGACTGTCTAGTCACAGGAAAACAAGCTCAGGGCTCCTACTGATTCTACACTATGATGAGTTGTATAACTATTTCATTATACATTACAATGTAATAATAATAAAGTGCACATTAAATGTAATGCACTTGAATCATGCTAAAACCATCCACGCTCGTCCATGGAAAAATTGTCTTCCACAAAAGCAGTCCTGGTGCCAAGAAGGTTTGGGACCACTGCCACCACATTAAGAACCCAGATATACTCTTTTAAGTGGGGTCTAAAAAATCCAACTATTAATACATGAAACACAGGGCTTATTGCAAAGTTAACAGAAAACTGTATTTTTCCATTAGTCTTCCAGTTACAGAATAGAAAGGAAAGGGAGAGAAAAGTTCACATATCAGGTTTACTTACTGAATATTAAGTCAATGATTAAAAATGAAATGTCAGCCTGGCCCTCACCTGCAGACAATAGGCATGGCAGAGGATGAGAGTCAATTATACTATATCTAAATTTTGTATCATCACAGGATTTCACTGTAAACTGACACTTAAAACACTCATCAACTAAGAAAAGTTCGATTCAGAGGCACAGAAAATTTTCTCCAACTCATGAAAATGATAAATCAACCTTTTCTATTAATATTTAATTATCTTCGGCCGGGCACGGTAGCTTACGCCTGTAATCCCAGCACCTTGGGAGGCTGAGGCAGGAGGATCACTTGAAGTCAGGAGTTCAAGGCCACTCTGGCCAACACAGCGAACACCATGGTAGTTCGCCATGGTAGAGAACAACCAGTCTCTACCAAAAACACAAAAATTGGCAGGGCATGGTGGTACGTGCCTGTAATCCCAACTACTCGAGAGGCTGAGGCAGGAGAATCGCTTGAACCTGAGAGGCAGAGGTTGCCATGAGCCGAGATCATGCCACTGCACTTCAGCCTGAGCAAGACTCAGTCTCAAAAAAATAATAATAATAATTATCTTCAAACACTATAAAAATAACTTCTTAAAAAGAAAAACATGACAATCAACTATGTATTACAATTTGGTCTCTATATTTAAGATTCAAAGTTTTCAATTTCTGGCTTATTTTTCAACATTCATCATTTATTAAATGACAACTAAGTACAAAGGATTTTCCAGTGCAAGAATAATATAAAACAACAACAAAAATTATTGAGACCAATAACCATGGGAAATAATAAGGACAGAGGCAGGTGAAGTGTTAACACTTCTGTTCTTGCCTTGGATCAAACTATGATATGTTAACTGAACGCAAAATTGGTGCCTTCAAGTTACCAGAGGTAGCAAGGCTCCATTTCTGTACATTCGCATACTCTTAGGACAGTAAAGTAGTTAAGAATAAGAGCTCTAGACTAAATTACCTGGGTTGGAATCCAGGCTCTGCCACCTGCTGGCTATGAAACCTTGGCAAGAGTTACTTAACTTCTCTAAGATTCAGTTTCATCTGTTAAAGTGATCCTGACTGAGCTCTGTGGCTCACATCTATAATCCCTGCACTCTGAGAGGACAAGGCAGAAGAATTGCTTAAGCCCAGCCTGGACAACATAGGGAGACCTCATCTCTACAAAAAAAATTAAAAAAAAAAAAAAAAAAAAAAAGCCTGGCATGGTGGTGCGGGCCTGTAGTCCTAGCTAATTGAAAGGCTGATGCAAGAGTATCACCTGAGCCCAGGAGGTAGGCTGCAGTGAGCCACAACCACACCACAGCACTTCAGCCTGGGCAAGAGAGCAAGACCCCATCTCAAAGAAGAAAAGAAAAGGATAGGAGCTCAGGCTCAAAACTGATTTTGCAATATGGATTTCAACTACACTTCTTACCCATCTCTCACAGCCACTGTTTTATAGCTAGCCAGATCAGTTTTAAAAGCAAGGTATTTGCTCTTAAAATTTTTATTTTAAAATAAAATAAACTGTACTTATATATGACTGACAATTACTTTCTCCTCCATAAGTAACACTACAAAAAGTAGAAGTTCCTAAGCCGTACCCTAAAAAACCTTAATTCTTCCAATTTCGGGCAATTATCTTATTCCCTCTCCAAATTATAAAGGCCATACAGTGGAGCAATTAAGAGAACAGGTTCGAAGTATGGCTATGCATCTTGCTGGCTGTGTAAGGCTCTGTAAGCGTCAGTTTCCTCATTTATAAATTCAATTTGCCTTAGAAGACTGTGATGAAAATTAAATAAGATACAAACAAGTTGCTTAAAATAGAGAATAGACAACCCATGGAGAAAAACAATAAAACAAAGAGTTGGTTTTTTAAAAAAATAAAATCAACAAACCCTTAGACTACACAAAAAGAGAGGAGTCCAAAATACACAAAATGAGAAATGAAAGTGGAGACATTACAATAGAAGCCTCAGAAATAAAAACAGTTGGCCAGGTGCCGCTGCTCACGACTGTAATCCCAGCACTATGGGAGGCCGAGGTGGATAGATCACTTGAGTCTAGGAGTTCAAGACCAGCTTGGGCAACATGGTGAAACACTCTCTCTACAAAAAATACAAAAATTAGCTGGGCGTTGTAGCACATATCTGCAGTACCACTCAGGAGGCTGAGGTGGGAGGATCACTGGAGCCCAGGAATTGAGACTGCAGTGAATGTACATCGCACCACCGCAGTGCAGCTTGGGTCACAGAGTGAGGCCCTGTCTCTAAAAAAAAAAAGAAAGAAAGAAAGAAAAGAAATAAGAAGGGTCATGAGAAACTTTTTTTTTTTTTTTTTGAGACAGAGTTCCACTCTGTCACCCAGGCTGGAGTGCAGTGGCACGATCTTGGCTTACTGCAACTTCCACCTCCCGGGTTCAAGCGATTCTCCTGCCTCAGCCTCCTGAGTGGCTGGGATTACAGGTGCGCACCACCACACCCGGCTAATTTTGGTCAGGCTGGTCTCGAACTCCTGACCTCATGATCTGCCCGTCTCAGCCTCCCAAAGTGCTGGGATTACAGGTGTGAGCCACCACACCCAGCGCTGAGAAACTGTTACGAACAATTACATGCCAACAAATGTGATAACTTAGAAGAAAAGAATACCTAAAAAAGTACAACCTGCCAAGGTTGAATCAGAAAAAAAATAGAAAACCTAAATAGACCCATAACAAACAAAAAGATTGAACCAGTGGTAATTAAAATCCTCCCAAAAAAGAAAAGGTCAGGACCAGACAGCTTCACAGCTTAATTCTACCAAACTTTTTAAGAATACCAATACTACTTAAACTCTTCCAAATAATAGAGCTGTAACACATTTGATAAGGCCAGCATCACCTTGATACCTAAGCTAGACAAAAACATTACAAGAAAATAAAACTACAGGCCAGTATCTCTGATGAACACTGATGATACAAAAATCCTCAATAAAGTATTAGCAAGTCAAATTCAACATATCAAAAAATTACACATCATGATCAAGTGGGATTTATATGGGCATCCAAAGCTGGTTTAACATACACAAATGAATCAATGTGATATATTAAGAGACTGAAAGAAAAATGACACAATCATATCAACTGACAGAAAAAGCATTCAACAAAGTTAAACTTTCTTGATAAAAACTCTTTAACAGTTTAAATATAGAAGGCAAGTTCCTCAGTATAATAAGGCCATCTATGAAAAACCCACAGCTAACTACATAATCAATGGCGAGAAACTGAGAACTTTTCCTCTAAGACCTGATACAAGGCAAAGATGCCCACTCTGACCACTTCTATTCAACAGAATACTAGAAGTGCTGGAAGAGCTTGTCTAAATCAAGAGTATTTAGACAAGAAAAAGGAAAAAAAAAGTTAACCAAATCAGAAAATTATCTCTATTTGCAGATGGCATGATCCCATATATAGAAAACTCCAAAGACCACATGAAAAACTGTTAGATTGAATAAATTAATTTAGTAAAGTTGTAGGATATAAAATCAACATAAAAAATTCATGGCATTTCCATACACAAATAATGACCAAGCTGAAAAAGAAATTAAGAAAACAGCCCCATTTGTGTTAGTATCAACAAACAAAATACTTAGGAATAAATTTAACCAAAAAGTTGAAAGACCTGTACACTGAAAACTAAAACTACTGATGAAAGAAAATGAAGAGGACACAAATAAATGGAAAGAATTCCATGCTCATGGATCAAAAGAATATTGTTAAAATTATCATACTACCCAAAGCAACAAAACAGATTCAACGCAATTCCTATCAAAATCCCAATGGCATTCTTCACAAGAGTAGAAAAAGCAATCCTAAAATTCACATGGAACCACCAGACTCTGAACAGCCAAGGCAATTCTGAGGAAAAAAAAAAGTTGGGGGCTTCACGCTTCCTGAGTTAAAATTAAATTACAAAGCAACTATAATCAAAATAGTTTAGTACTGCCATAAAAACAGACACACAGACCAGTGCAACAGAATAGAGAGCCCAGCAACAAATCCAAACATAGACCGTCAACTATGTTTCAACAAAGGCACCAAGACAACACAATTCTTCAATAAATGGTGTTGGGAAAAATGGATTTCCACATGCAAAATAATGAAACTGAATCCTCATCTTACACCAGACACAAAAACCAACTCAAAATGGATAAAAACCTAAACATAAGACTTGAAGCCACAAAATTCCTAGAAGAAAACATAGGGAGAAATCTCCTTGACATTGGTCTTGGCAATGACTTTTTCCATGACACCAAAACACAGGAAACAAATGTAAAAATAGATGAGACTACATCAAACTAAAAAGCTTCTGCACAGCAAAGGAAACAACAAAATAAAAAGACAACCTACAGACTGGGAAAACATTTTGGCAAACCATATATCTGATAAGGGGTTAATATTCAAGATTTATAAAAACATCATACAACTCAACAGCAAGAAAACATATAACTCTATTTAAAAATGGGCGGCTGGGCGCGGTGGCTCACGCCTGTAATCCCAGCACTTTGGGAGGCCGAGACGGGCGGATCACGAGGTCAGGAGATCGAGACCATCCTGGCTAACACGGTGAAACCCCGTCTCTACTAAAAATACAAAAATTAGCCGGGCATGGTGGCGCACGCCTGTAGTCCCAGCTACACGGGAGGCTGAGGCAGGAGAATGGCGTGAACCCGGGAGGCGGAGCTTGCAGTGAGTCGAGATCGCGCCACTGCACTCCAGCCTGGGCGACAGAGCGAAACTCCGTCTCAAAAAAAAAAAAAAAAAAAAAAAAAATGGGCAAAGGAGGTGAATAGACATTTCCCTAAAGGTGACCTAAAAAACGGCCAACAGGTATATGAAAAGGTGCTCAACATCACTTATCATCAGAGAAATGGAAATCAAAACCATGATGAGATACCACCTCACCCCTGTTAGGATATCTATTATCAAAAAAATAAAAATAAAAAATAAGAGATTAAGTGTTGGTAGAGGTGTAGAGAAAAGAGAACCTCTGTACACTGTTGGTGAGAATGCAGATTAGTGCAGCCACTCTGGAAACAGTATGGAGGTTTCTAAAGAAACTAAAAATAGAACTATCATATGACCCAGTAATTATTCTTTGGGTATATACAAAATATTATGAAATCATCACTTCGTAAAGATATCTGCATTCCCACGTTCACTACAGCATTATTCACAACAGCCAACATATGGAAACAACCCTAGGTGTCCATCAATGGACGAATGGTTAAACTTCAGTGTGTGTATATATATATGTGTGTGTGTACACACACATATGGATGGACCTGAAGGACATTAACTGAAATAAACTATACACAGAAAAAAATATATATCATGATCTCAATTATATGTGAAATCTTTTTTCAAAAAAAGGTCAAATATACAGAGATAGAGAGTAAACTGGTTAGCAGAGGTTGAGCAGGGGAGGAAATGGGGAGATGTAGGTCAAAGTATAGGAAGTAGCAAATACCTGGGATAAACATGTCAAAAGATCTAATGTACAACATGAAGACTATAGTTAATAATAGTGTATTGTATCTAGGCTTTTGTTAAGAGTTGAGTAGATTACAGTTGCTCTTGGTAGGGGCGAGGGAGAGGGGGTGGGTAACTATGTGAGATGGAGATGTTAATTTCTTTTACTACAGTAGCCATTTTATTATAATATGTATCATATTAACATCATGTTGTATATCTTAAATATACATAGTAACATTTATTTTAAATTAATTGCTTACTATTGTACAATGACATGGTAAGTACTCAAAAAATTTTCTTCCTTTACTTCAAGTCTGGAGGGCCTGGGATCAACATCTGGAACCTATTCCCTACTAACTGTAAGGCCCCGGAATAAATCAATTAAAAAAATATATTTTTTTTAACCTCAGATTCTTCACTCATTAAATGGGGCAAATATTGTCACAGAGCATTATGAAAGTTAAATGGAATGAGAGTGCTTGGCACACAATAAACATTCAAAGAGTAGCTGAATCTGAATTCTAAAATTCCGGCCATCATTAACAGCATCCAGAGAAACTCAAAATCTATCATGACCACAAACTTTTTTCTAATTAGCTTCTTCCCCCACCCCAACTCCTATGGTCCACAGCAGCATTTCTCACCTCTTTCCTAGACTTTAGAAAGTCTAGGCTTTCTCAGCTATATGTAAGAAATTAACACAAAAAAAGATGTGTTTTTAATTAGATATAATGTGAAATGCATTTTAGAACAATTTCCTACTCCTAAATAAATACTGAAAGCCAACAAGCTATACAACTTATATTGATACCATAGCCCACACAGTGCCGGAAGACAATCTCCTGTCTCTGGGTCTTCTTTTCTAACGACCCAGGAATTGGCCCACCTGCTCCCATTTTGGAAGTCATGACAAATACGACAAACACACCCTTTGTTTCTAACTAAGTTCTCCTTCTCCAATGTAGAGCAGAAATATCAGAAATATCATACTAGAACTTCTCCTCTTTTTTTTTTTTTTTCTTTTTTTTCTGAGATGGAGTCTTGCTGTTTCCCAGGCTGGAGAGCAAGTGGCACGATCTCGGCTCACTACAACCTCTGCCTCTGGGGTTCAAGCGATTCTTCTGCCTCAGCCTCCCGTGTAGCTGGGATTACAAGCGTGCACCACCATGCCCAGCTAATTTTTGTATTTTTAGTAGAGACAGGGTTTCTCCATGTTAGCCAGGGTGGTCTCAAACTCCTGACCTCAGGGATCTGCCAGCCTCAGCCTCCCTCTGGGAGGGATTACAGACGTGAGCCACCGCACCTGGCCTGTCTCCTCTATCCTTTCAAAAAGCACAGCTCTTCTTTAATTTTCTACAATTTGACAGGAAATTACACACACACACACACACACACACACACACACTTTTTTTTCTTTTTGAGACAGTCTCGCTGTCTCGCCCAGGCTGGAGTACAGTGGCACGGTATCAGCTCACTGCAACCTCTGCTTTGCCAGGTTCAAACGATTCTCCTGCCTCAGCCTCCCGTGTAGCTGGGATTACAAGCATGCACCACCATGCCCAGCTAATTTTTGTATTTTTGGTAGAGACAGGGTTTCACCATGTTGGCCAGGGTGGTCTCGAACTCCTGACCTCAGCGATCCGCCCCTCCTCAGTCTCCCTCTGGGAGGGATTACAGACATGAGCCACTGCACCTGGCCTGTCTCCTCTATCCTTTGAAAAAGCACAACTCTCCTTTAATTTTCTACAACCTTGACAGGAAATTACACACACACACACACACACACACACACACACACACACACACACATTTTTTTTTTTAATAAGTAGACTACTGCCACAAGTAGATACATATTAAACATTTTTTTCTTTTTGAGACAGTCTTGCTCTCTTGCCCAGGCTGGAGCGCAGTAGTGCAGTATCGGCTCATTGCAACCTCCACTTCCCAGGTCCAAACGATTCTCCTGCCTTAGCCTCCCTAGTAGCTAGAATTACAGGCACCTGCCACCGTACCCGGCTAATTTTTGTATTTTTAGTAGATATGAGGTTTCACCATGCTGCTCAGGCTGGTCTCCAACTCCTGACCTCAAGTGATCCACCCATCTCAACCTTCCAAAGTACTGGGATTACAGGAGTGAGCCACCGCACCCGGCCTATATAAACATATTTTTTAAAGGCCTCAGAGTCTCTCAGTAAAAGTTATTCCTGATGTTCAACTGAATTTAAATAGAATTATACCTTGTTCTTTAGTAAATCCTCTTGGTTCAAGAAGGGCATAACAAGTATTTGCTACTTACAGAGAAAGTAAATTTCTTCCATGTCTAAGAATTGTACCCTATACCAGCCAAACATCTCACAATGCACACATTTAATCACAGAAGGAAATACCATGCTGATATGTGGAAAGCAATTTATTTTTCAAAACCAAATACAGAAAGTCATATTCGACCACTATTTAAGAATTTGTATTATGGCCAGGTGAGGTGGCACACACCTGCAATCCCAGCACTTTGAGAGACCAAGGTGGCTGGACTGAGCTCAGGAATTCGAGACCAGCCTGGGTAATATAGCAAAATCTCGTCTCTACAAAAAATACAAAAATGAGCCAGGCATGGTAGCGCACTCCTGTGGACCCAACTAATGTGGATGCTGAGGTGGGAGGATTGCTTGAGCCCAGGAGGTTGAGGCTGCAGTGAGCCAAGATCACACCACTGTACTACAATCTGATAAACAGAGCAAGATTCTGTCTCCAAAAAAGGTGGGAGGAGGGGGAGGGAAGAAGGAAGACGAAGGAAGAAGGAAGAAGGTAGAAGGAAGAAGGAGAAGACGACGACACTCTTTCCTCTAATTAAAAAAAAAAGAAGTTGTATTATTTAGCAATAGAAACCCTATTGTTTATTAATATTTCTCACCCTCTCTGGGAAAGCTCTAGAACTGACATACTAACATATCAAACAAACAAACATCATCTTAAAGACCCAAAAAGAGGTCTTGTAAAAATTAGTTTCGGCCAGGTGCAGTGGCTCATGCCTGTAATCCCAGCACCTTGGGAGGCCAAAGCATCCAGATCATTTGAGGACAGGAGTTTGAGACCAGCCTGGCCAGCATTATGAAACCCTGCTTCTACTAAAAATACAAAAATTAGCCAGGCGTGGTGGTGGATACCTATAATCCCAGCTACTCGGGAGGCTGAAGCATGAGAATTGCTTGAACCTGGGAGGCAGAGATTGCAGTGAGCCAAATCACGCCACTGCACTCCATCCTGGGCAATACAGCAAGACTCAGTCTCAAAAAAAAAAAGAAAAAAAATTACAGTTTCACAACTCCCCCACAATACAATTACATACCTAAGTACATCCATGATGAAAAGACTTCTCATATTTAAATACTGTCTGTTTACTTTATTCTTTTGCAGAGTAAGCTACTTGGTGAAAGGAAAGAAATTGAACTGTCAGGTTTCACTGTTATAAATCTCTCTTCAGTCCTTACCCACTCCAAATAAAATAATGTAAGGGGATACCGTAGTAGCGTCATATGCTCAATGTTTCAAAGGTACTGTGCTTACCAACCAGTGCAACCTAGCACCCAAGTCCTTTCTTTCAGTCATCCATCCAAAGATTTCAGAGCCACTCAGTGCTAAGCACACAGTGCAACAGAAGTGTCTGTATACTCTATGTCTCTTTCCTTTCCCTACTATCATTCCTTCACATTTAAGAAAAAAAAAAAAAACAGGGTCGGGCACGGTGGCTCACACCTGTAATCCCAACACTTTGGGAGGCGGGCGGATCACAAGATCAGGAGATAGAGACCATCCTGGTCAACATGGTGAAACCCTGTCTCTACTAAAAATACAAAAACTAGCTGGGCGTGGTGGTGCATGCCTGTAGTCCCAGCTACTGGGGAGGCTGAGGCAGGAGAATCGCTTGAACCCAGGAGGTGGAGGTTGCAGTGAGCCAAGATCGCGCCACTGCACTCCAGCCTGGCAACAGAGCGAGACTCCATCTCAAAAAAACAAACAAACAAAACACAAATTTAACTTAATTTCTTACATCAAAACTTAAATGTTCCTAGAAACATCAGCAATAGCTTGGTGACCTGTAAACTATCATACCACTAGACACCATATCACATGACAAACTGCCTTCAACTAGAATATGTACTAAGTGACCCAATACAAAAAGGACTGTGCTCCACACTGCAGAAAATACAAAGATGCATAAAATATTTTTATGTCATGTTGGAACTTATGATCTCCTACGGAGAAACAAGACACATTAACAAGAATACAAGGAAGAACATTAGAAGGGTCACAGAGAGTGCTGAAGGAGTTATATGAAAGTGAATTTCATGCCTTGAGATAAGCATGAATGACTAAAGAGGTGGCATTTGAGACTGAAAGCCAGCTAAGGTCTTTGAAACAGCAAGGGGAAATAATATATGACAAAGAATATTTGCATCGAAAAAATTCCACGGAGGCCAAGGCAATCATGGTAAGGACAACACCTAATTATCTTAACAGCAAAAATTTAAATACCTATTTTAACAGTTTTACTAAAATAAGGGTGGAAAGAATCACTACCCACCCTACAGCAAGCCCCCTTCTGAAAAACGTAACAATTTTCAACCTCTTTTAAATCTCAAAATAAGCTGAAAACATGATTAAAAACAAAGGCATAAATCAATGAAGTGTTTTTAAACCACACACACCTTTTCTATTACTTAAAAATAACAAAAATAATATAATTCCTGGACAAAATTCTAAGCCTGCACTGTCCAATACAATAACCACTAGCAACATGTAGCTAATGAACCCTTGAAATGTGGCTAGCCCAAATTAGTATGTTCTTTTTTTTTTTTTTTTTTTTTTTTTTTTTGAGAAAGAGTCTTGCTGTGTCACCCAGGCTGGAGTGCAGTGGCACAATCTCGGCTCACTGCAACCTCTGCCTCCCAGGTTCAAGCAATTCTCTGCCTCAGCCTCCCAAGTAGCTGGGATTATAGGCGTCTGCCACCACGCCCAGCTAATTTTCGTATTTTTAGTAGAGACGGGGTTTCACCATCTTGGCCAGGTTGGTCTTGAACTCCTGACCTCGTGATCCACCCGCCTCGGTCTCCCAATGTGCTGGGATTACAGGCATGAGCCACCGCGCCCGGCCCCCAAATTAGTATGTTCTTTAAGTGTAAAACACTCACTAGGTTATAAAGATTTACTACCCAAAAAAAGAATGTAAAATATCTCAATAATTTTTATATTGATTACATCTTGATATATTATTAGTTTAGATACACTAGGTTAAATAAAATATATTACTAGAATTAATTTCACTTGTGTCTATTTTTCAAAGTGGTTCATAGAAAATTAAAATTACATATATAATTCACCTTTTTGGCTTATATAATATTTCTTCTGAATAGCTCTAGTCTAAACAATTACTTAATATTAATATTTTTCAGATTTTTGTACTTGCCTTATGTTTGCATGGTAATCACTTAATAAAATGATACAAAGTAACCTTCCAACATCTATTTCTCAGTATCTAGATACTGCAAGGGTGAGGGTATCTGCCCAAAAAGTATATAGCTTCTTAACTGCCCTTTTGGAACAAATATGGAAAAAAACAATGAACAACTTTTCCAGGTATATTTATCAAACAGTTATCAGATAAGAACTATTCAACTAACAAACAAATCATGGGATTTCCATACAATGAAATGTTATTTAGAGATATGGGATCCAGGAAACTGGAGAGCCAACCCTGAAGAGCAGCGAAAGAAGTCAGAGGATGACAGCTGTACAACGGGGCCTGGAGAACAACTAGATCAGATCCCAGCAGTTGGACGAGGGCTCCAGGAAAAAGGACACTCCAGGAAAAGAAAGGGGCAGGAGGCAGGTAGAAATCCAGAGAATGTCTGATAAATTGGTACATTTGGGGGGAAGAATTGAGATTATAATTATTACAAACAGTATTTAAAAAAAAAGAAAGAAAATGGCAACAATAAAGTCTAAAAAGATTAAAAGCAAAGGAAAAAATGTGACTGTCACTTTGAAACAGCTTAATAGCTCCTTAACACTTTAAACAGAGAGTTACCATATCACCCAGCCATTCCACTACTTAGGTATATACCCCAAAAGATCTGAAAACATATGTCCACACAAAAACTTGCACACAAATGTTCACAGCAGCATATTCATACTAGTCAAAAAGCAGAAACAACCCAAATGTCCATCAACTAATAAACAAATCGCAGGATTTCCATACAATGAAATGTTATTCAGCAATAAAAAGGAATGAAGTACTAATACATGCTATAACATGGGAGAAAGAAAACAGTCATAAATGGCCATGTATTACATAAATCCATTTATATGAAATGTCCAGAACAGGCAAATCTATAAAGACAGAGAGTAAATTAGTGGTTGCCTAGAGCTGTGGGGAAGGGGAACATAGGGAATGGCTGCTAATGGGTATAAGCTTTATCTCTGAAATGATAAAAGTGCTCTAAAATTAGATGGTTGGGATGGTTACACAAGTCTATGAACACCTGAGTAATGAAAAAATGAATGTTACGGTATGTGAATTATATCTCAATAAAGCTATTCTCATAAGGAAATGTGATCACTGTATACTACTTGTTTCTACATAGAATACTGTTCCATGTCTACATACTGAGAATAATTTGAATAATAATTTAAATAAATAATAGTTTTTAAATAGTGGCATAATTATATCAGTATGAAAGCAAAAGGGAGATGGGCATGACAATAAATGATGTCTACCACAATAAGACAAAAAAATTAATTTTAAGAAATAGATAAAAAGCATATAATTAAAAATATGACAAAAACTACTAGAGGAAACAGCTGTCATAGCCAATGTTGCTTCTAAGAAGTAGGACTGGAGGACAGAAGATTACTTTCCATCATAAGCCCTTCTGCACTATTTGATTTCTTTAAATCATATATTCCTTTATAAAAGTAATTTTTATTCAACAACTAAGGGGTGCTTGATTTAGGAGCAGAATGAAACCGTACGCTCTTAAAGAAGTAAAAGGCACAGGCTTCATTGACACTGACGCACTCTGCGCCTCTGATCTCTCAAGAGAACAGGTTTTCTCATCTAAGATGTTAGAAAAATAGAAAGTTAAAAAATTATCCTGTCTTTTTATTATGAAATAAACATCTATTTTAAATGTGCTATTAATTGTTCATTGGTTAAGACTATTAACATTTTACCTCTAATTGCCACGAGAGGAGCTCTGTCATCTTTGCACTTATTCTCCAACTAACTTATATTTAGAGAAATAAGTATTTACTAATTTAATAGGTTAAAAAATAGCAATTTTCTAGAGTTACTGATTTAAATTTGTTTTAATTCTAACACTTCTGCTAAAGCTATTGTTAATTTATGTATGTATACACAAAATGCAAGTCTACTATAGAAATCATTAATCCGTAAAGATTCAGAATACCTATGAAAGGACACATAAGAAATTGTAATGCCAGTGGTCTCCAGGAAAGAGAACTGGTTGTTGCAGAGCAGGAGAGAAGACTTCACTGAATATCTTTAAAATTTTGAACCATGTGAGTAAATTACATTTTTTAAAATTTAAAGCAAAATAGGTAAATAAAACATGCAATTATCTGGCACACCGCACTCAATAATTACTGCCGTTATTACCATATATTATGAGAATATGATATACAGTACGTTGCTCTTCTATATACATGTAATTATATCTTATTATTAAAAGTCTACCAACTCAAAGCTTCCCCCTTTCCTTCATAATTTAAGTAATGTATAGAATGTGAAAACCCTGAATTCCACTAGGGCAAATGTCCCTGCAAATACTATCAGTCTGATGTCAGACATAATTCCAGTACCTCCAACTCTTCAGGTGCTCACACCACATACTCAAAATCTAGCATTAGAAATTCAATTGACTCAACTCAATAACTTCAACACAGGTCATGAAGAAAGTGTTAATCAATTAAAAATATTAACTGATTTTGCTGTACTTTGCGAGGCTGAGGCCAGCAGATTGCCTGAGGTCAGGAGTTCAGGACTAGTCTGGCCAACATGGTGAAACCCCATCTCTACTACAAATACAAAAAAATTAGCGGGGAATGGTGGCATATGCCTGTAATCCCAGCTACTCAGGAGGCTGAGGCAGGGGAATTCCTTGAACCAGGCCTCGAGGTGGCGGTTGCAGTGAGCCAAGATTGTGCCACTGCACCCCAGCCTGGGCGACACAGTGACATTCCGTCTTGAGAAAAAAAAAAAAGTATTAACTAATTTTATAAAATAACAGGAAGCAGACAGTGTTGCATTTAAATAAGATACCTTTCCTTGGAAAAAAACCTAAATCACCCAACCTTTCTAGTTATATTAGCCAATTAAGCCCCTAAGAATTTCTCAGACCTCCAAAAGAAAAACTACTTTGCCACTATCACCCTTTTTCTTCAGCCTAACAATTAAGATACCCAGCTTTTCAATTCTCATAGGCCATAAATGTATCTAGAAAAGTTCCTCTCTACATAGCTATTCATAATTCATAAGAAAGCTTAAATGACTCCATGCAGTGCCTTCTAAGCAGTCCACAAACAAAAGGTACAAGCCAGCCAAAATCCAAGCAGCAATTCCATATATACTAAGGAGGAAAAAAAAAAAAACAGAAATAGTAAGACAACAAATCTTAAATCAGATAAAACTCTGCTGCTGAGTTAATAAATGTAGATGGACAATGGAAGAAAGAGTTGGAAACAATACCCTGGGCTAGCACACTAAAGACTTTAGTACCTTTATCCATACTGCTGAAATCCAACTAGAAGATGGTGAATCAGACAGAGGTGACCCAGTTCTCTTCATCACTTCAGTGATCAACAAATTACAGATATTTTATGTAGTTTATGCAGAAGCCCAGGTTTCCACAAGAGATTTTTCTGCCTCCTGCCTCTTTAAAAGAGAATTAATATTCTCAGATGGGTGCAGTGGCTCATGACTGTAATCCCAGCACTGTGGGAGGCTGAGGCAGGATTGCTTGATTCCAGGAGTTCAAGACCAGCCTGGGCAAGATGGCGAAACCCCCTCTCTATAAAAACTACAAAAACTAGCCAGGCATGTTGGCGCATGCCTATAGTCCCAGTTACTCCAGAGGTTGAGGTTAAAAGATCACCCGAGCCCAGGAGGCAGAGGCTGCAGTGAGCCAAGACTGTGCCACTGCACTCCAGGCTAGGCATAGGCAACACAGCGAGACCCTGTCTCCAAAAAAAAAAAAAAATTTCTCTGGGTGAACATTTTCAACAATTATCAGAATGATTTACCCTGGAACTATATGAACCTACATACCCTACATACACTAAGTAATCCCAATATGCTTGTTTCCCCTAATCATCCATTCTTTTCAGTAGCATAATGCTTAATCAGTACCTATCCATTCCCCTGATCTGTGATTTCAAAAAAACCCAGACAACTCAATGAATTACAACTATATGTTAAATAATAACAAGGAACCGTTAATAAAAGCCTGAAAACTAACCTATGAGCAAAGTTTACACTCCATTTGTCTGCAGATATTAGCTGCTCAGGAGCACTTCTGGTTTACTGTCAATTACCAGCCAATTCCAATAAGGTGAGATTCCAAATAACACAATTCCACATTGATGCATAGCTGTTATTCTTCAGGAAAACTAAATTAGAAACACAATTTAGTTCGGCCACATGTGGTGGTTCACGCCTGTAATCCCAGCACTTTGGGAGGCCGAGGTGGGAAGATCACAAGGTCAGGATTTTGAGACCAGCCTGGCCAACACAGTGAAACTCCGTCTCTACTAAAAATACAAAAAATTAGCCAGGTGTGGTGGCAGGCACCTGTAATCCCAACTACTTGGGAGGCTGAGGCAGGAAAATCGCTTGAACCTGGGTGGCAGAGGTTGCAGTAAGCCCAGATCACGCCATGGCACTCCAGCCCAGGAAACAGTGCGAGACTCCATCTCAAAAAAAAAAAAAGTGTACTTTTTATTACTGAATTGATTTGAAATAAGAATCAAGAAATTAACCTTAGACCATGTTATTAAGGGAACACGTTAAGGACTTGGCTTTGTGCTGTTGTTAACCATGGTACTCTGGAAATAAAAAGTTGGTTTGACAAAACTAGTTTCAAGACAAATACATCATTACTTCAAGTGATCAAACCAAACATGCTAAGAAAACTATTCAATACAAAAAATATAAGATTTAATCACTTATAAAATTGGAACCTGCACATTGTTTGGAAGTTGACCTCTCTTCCCAAAATATAAGCAAAAATGGTAAGGGGGATTATAAACTAAGAACCCAAATCGACTAAATTGTCTTTTGTTTTGTTTTTTTTTTGAGACAGAGTCTCTCTCTGTCGCCCAGGCTGGAGTGCAGTGGCACGATCTCAGCTCACTGCAATCTCCGCCTCATGGGTTCAAACGATTCTCCTGCCTCAGCCTCCTGAGTAGCTGGGACTACAGACGCACACCACCACGCCCCCGCTAATTTTTGTATTTTTAGTAGAGACGGGGTTTCCCCACGTTGGCCAGGATGGTCTTGATCTCCTGACCTCGTGATCCACCCGCCTCGGCCTCCCAAAGTGCTGGGATTACAGGCGTGAGCCACCGTGCCAGCCGAACTAAATTGTGTTTCTAAATCTTATACCACATCAAATGCATTACAGACACAAGTATATTGGAATAATTTACTAAAAATGTCCATTATGTACTGAGTATTAGCTCATTTAAAAAAATAGAAAACTCAATAACGTAAAATGGAATATTCCTTTTTTATATAAATTTAAAGGCAGAAAATCTCAGGGAAAACAAACTTCTTTAACTCTACTCAGTTTTTCCTTGCTGTTCTATTCACATAGGTTTTTATATAAATATACATTTATACATTACACTCAACAAATTTCAAAAGCAATTTGATTTGTATAACCAAGGATGATTTGTATAACTCAAGATAAAATGCCAAGAGTGCAACCTCCGCTTTAATGAAAATGCTCTTCTTCTGAACAATGAAAATGCTTTTATTCTTGAAATCGGGGAAAACTCCCCTTCCACCACCACCACCCCACACACACACACAAAAAATCAGCTAGAAAATGATAAACATTCCAACAAATTAATTTACTTATGGTGATTATGTTCTTAGAAGAACAATATCCGGGGAACCCGGTTGGTCCTGTTAGTACCAACACACACTCTTGTCTCACCCACACAAGCGTTCTGCCCCTCCATTCTCCATTATAGGGTGGAGCATCACAAGAAGCACCACAATCTCACATCCTGTCTGTCATCTCCAACCCTGTCTCAACTTCATGGGTCTTATTTAAAAGTATGGAACTGTGACAATAGGGTCAACATATGCATGTTTCACAGCCTTCTCTATGCATAAAGTGCACACACAAATAGAGCTCTCCCACTCTTTAGACTCTGCTGCTGGAATAAAATCTCTGACTTTCCCAGCCTTGCTGTTTCTCCAAAATATTATCTCACACCTGCAACTCAATTCTAATATAAGGGCTACACAGTAAAGCGTGCAAGTACTGATTTTCAGCTGAACTTTGCCAGTGAAATGAGAAGATGTCACCTCATTTTCTAAATGCAGTTCCCAATCAGCCATAAGGTGATTTGTGAATCACTGGGTTCCCTTGAAGTTTTTCCTTTTGCCTGTGACTTACTGTCACTTCACAATTAGCATTCTACAGGTGCATGCAACAAGAAAGCATGCAATTCTTAAATATCTTAAACGTTTTAACAACTCTGGGGAAGTCGGGTTGGGAAATGACTGAAAATAAAGTTCTGGTTTTCAGTCTCACACATGAACTCTTTTCCACATTAACACAGGATTATCAAGAAATGGACTAAACTCTAATAACCTAATTTTTAGATGTCATAAAGAGATTAAACTTCCCAGGGGAATACGGAAACTCTAAGTTGCTACCTACTCTTTGGCTTTAATCACCATACGACGTAATACTGCAGAATAATATGCAGCTACTATTATTCTCTCTTTGCTAATAGAAATTTTGATCTAAAAAAGTTTTATATGAGGAAACAACTTAAGTGATACAGACTTATTTTCATATTTCTAAATCTTATATTTAAGTATTAAACCTAAACAACTAGCTAAATTTTCTCCAATTGTATATACCAAAAGGATTACTAATATTTTAACCAAAAGTGCCACAAACAGTCCCTTACTTTCCCTATGGAGTAAAATATCATGTGATTCTAAAGAAAAACTTTATAAACATTTATTTAATTACATGTAAACTTGGAAGTGAACAAAAATGAAACATTGGTTTCACTATAGCAAGTAAAAAGTAGTATTTCAAATATACTGATTTAAATTTGGGATTAATGCCTAAACTCAACAAAAAGGGCAAAAAATACTTGTTATAAAATCAACTTTTAATTTCTTCTGGAGTCTTCACAAAGTGAAGGCTCTCAATACTTTATTCTTAGATAAATTTTGCATTTAAAATAATAGTAATAATCATTATTTATAAAAAACAAGTTTTAAGCATATATCAAAGATTAATGGCTACATATCTAAAATGTTACAGTCACAGTTTAGTCCCAAAAGTATTTTCATTGATCTGAAATAAGCCATCATGAAACTATTATAACCAGGTTTCAAGTGTGAGGCTTTTGAAGCTGTATATAAAAAAAAAAAAAATTAGGACTTTGATGAGAAGCATTTAAATAAAAGCCCTTAGTTTACTGCTCCCGAATATAAATCCAACATCTTTAGGTGTAGAAAAATTAGAAACTGTGCAATTAATAGACTAGGAAGTCAAATATCATTGCCAGTAACTAACTGCTGTCTGAATTTCAAGGGAACTTATTGTATATTAAATTTTAAGAAAGTGAACTCACCTACCCTCTCACCTCAGCACTTTCTCAATTTTCCCATTACAATTAACAATATAACTTAGCAGTCAAGTCTTCCAGGCCAGTAACATCAGAATTTATTTTTAACTCTTGACTCCTTCACAAATATTCCACTTCAGTCCAGTATGAAGTTCTGCCAGTTCTTCATTCACACTGTCTCTCAAACCTGTTCCTTTCACCCCACTTTCACATTTTACTTTATTCCCTCATGATTCACAACATACCCTACTAGCTCCCTAAAAAGGCTCTAGCATCTCTCTACTATAATTCACTAATTCAACTGCAAAAATCATCTTACGTCTTATTCAGCAACCAACAATAAATCCAGATCTCTTCTGAATCTCAATCAAACTTGTACAGAACCCCTCTGCCCTCCATCAGCTAACTTTCTCTTATTTCTCAAATTCCATCTGTTCTTATGTTCTTATTTAGGCCCCTTTAATTCAGATTTGTCAACTTGATTATTGTCTCTCATGCAAAACTCACCATCATTGTTCCTTGGTACACTCCTTCCACCTAGACCTTTCATGCTTTTCTACCAGTTCAAGTTACCACCTCCTTTAACATCAGTCCTAATACACCTTGTCCGCAGGAAGTCTTTCCTCTCCCAACCATCAGTCTCACCCCTTTACTCTTTGCCACTCTGAACAAATGATTCAATTTGTATTTTACAATCTTGCAGTCATCACGCTATTGTTTTAATTTTTTTTTCCCCATAGCCTCCCTCTACAACTAAAGGATAAGCTTTTGAGAGCAAGGACTACAATTTCTTATGTCTGTTTTCAACAGGGGTTCCTTAGAATGCTAGCATCCTAACAAATGCTTAAAGACTCCCCTTTCTTTTAAATGCTTTTAAAGTCAAAGCTGTCAAAAACACATAATTAACACTAAACTCCAACTTTTAAAATTCTAAATTGACCTATATGGTAATCGGAATTAAACATTTTCATCTATATATTTTACAAGAGTTACTCCATCCTTAGTTAGTATCTGTATTACCAAGAATTCAAGAGTCATTTTCAAAGAAAATCCTGAAAAGAAAATGAAAAGTCCCAAAATGTAGCATTATAATCTAGCATTACAGATCTCTGAAATAAAGCTAATAAATCAATTAGCTGAAATAGACTGACTGATTTTCAAACTATATTACCAAGATGTAAAACATACAAACACTCCAGTACCACAAGAGGCTCTTAAGTAGCTATTATAAGATTTGTATCATCATAGCTGAAAATTACCCCGGAATTTTAAAATATTTTTCAAATCACTCCATGAAGTGCTTAGAAAGCACGACCCTTCCCTGAAAGATGCATAATCAGCTTTCCTCTTTACCTACCCGGGCATTCTCTACTTGCAAGCCACAAGAAAAAAAAAAAATTAACTTTCAAAAATTATCTCCCATTCAGCTATTACCTAGACTACCCTGTTTCAGGCTAGTTCCCAAAGCCAACATGAATTGAAATCTTGAGTTCAACTAAAAGTGATCATTTTATGTTGCCTAAGAATATAATCAATTTCACATAACATCATGTTTTGCGTGTGTGTGGGTTCTTAAAATCTCAGTTCTTTAGTTCTCTCAGTTCTTCTAGGCAACAAATTAATTTGTCTTTGCCCTCATGATGCCCCTCTTTCCCACAATAAGGAAACAATATAGATATTTTTGTTAAATTCTGCAAGTATGTTTAAACAAGCTATCATTAAATACCACATGAACTTCTCCATAAATAGAGATACACTGGAACATTAGATACTTAGTATATATTAAACACTTCAAGAGCATACTTTTCAGCACAAACCCAGGACAAGAGTAGTCTATCCACAACCCTGAACACAGCCCAAATATCCCTATTATTTCTAGGACCATAGCCATCTGCAAAAGCCAAAATGGAAAGGACTAAATCCACATTCTTCTAACTAAATCCACAGTTATCTAAATATGATGGAAACTAACGCTAGAGTGTTTTAAATCGTCCTTTTTAAGGAACCCGCCAGAACATTTAACAGGTAATGAATGCAGTAGCACTCCAAAATTGAACTTAAATGTAATGAGCCAGTGACAACATTTAACTTAGTATTTGGCACTATGACAAAACAAATCTCAATCAAAACTTGGACCTATTAATACTTCCAAGTTAACTTTTGATTAAACATAAATTATACGGTGGCAGGTTGGTAATGTCAAAACAGGAAGGTTAAGAGATAACACATCAAACCACTTATCCAATTGAACACAAATGCATACAGAGATGTTACTGCTGCTAGGTATTTATTGGCTCCCACTAGTCCCTTCTAAAGAGAGAAATCAATGGCAGCCTCCAAATGTGAATGGTTACTGAGGAAGTTCATCCACAGATTAAGAACAAATATTATGTGTAGTCATACAAACAAGAAAAAAATGTTGGGAGGGTGGGACATTTAACGTCTCTATTAAGTATATCAAACTATGATAACCCCTGAGACCTAAAATATTCTCTCATTCCAAATTCCAAAAATTCTGCAAATGTGCATAATGGTTTAGTAATCAAATCTTGTCCTTCTCTTTATTCTAAAGGATGGGCAAGTAAACACTGTCATCACTACTTTAACGTGGAAACACTCGAGCACTTGATGAAACTGACTACCAACAGCAAGAAAAGTACAAGAAAGCAGTTTGAAATCGAATCATCCAAATAAATATCATATTATCTCAATTCAAGGTTAATGAGACCGGGGGAGGGGGTATGGGAGGAGTAAAAAGGGAGCTGCTTCATCCTTGACTGAAGATAGGTTTTGCCCTTTTCCATTGCCTGTTTATCAGGAGGTCTAATAATTTCAGATCCTGGTATTTCGAGGTTTCTTATTTTAAGGGCGAGGTGGAAAAGGGGTGTAAAATAAAACCAATACTCACTGCTAACTTTCATGCTGCCAAAAGCTGAAGGCTGCTGCACCGGCTTGCAGCTCTCCGCAAAGGAGGTGGTTCTGGGCCGCCCTGACATGATCACTCTCTTCGCGAATCACCTTTTCCTTCCTTCCTCCTTTTCTTCCTTTTGTCTTTATGTTGGGGTGTTAGGTTAACGATAAATGCAGCATTAAGTTCTCCCACAGAAGAAAAAGAAAAAGACTTCGTCCTCTTGGCTTTTCACTCCTTTTGTATACTATAAAAAACAAAACAAGCGATATATTTCTCCTTCAAGACAGATCGGCACGGATATTTAACATATAGATGATTTAGGACTTGGGAAAAAATACAATTCTTTCCCCTCCCTTTCCTGGGAGGAGAGAAAAGAGAGGGCAAATCCTAAAAAAATATGTATCACGTGAAACGGGGGCAAATACTTGATTGAAAATGAGTACTTCGAATATTATATTTTCCTCGGGGATTTTTTTTCCGAGTCAATGAAGAAGGGAAGCGGCGGAAGGATCACGAGTCTCACGCTTGAAGAGAAAGGGGGATGGGTAGGAGGGAGGGAGAGGGAGGGAGGGGGTGGCTCGGAGATGCGACGGGAAACGCTGCAGCTCCGGCAAGCCGCGGGATCCGGCGGGCTGACGGCAGGGGCCCGGCGAACTAGAGGGCGGCGGAGTCGCGAGTCAGTCAGAGGCGGGCGGTGGCGGTGGCGGCGGCTCCTCTCCTCATTGCGCCAGGAGCAGCTGCAGGCGGCGGCTGGATCCAGCGGCCATGGCGGTGGCGGAGGCAGCTCCCTTCAGACCCCAGGCAGCGGCTCCTCGACTGTTCCCCATTCGCCGGGGACATGGGAACCCGGCAACCGCTTCCGTCCCTCGGGGCCCCCTCCCCCGTCCGCGGCAACAGCTCGGCCGCCCTCCCGCCCCTCGGCTCTGCTCGGTGCCCGCTCAGGAAGTGTCCGCGCTTTGCCCCAGCCCAGAGCCCTGTCAGCGGCTGCGGGGCCGGCTCCTCCTCGCTTCCTTCCTTCCTTTGTCACTTGGCCCGGGCGGCGGCGGCGGCGGCGGCGGCACAAGCCCGCATTCGCCCGGGTCAGGAGCTGCTCTGTGTGAGGAGCGCTGTCTGCGCAGCCGCCTTGCACTTCCCCACTCCTCCTCCCCCCTCCTACTCGTCCTCCACCTCCTTCCTCCCCCACCCAGCCTTACACCGCCCAGCGCCCCGCCGCCCGCGTAACAGGCGTCTGGGAATCGCCGGCCGAGCCCCACGCTCGCCCGCTTCGGCTGGGAGCCGAAGCCCGAACGGAGCCAATCACGGACGTCGTTTGTTTGCGGCTCCTCCCGGAAAAAGCCGATCAGCCTGAGAAACCAATTAGAAAGTGACGCTGGGAAGCCACGCCCAAAGAGCGGAAAATGCCGAAGGTAGCCGAACGGAAAGGGTGAATTCGCCTTGTTCGGTGGCTGGCTGGAGGAGACATTCGACAATGGCAACAGTGGCCAATCAGAGTCGCCGGCCCTTACGAAGAGGCTTGAAGAGTTGAGGACGGTGAAACCCAGAGACGCTGGTGAAACTGCACGGCTGGGCGCCGCCGCCGCTTTGTGATTGGCTGGAAAACTCCGCTGGGAGCGTACCTCCTTCGGTGATTGGTGAAGAGAAGGGGGCTTCCGAGGACAGTCTGGCCAGTCAGGACTTCCCCTCCCTCTCCAAGGTGGGGAGAAGAAAGCGAAGGGAGGGCGTCTATAAAGCGCTGTCTCATTGGCCTGAAGCTTAGGCGCTGGAGTTGGGGCAAAAGGGAGAGGGAGGGAGCCCGAAACTCGCGGCGGCGGCCAATCGGCTCTCACTGCCGTCCAATCGCAAGACCTAGCTGCAGTGTGATTGGCCTTCGGCCCCGGTCCCAGGAGCGGGGAGATGCCTGACTCGGGTCGTGGCTGACGACCCGACGGTTCGCCTGCGGCCGCCTCCAACAACGGTGGAAACCGCACACAGGGACCGCGGGCCCTCGGTGCAGCAAATCGGAAAGTGCTGCGGTCGGCGGCCCTGGGCTCTGAGCGCTCAAGCGAGCAGAGGGGTGGAGGGGCTCTCCCCACCCACAGGAGGCTCTCGGCGGGGCGCAGCCAATTCTGCGCGCCCAAGGCTCCCCTCTGCCGTGGATCGCGTGTGCCGAGTGTTGGCCTCTTCCCCGAAAGGGCCAGACGGACCAAGGGGGCCTTCCCAGCCGGCTGCAAGCTCTCAGACGCTAAAATGGGAACAAAGCTTCCAGAAAGGCAGCGCCTTTGGGCGGCCGCGCCCCGCCCAGCCGCGGGGGCCATTGATACAGAGGCTTGCTGCGCTTGGTGTGCGCGGCCCGGCCGGGCCTCTGGAAACGCCCATGAGAAATGAGCTCATGCTGGATGCGCGCGCTCCTTGGGCGCAACTGCCCAGCGCAAAACGGGCCCCGAAAGCAGGTGAGGGGAAATGCCGTCAGGCCGGATATCCTGAAGCCTCCGAGGAAATGGGGGGGTCAGAGGAGCCCGTGGTAGCTTTGGATCTTTTGGAACTAGGGTGATCTATAAAAGTGCAGCTTGAGAAGATTTCATACATAAGACCAGCGTCCATTGTTCTACCATAGAACCAGTTCCTTTGGTCTGCTTTAGAACAGTGAGGTATGGCTACGTCAAGATAACAGAGAAAGTAGAACAGACAGTTGCCATCCTGATTGTAATCCAGTGGTGCCTGTAATTTCTACCTGCAGAGTCATCTCTTTCTGTTAAGATGCTGTCTCCAGAAAGCACATGTTAAAGGACCTATATTTGATCAGATTACCTGGCTCTTGCTTTGAAACACTGATGAAGGACTTGGGACAGAACAAAGTAAGCTTTGATGGAAGACAGGAAAGGTCTAGATAGTGTTTGCAGATTCAAATGGCTACAGAGGCCAGACAAGTAAAGCAAATGAGTGAGACTGGCCTTGTGTAAGACAATGGGGAATGATAGGGAAAATGGCAAATTGGAATATCCATGCCATAACTAAAAGGAACAGCTGCTCAACTCTAGCAGATTGTTGCCCTCAGGAATGTGGGTCCAGTGTTCTCAGATGTTCAATTTTTTTCCTCCCAAAAGAAACCCCAAAATTGGATTTTTGTGTGAAATCTCTGCATTTTTAAATGTTGGTAACCAAATTTTCAAACCCTGCAGGCCAACCTAAAAACATCCCTTGGCCAATGAGGCATTGGAAAAAGTGTTAATAATTGTTAGGGGCCCGATAGCAGTAGGAGGGTGAAAACAAAATGGTTTGGGACCTTAAATAATTGAAATGTATCTTTATTTATTTATTTATTTTTGAGACGGAGTTTCACTCTTGTTGCCCAGGCTGGAGTGCAGTGGCGCGATCTCGGCTCACCGCAACCTCCGCCTCCCCGATTCAAGTGATTCTCCTGCCTCAGCCTCCCAAGTAGTTGGGATCACAGGCATGTGCCACCATGCCAGCTACTTTTGTATTTTTAGTAGAGACGGGGTTTCTTCATGTTGGTCAGGCTGGTCTCGAACTCCCGACCTCAGGTGATCTGCCTGCCTCAGCCTCACAGAGTGTCAGGATTACAGGCGTAAGCCACCACACCGGGCCGGTTGAAATTTATCTTTAAAATAGTGCACCTTTAATCCTTTTTTTATTTCTGTGTGTATCTTATAATGTGCATATCATGTTAGCTCAAGATCAAGAGTTTATGGACAAGCCAGGAGTGGTGGCTTATGACTGTAATCCCAGCAATTTGGGAGGCCGAGGCAGGTGGATCGCCTGAGGTTAGGAGTTCAAGACTAGCCTGGTCATCATGGTGAAACCCCGTCTCTACTAAAACTTTAAAACTTAGCTGGGCGTGGTGGCGGGCGTCTATAATACCAGTTACTTGGGAGGCTGAGGCAGGATAATTGCTTGAACCCAGGAGGTGGAGGTTGCAGTGAGCTGAGATCGCACCATTGCACTCCAGCCAAGGCAACAAGAGCAAAACTCCGTCTCAAAAAAAAAAAAAAAAAAAAAGTTTATGAACCACTAGTTTAGACAAAGAATAGTTGTACAGTTGTACAGATGGATAAGGAAGGAAAGAACATTCCAGGCAAAGAGAAAAGGTTATGCAATGGCTGAAATGTTTAACAAGGTATTTGGAGACCTTGAGATAGTTTGAAATTATGTAATGTCTAAGATGTGGGCCAAGAGAAAATAAAGGAAAATATCACAGGATAATAGAGGAGTAAAGTAAACTATGCTGTATTAACTCCATATTAGGCAGCCAGTAAAAATAAATACAACCACCAAAAGTAACTCAGAAATATGTTTAGGAAACAATACTAATTGAAAAATATAGAACTTCAGGTTGTATATCTACCATATTTCCAATCTGTAAAATATAAGTACATTTGGATCAAGATTGGAAAGGAAGACAAATTAGAATAACTCGTCAATAACATATTTAAATATAAATGAAAATATTTAAATGTCTTTGCTTAGTATTTTTATAATAAATTTCTATTTTTTTACTTTTATTTATCTTTTAATCTCACTGTTATCCAGGATGGAGTGCAGTAGCACAGTCATAGCTCACTATGGCCTTGAACTTCTGGGCTCAAGCAGTCCTCCCACCTCAGCCTCCTAAGTAGCTGGGATTACAGGTGTAAGCCACTGTACCCCACCTCTGTGTTTGATTTTAAGGGGAATTGGCCCAAAAAATAACATTTATATTATTTCTTCACTATGATTCACATGTCCCTCAGAAGCCTCTAATTACAATGGAATTCTTAAAAAAAATTCACATTTCTCAGCAAAGCTTTCCAACGAAAATTTTTATGATAATCCTTTGTCATATAAGTTAAAATAGTAAAACTAGACAATAGTGAGTAAGTATTATATTTGAGACACCTGCTAGGCATCTGATATAAGGTGGATGAGAGGATCAGTGTCCTTTGGGAGTTTACCCTCTAGGGAAGCAACTACATGAAAAGTTAAATAAATTATAAAAATCACATTTTGAATTGATAAAAGTTATGAGACAGAACATAATTTGGTTTTTATTTATTTTTTTGAGACAGGGTCTCACTTTGTCCTCCAGGCTGGAGTGCTGCGGCCTCAACCTCCCAGGTTCAAGGGATCCTGCTGCCTCAGCCCCCCAAGTAGCTAGGACTACAAGGGTGCACCACCACACCCAGCTAATTTTTGTATTTTTTGTATAAATGGGGTTTCGCCATGTTGCCCAGACTGGTCTCAAACTCCTGGGCTCAAAATCTGCGTGCCATGGCTTCTCAAAACGCTAGGATTACTGGCGTGAGTCACCATGCCTGGCCTATAATTTGTTAATATGGTTGTTACTACAAAGTTTAAAATAAATTGCCCATGCATTCCTATTTATAATAGGTGAGTGGAGGACACTTCAATCTAAAGTGATCTTAAAGGAGGAGTAGTAGGATTTGAAGATGAAGAAAGAAGAGGGGAGGTAAATTACTTTCCATCACTTCAATTTCAACCCATCAGATAAAACCTCTCTTTAGTAAACCTGCATGTGGGTGGAGCTGTAACAGCAATTAAGGACAGTGTGACTCTGTTCTTCTGACTTTGGGAAAACCAGTTTGGCTGGAACAAAAAGCTGATAGAGAAGACTAATGGAAGATAAGGTTGAAAAGGTAGGTTTGAGGGAGCTTTGTTACAGGAAAAAAAAAAAAAAAAAACTGGGCTTTGTCCTGTAGACAGTGGAGAGGTACTTTAGCAGATGTAAGACATTACCATTATAGGAAAGCCTCTGAAGTAACATACACTGTGGTTTTTCCTGTTGCTGAAAATATGCCCAGAGTAACAAGATGTGGCATAGTTGGTTATGTGTCTTATAACCAGTGAGGTGTGCCCAAATGGGAAATTAATGAATGACTACCCAAAAAGAAGAGGGAGAGTGTTTGAAACACTGTCACTGTGAAATAGACTGGTTGTATGAAAAGTTGCATATCAAGCCTTTGGCAAATTATATAAATACTCTGATTTTGACATCTTAAAGGAGTATACTATAGAAAATAAAAGAAAAACACTTGAATCTGTTACAGGAAACGGGTCATGATCCAGACCCCAGGAGAGGGTTCTTGGATCTCACACAAGAAAGAATTCAGGGTGACCCCACAGTGCAAAAGTCAAAGCAAGTATTAAGAAAATGAAGGAATAACAGAATGGCTACTACATAGAGCAGCCCTGAGGGCTGCTGGTTGCCCTTTTTTTTTTTTCCTTTGAGATGGAGTTTTCGTTCTTGTTGCCCAGGCTGGAGTGCAATGGCGTGATCTCGGCTCACCACAACCTCCACCTCCCAGGTTCAAGCAATTCTGCCTCAGCCTCCCGAGTAGCTGAGATTACAGGCATGCGCCACCACGCCCGGCTAATTTTGTGTTTTTAGTAGAGTGAGGGTTTCTCCATGTTGGTCAGGTTGGTCTTGAACTTCCGACCTCAGTTGATCTGCCCGCCTTGGCCTCCCAAAGTACTGGGATTACAGGCATAAGCCACCGCACCTGGCCTGGTTGCCCATTCTTTATGGTCGTTTCTTGATGATATGCTAACCAAGGAGTGGATTAATCATGCCTCCCCTTTTTGGACCACATAGGGTCTAAACTGTCATGGCACATTTGTAAACTGTCATGGCACTGGTGGGAGTGTAGCAGTGAGGACGACCAGAGGTCACTCTCGTCGCCATTTTGGTTTTGGTGGGTTTTGGCCAGCTCCTTTACTGCAACCTGTTTTATCAGCAAGGTCTTTAAGACCTGTATTTTGTGCTGACCTCCTATCTCATCCTGTGACTTAGAATGCCTTAACTGACCATCTGGGAATGCAGCCCAATAGATTTCACCCTCATTTTGCCCGGCTCCTGTTTAAGATGGAGTTGCTCTGGTTCACATGCCTCTAACAAATCCTTTTAGTTTTTCATGCTTGTCACATGTTTACTTCTAAGGGTATAATCATGTGGTTTACTATATTATTACCGATTAGATTATTTTGAACTACTTCAATTTTATTTATTTTACCTCATTTCCATTCACATTTTTTGAAAAGAGCTTTTTTATACAAGAGTGTAAATATTTTCACATTGAATAAATGAATTGAAAACAGTATGTGTTGATTGAATACTTGAAGTATACTTCTTTACAGCAAATTCTAGGAATTCAGCTTTGTTTTATGTGCATTAAAATGTAATAAATATAGGCCTGAGAAATTCTCAGAACAAATATTTTAGGCCCTCAGTAGCTGTAAATCGGGAACGGTCAGATTTCCTTCACATGGAAATGGGACTCACATCTCTCAGAATGGAACAGAAGTCTTTTGGTCTTTAATCTATGTCATGTTGATGGGAAATGTGAAAGCTACAAGAAAATTGGTATTTGGTTTCTTGGATATTGAATATCCTTGGCCAGGGGTGCAGGGAAGTGAAAAAAAAGTAAGACCTCCTATGGATCATCCAAAAAGGAATTTCAGAATGCAGAGAGGACTGGTCTCCCTTAATCAGGCCAAAACTTTATTTGAATTGTATCAGGATGCTTCATTCCTGTGCCCTGTAGGATGGAATCTTGAAAGAAAATGGGAAGGAATGTACAAAGCCTCAAGGAATGTGTTTCTCTGTAACATCTAGATCAGACAGTAGTATGAAGTGCCAGATATGAAACCAGAAAGGATCCTTATGAGAGTTTATAGCTCAGTTTTAAGATGTTTTACTATCTCTGCTGTCTTATTTTTTTATTTTTATTTTTAGAGATGGGGTCTCGCTCTGCTGCCCAGGCTGGAGTGCAGTGGTGTGATCATAGCTCACTGCAACCTCAAACTCCTGGGCTCAGGTCAACCCTCCTGCCTCAGCCATGCCCTGCCACTGCCCCCTTCCCCCGCAGTAGCTGGGGCTACAAGTGCATGCCACCACACCCAGCTATTTTAATTACTTTGTAGAGACAGGGTCTTGCCATGTTGTCCAGGCTGGTGCTGTTGTTCTTTATTTTTACAATGTATATTGTGTATGCACTAGTAGTGTTCAGTACTTGAAGATAAAAGTAGTAATTTAGGAAAAATAACCATTATTCCCCTAACTAAATCTTGCTACTCTTAGGACCAGTTAGGAGTCTTAGGAAAATATCAACTCTGATTGTTTTTTCTTTTCTGTTTGTTTGTTTTTATTGTTGTTGTTATTGTTTAGATAATTTGTTGCTCTGTCACCCAGGCTGGAGTGCAGATGTGTGATCATGGCTCACTGCAGCCTACCTCCAGGGATAAAGCAATCCTCCCGCCTTAGCCTCCCAAGTAGCTGGGACTTACAGGCACACAACTGACCTAGCTAATTTTTTTATTTTTGTAAAGGCAGAGGTCTTCCTACGTTGTCCAGACTGGTCTTGAACTCCTGGCCTCAAGCAATCCTCCCACCTTGGCCCCCAGAGTGCTGGGATTACAGGTGTGAGCCACTATACCCAGTCTGGTTTTTTTTCTTTTTTTTTTTTTTTTTTTTTTTTTTGAGGACTCAACATGTCCGAGACAGTTGAGTACACTTCTACTTTCTCTAACCACTTCTTGACAATTTGAATACAGTTTTCATTTTTAGTCTTCTTATCAAAAGTGTTCCAATTGTACTTTTTATCCTTAAGGACTTTAAATATGATTATATAGAATTTCATAAATTTTGCTGGCCTGTGTTGGACAACACATGAAAAGACACGAATATCCTAATTCCACCAGGAAGTGCTTGTTGTCTACTGTGTGCCCAGGTCTGTGCCACATATGGTGGGAAACATTTGCTTGCAACAAATTGAGAAAACTGCTGTATATGCTTTAAAACCTAACTGGTTTATTCAACTGCATTTTAAAAATATTTCCAAGGCCAAAGGCTCTTGGACCCTTTTAGAATTAAAAACAAATATCTTACACAGCCATATCAGCTGGAACTCTGAGGAAGCAAACTATCCTATGGAGGTTAAGCTTTTAATCTGGCATGAGAGGAGTTAAAGTGAAGTACTTCTAAGCACCAGAGAAACCATCTAGTGGGAAAAAAAGAATTCATCAACAGGGAGTTGCCAAATGAGGACACGCACATGCTTTGCCTTCATTATCTAACTTTCTTCCAGTATAAATAGAATTACATGGAGGTGTAAGGCATTTCTCTTGATCTCAGTCAATGCTGTGCACATCGTGGGAACTCAGTAAATGTTGGCAAAATGAGTAGTGTGATTGTAATTGAAAAAGCGAAACAATTATAACCATCAAAATTACAACTTTATAAAATATCTGCATATGGACAAGCACTCTGAGAAAATACTCCCCCCAAAAAAGTTGTTTTATTAATTTTTTAGTTTTCTGAATTTTTTCTTACATTAATTTTTTTCCTATTATCGGTTCTACAATATAATTTGAGTATCAAAATTTCTTAATTAGATGCATTCAAATAGAATCACAGCTTGGGGCAAGTCTCCGTTCACCACCAGGCTTCAAACATGTCATGGCATATCTGGCAAATTGGTAGTTTCAGGCTGCCAAGAGGTGATTTACATAAGGGTTTTGGTGGAAAGACTGCCAAGAAGTGTGGATGACAGAGAGGTGGGGGTTGGCCAGACTGCTTTTCAGTCAATTTGCACAGCTACAGTGCACCAGCCAGTGTTCCAGTTGGTCAGTGCCCATGCCATGCCAGCTGTTAATCCTTGGATTGAGGGAATGACACCTTACCTATCTTGAAGATTCATATTCCAATACAGCCTCGTGGAGTCCACTAGGAAAGTACCAAGAGCAGAAATAGGAGTGCACTAAAATCATTACTACATCACACAACATAATCAAAAGATGAGGGGTTACAGCTTGTTGCCACTTGTGCAGAAAATGATGGCACGATTTTGCAGTATTGGAGATTCCAGGAAACAAGCATTTTGATTCTTTGAGGGCCACAACGGAGGTCATGAAGATGTCCAGCAGCACATGGTAATGACCTGGCTTAATGGGGCTGGCTCACTGATGAGTACTAGAAGTGTTCAAGAAAACTCAGCAGCAGATATCCACGTGGCCGCAGATATGCCTTATTCTTGAGCCCATGTAAAACACTGTGTAGGGGCTCTTAGAAATTATGGGCAGAGGATTTTGCAAGGAGCTGAAGTTCGGCATCAGCAAGCAAAG
Source organism: Homo sapiens (assembly GCF_000001405.40). NCBI lineage: Eukaryota > Metazoa > Chordata > Mammalia > Primates > Hominidae > Homo > Homo sapiens. Next base: position 120,103,463 of record NC_000003.12, read on the forward strand.
ACAGGAGCCAATGAAATACGGATTGCGAAACTATTCCTAATTAGTTCATTATTAATGTAATCAGATAGCTCATATAGAGTTAATGTAATCAATAGCTCATATAGAATATGAGAATGGGAGGTCCATCTGCTGTTTCCTCACTTGGTGGTCCCCATTTCCGCAAGGTTCTTATTTGTGTTACCATTTCACGAAAATGAAAGTATTGGTAGTTTTTAAAAACAGTTCAGGGCTTTTTTTTTTTTAACAACACAACCCATATATGCAAGTCAAATACAATTCTTCATCTGGTGCTCAACCAAAGAAAGAGTGATACATTCCAATACTGGAGGAAAAACTGGCCTGACTAAATTTATTGATATTTAAGGTCTTGTAAAGGGTAATTTTGAAAGTATGTAATTTCCACTTAAAATGCTATTTTAAGAACCTGAACCTTGCTGTAGTAGTTCCTTTTCATGCTGCTAATAACGATATACTCGAGACTGGGTAATTTGTAAAGGAAAAAGGTTTAATGGACTCACAGTTCCACATGGCTGGGGAGGCCTCACAATCACTGTGGAGGGCAAAGGAAGAGGACATCTTACATGGCTGCAGGCAAGAGGGCATGTGCAAGGGAACTCCTCTTTATAAAACCATCACATCTCATGAGACTTATTCACTATCACAAGAACAGCATGGGAAAAACCTGCCCCCATGATTCAATTACCTCCCCCCAGGTCCCTCCCACTACATGTGGGAATTCTGGGAGCTACAATTCGAGTTGAGATGTGGGTGGGGACACGGCCAAACCATATCAGCAAGTGATTTGGATGGGGACACAGCCAAACTTGCATCAAGTGAGGTTTGGCTGTGTCCCACCCAAATCTCATCTTGAATTGTAGCTCCCATAATTCCCATCTGTCATGGGAGGGACTCGGTGGGATGTAATTGAATCATGGGGGGCCAGTCTTTCCCTTGCTATTCTGGTAGTGAGTAAGTCTCACAAGATCTGATGGGTTTATCTGGGGTTTCCACATTTGCTTCTTCCTCATTTTCTCTTGCTGCCACCATGTAAGAAGTGCCTTTCACCTCCTGCCATGATTCTGAGGCCTCCCCAGCCATGTAGAACTGTAAGTCCAATTAAATCTCTTTTTCTTCCCAGTCTAAGGTATGTCTTTATCAGCAGCGTTAAAATGGACTAATACATTTGCCTAAGCGGAAACTCGGGTTCTACTTTTTATACAGAGCTTAATAGTTTATAATGAACATTATAGTAGTAGTTGTGCATCAAAACCTATAAGGTGGGCAAAACAGGTAATACTTCTCCCATTTTACAGGTTAAAAAATGGAGGCAACAGCTGGGTACAGTGGCTCACTCCTGTAATTCCAGCACTTTAGGAGGCCAAGGTAGGCAGATCACTTGAGAAAAAGAGTTCGAGACCAGCCTGGGCAACATAGTGAGACCCTCTCTCTCAAAAAAAATAGCCAAGTGTGATGATGGACACCTGTAACCCCAACTACTTCAGAGACTGAGGCAGGAGGATCACTTGAGCCTAGGAGGTCAAGGCTGCAGTGAGCTGTGATTGGGCCACTGCACTCCAGCCTGGGTGACACAGAGAGACCTCTCTAAAAAATAAAAAAATAAAAAAAATGGAAGCACAGAAAACTATACCTTTTCTAGCTCAACTTTACCACATTGATGAAAAAGTATTGAGCAGCCACAGGTACATGACATTCCACTATGTTCTTGGGATAATATTAAAGAAAAGGCATGAAGGTATGCTCTGAGCAGGCAAGAGAAGTCACATAAAATGAGAGTAATTTATAATGTGATTTTTTCCCATGGTCCTTCTTTTTCTCATTTAACTGTTTACTCCTTTATATGTTATAGCAATTGTTGTTTAATAATTGCATTAAAATAAATAGATGCCTTGGACACTGATACTCTTGGAATACAGAACAATGTTCATAGCATTTAATATATGGATACAAGATTTTTTAAAAGGAAAGATGTATATATAGGGTCCTACCAGATTAGAAGTATGATTGCAGTTGGAATTTAATTAGTGAGCACTTACTAAATACCTATTATGTGCAAAGTATTGTACTCAATGAGAGTGAATTTATGTATTTATGTATTTATGTATTTATTTATTGAGATGGAGTTTTGCTCTTGTTGCCCAGGCTGGAGTGCAATGGCATGATCTTGGCTCACCGCAACCTCCGCCTCCCGGGTTCAAGTGATTCTCCTGCCTCAGCCTCCTGAGTAGCTGGGATTACAGGTGTGTGCCACCATGCCCGGCTAATTTTGTATTTTTAGTAGAGACGGGGCTTCTCCATGTTGGTCGGACTGGTCTCAAACTCCCAATCTCTGGTGATCCACCCACCTGAGCCTCCCAAAGTGCTGGGATTACAGGCGTGAGCCACCACGCCAGGCCCGAGAGTGAATTTTTTAAAAAGAAACAAGACATTATCAGTGTCCTGAAGAATTTTGAATCTGTTTTGGAAGAAAAAAGATATAGGCTAGGTATTTTGAAGGTCCTCAACAAATATTTGTTGAGTGAATGGATGGATGAATTATTACTGGCCCAAGGCAACATATGATGAATACCAAGAAAATGAGGGCATGTGTACATACATAAGAGTTCAGGGCATAGCTGAAGTGAGGAATGGAATACTCTACTGGCCAGATCCATCCCATATACCCACCCTTGAAGAAACTGTCCCCACAAGAAAGAGAAGTTCCATTACAAAAAAAATTTTTTAAGATGAAGGGCTGCAACAGCACACTGGACAAATGAAAACTACTGCTACCCCAGGCCACTATAGGCCTACTTTGTTAACAGATTCCAGTAGGATATTTATGTTCCATCCCCAAAGCAGGAGAGGGTGCAGACCAGTGCCAAGAAGGAAATCTGGAGCTATGTATCAAGAGAACAATCTCACATGGGATTGATCACTAACTTTATAAGGATGGACAAGGCAGATGAGAAACAAAGTGGAATTAGATAACAGAATGTAGACTTTGACTCTCTCACTTTTAAGGACTGTGAAGTTGTGGAAATAGTAGAAAGGTCAAAGAAGGGAGACAGTAGACCATTATATCAATTTTTTAAAAGACTGCAAAGAATATTAGATTCATTATTAAGACTTTAGAGGCCTCTACAACTATATAGAGTCAGAATTATGAAGGTAAAGTCACATTGCAGGGCAACTTTGAATAGATAGAATACTTAAGCTAAGGAAATCAGGAATTAGAGGTAGGTAACAGTACACTCAGAAGGTATGGGGATACTAAATATTTCTCTTGAACACAAAACAGAAATTGTCCTGACCCCCTTCCCCATAATGTCTTGAAGGAGTAACTTGAGGCCAGTATGACAATCACTCTGGAAGCCAAGAAGTGGCTGTCTTCTATCTAAATTAAGATTTGCATTACTTGCTAATAGAATGGAACATTAAGCAGTAGTTTGGAATCTTCCTCACAGAGAAAGTACAAGCCAGTGGTGGCTCATGCCTGTAATCCTAGCACTTTGGGAGGCCAAGGCCAGCAGATCACTTGAGGTCAGGAGTTCGAGACCAGCCTGGCCAACATAGTAAAACCCTGCCTTTACTAAAAAATAGAAAAATTAGCCAGGTGCAGTGGTACATGCCTGTAGTCTCAGCTACTCAGGAGGCAGGAGAATTGCTTGAACCCCGGAGGCGGAGGTTGCAGTGAGCCAAGATCATGCCACTGTACTCCACCCTGGGCCACAGAGCAAGACAAACCAAATTGAAATAATCCATGCTGATATTTTGTACATCTGCAGGGTTAATGGTAATCTATAGGATTTTGTCAAAGATACAGCAAAACTTATCTCCAAAGGGAATGAGTCAAAAGTTGCAAATTTTAGAGACTGGCTAAAGCCTTACAAGCAATCTAATACATTTTTTCCCCTCTGGAAAGTGCCCAAAGACCCAGTGAATCTGGGGACAAACCTCAGTGCTTCTGCCAGGTTCCCATTTAAAAGAGAGACTGGACCCTTACCTTGAACTTTAGTGTTGAGGCTATAGTCTATTGGCATCCAAATGATTACTTATGAAAGAAGCTTCATCATGCTCCCTTAAAAAACAACTTATTCCCTGCCAAAACTAGGATTGTGTTGCTTTAGGAAGAGGATACATACTATGTGACAGCCAAATGATGATTTGCCAAAAAAAATAAAAATCAAGGCTGGACGCGGTGGCTCATGCCTGTAATCCCAGCAGTTTGGGAGGCTGAGGTGGGTGGATCAGGGGTTTGAGACTAGCCTGGTCTACATGGTGAAACCCTGTCTCTACTAAAAATACAAAAATTAGCCTAGTGTGGTGGCTCATGCCTGTAACCACAGCTACTCAGGAGGCTGAGGCAGGAGAATCGCTTGAACCTGGGAGACAGAACTTACAGTGAGCCGAGATCATGCCATTGCACTCCAGTCTGGGCAACAAGAATGAAATTTCATCTCAAAAAAAAAAAAAAAAATCAAATTCCATTGTGATGGCAAAAGAGCCTCCTATCACCCAGAAGAGGGAAGGTAGCCTATATTAGACATGGCCTTACAGACTGTTGACGAGGAACTTGCTGAAGGCTACCTGAAAATAAAATAATAGGAAATGGGCATTTTGCTATTTAATGATCTGGAAAATTGGAAACCACCTTGGTCTAGGCAAATCCTTGGGGAGGAAGTTTAAGTCTTTTTTTTTTTTTTTGAGACAGAGTCTCGCTCTGTCGCACAGGCTGGAGTGCAGTGGCGCAATCTCGGCTCACCGCAACCTCTGCTTCCTGGGTTCAAGTGATTCTCCTGCCTCAGCCTCCCGAGGAGCTGCGACTACAGGCACGTGCCACCGCACCCAGCTAATTTTTGTATTTTTAGTAGAGACGGGGTTTCACCATACTGGTCGGGCTGATCTTGAACTCCTGACCTCATGATCCACCCGCCTCGGCCTCTCAAAGTGCTGGGATTACAGGCGTGAGCCACCACGCTCGGCCAGTTTAAGTCTTAAGTGTTAAGGCAAAGCACTTAAGGTAGCCACACCTATAAAGTGGAATTGTCAGGTCATTTTCAACCTATTTCTTTGCCTATGAGAGCTCTCATGTGACATATGCCTAGTCTACCTTCAAATGAGAAGATAGCTGCCCTGTAAAGCACTTGGCTGTGGGAGGCACTCTCACTTCCCAAGAGGTTGTATATAACTGAGTCAATGTACACTCATGGGGATGTCTAGGAGGCCAGAGATCCACTTGCCATTCATGTGGCTCCAGAGGCAGTGGACTTCCATGCTTCATTACTCATGGCCACTCCCCAAGAGTACCTGCTCTAAGTAGCCATCAGTAAACCATTCCATAAAGAAATGCTAATGTGACCAGGTGGCCTAAAAGAGTCTGTGGTCTGCTGCTTCTTGGCCCTGGATTAGGACTGTTTCTGTTGTTGGAAAATATTTGATTCTTGAGGGGGATGAAATGAGGCAGCACCTGTGAAAATTGTTTGAAAACTCTAAAGGCCCGTACTTGTGTAGAGGATGTGGGTGAGATGACTACTGGTAGACAAAAAAAGTTAAGCTCTCTACCCTGTATTTTCCTCTTAGATTACAATTTCTTATTTAAGTATCTCTTCAAGAAGACTGGAGTGGAATCTTTTCCCTTCTGGGTGGTAAAACTAATGAGGGGATGTTTGCCTTGACTTTGCTATTACAGTATATGTGTGACATCCCTAAATCCACTCTAGTGCATCTTACACACTTGTCAGATTTATCTAACTCTCACACCATTGTCATCACTTCCGCCTGCCCCTCAGGAACCTAAATTGATACCTCTGCCTATCATGGAAAATCTAAACTCTTCAGTCTTGCATTCAAAGTTCTCCTGCAACTACCTGCCCCAGCCTCCATCATCTTTCCAATCTGACCTCTCCTTGCTTCACACTGTAGAAGCAGGTACTCTTGGAGCTGACAGTCATCAAAAAGATGGTGCATATCCAACTCTCACATGTCAAAGATGGGGAAACTGAAGCCCAGAGAAGTGAGGTGAATATTCCCAAGGCCACACACAGTCCTTCCACTGTGGCTAAGACGACATGCTTTCCATTCCACACACAACTTGCTCCTCTGGTCCTAAGCCATGGGGCGAGGTGAGTAGAACTGGTACCCAGAAAACAGTATGGCATGGGATAAATGGTAGATAAAGCAATGTTGAGAATTAAAAACTCCAATGTGCTTACAACACATAGCGTTCTCAGCAAGTGAACTTTATATAGAATTTGCCACCCTCATAGTAGGGAATTCACTAAAGCTGGGAATGAATGTGCAAATGTTTGTTTGCTTTGTTTTGTTTACCACAGAAGCGAAATTTGTGACAATCTTTTTCAACCTAAATTGAATAAATGATTCAGGACAAGAAATGATTACCAGATGTGTCAGGGTTTTGATGGGAAATGGCCCATCGAATTATTATTGTTTGCCAAGTTTTCCCCTCACGATTGAAGCTAACGAGGTCATTTCAAGGGTAATCATGCTGGGGAACCTCGATGCAATGACGCTGTTACAACTTGCCCAATTTGAAGCTAGGAAACCACGCCTCCTTTGGAAGGTTTATGTGGTAGGAAATGGGGGGTCATTGGTGATCGAAACCTCACTGATTATCATGAATGGCAAGAAGAGGAAAGCAGTGAAGGAAAAGCCCTGATTACAAGAATATTGTTAAATAAATCAAAGGAAGTTTTATAAATATTCAAATATGTAATGTAATTCAAATGAGACGAATCAACTTTCCACATCTGCTTTGGTGAATAGACAAGGATACTTAAAATTTGTGCATTAAATATTTGAACATAAATTACTGCTTATAATGTGTTTGAGGTTTTTAAAATGTTTTCTTTAGTATTTAAATCACCATAGAACTGAAAAAATAAAGCATTTAATCATTATTTTTGCATTATGACTGTAACCAGACTATAGGACTTATTCAGATTATTACAAATTCCAAATAAGTGGAGCATGAATTAGCAAAGCTTTTTGTTTTTGTTTTTGTTTTGTTTTGTTTTTAGAGACAGTGATATTGCCCAGGCTGGCATGCAGTGGCTATTCACAGGTGTGATCTCACTACTGATGAGCTTGGGAGTTTTGATCTCTTTCTTTTCTGACCTGGGTCGGTTCGCCTCTACTTAGGCAACCTGCTGGTCACCCACTTCCGTGAGGTTACCATATTGATACAGAATTTAGTGCAGCCACTGGATCAGCATAGCACACTACAGCCCAGAATTCCTGGACTCAAGCGATCCTCCCACCTCAACCTTCCTAGTAGCCAGAATTACAGGTGCACCACCCTGCCAGGATAATGACATTTTAATTTGCCTACAAATTATTGCATTAGTCTGAGTGTCCAGGTTAAGATTTAGTGCTTTTTAAACTTTATCACTAAAAAACCATCCTATTGCACCAGGATCTGCCCATAATGAAGCCTAAAAGCAGCCTGATGGAACAGACTTTGTCCTCTATGCCACAAAATAGCTGTTGGTTTTAATATAAAAGTGCACACCTCTCCCCCTCCCATAAATGTACACACCTAAATTCTCCAGTAACTGACTCCTCAGGGAGATGCTTCACGTCATCCACAGCTTCACTCTCCTGGCACATGGTATAGGTGCATCAAGAGCCCTTCATAACGCAGGAGGAGAAGCAGGGTGTGCTTGATTTATGTTTAGAAAAGACAGGTTTAGAGGTCATATCATCCAATTGGAGTGGGGAAAAGTGGCTGTGCTTTGTATATGAGCAAAGCTCAATGAATGTTTATTGAATTGCAATAGTTGATTATTGAAATGACAAACTTTTTGTAACAGGAAAAGCCCTACATAAACATAATGTATTAAACGTAAATACTGATTAGGCAATCCCTTGATATGTAATTCTTTCAAGCCCAAAACTCAGAAAAAGCAGCAATGTGTGCTTTTACTATCTCCTCCCTCAGGTGGGCTTCAATTTCTTCTATTTATTCTAACCTCCCCAGTTAAACACTATTCCCTTGCTAGAGATCAAAGTAACTGCATTGTTTCAATTCTTTATTAACATTACACACTTCTCGGCCGGGCGCGGTGGCTCACGCCTGTAATCCCAGCACTTTTGGAGGCAGAGGCGGGTGGATCACCTGAGGTCAGGAGTTTAAGACCAGCCTGGCCAACATGGTGAAACCTCGTCTCTACTAAAAATACAAAAATTAGCTGGCCATGATGGTGGGCGCCTGTAATCCCAGCTCCTCGGGTGGCTGAGGCAGGAGAATCACTTGAACTGGGAAGGTGGAGGTTGCAGTGAGCTGAGATGTGCCACTGCACTCTAGCCTGGGTGACAAGAGCAAGACTGTCTCAAAAAACATTACACACTTCTCAAAAAGCAAGAGGGTGAGGGTTATCCCTTTCTAATTTCTGCTTCTTACTCCCAAACATAGCTTGAAAATCCTTTTTGCTTGGCTTTGGCATTTTGGGGCACATCTGGATTCATTCCAGGATTTGTCTTCCTGACACATAAATGCAGAAGTGTACACTGTCCTCTTACTTCTCCTGAGTTACATGCACATCAGACAGGCCTCAGGTTATCTGCCTTTGTTATGTCCCGAGCCTTTCACAGATAAAGCCCAAATAACCTCTACCTGCAGGCCCCAGCCTGCCTGAGCCTGTGAGTCAATTCTCCCTAAAGCCAGAAGAGTATCAGCTTCAGCCCCAGCTGTCTGAAGTTAGGCTTGCTGCCTATAGTGTGCTAGCAATAAAAAAAGTCTGGGGCCTATAAGGCTTTGGAGTAACAGCATCTTCAATCTGTGCTGGCCTCAGCCATGCAACTGGGAAACAGCAGAATGCAGTGGGGAGAGTAGTGGCTAAGGAGCCTGCCAGGTTAAGGTTAGGCTTCCCATTCTCACCCTTGACAAGTCACTGAACCACCTGTTTTCTCATCTGTCAAGGGAAGGTCATCTCTAATTCCCATCCCCTGCAGGGTCTCTTGGTGTTATCTATATTCAGTCTTTCTGTTACACTGTTTTCAAATTCAATACGAGTAGAGGGTTCCCTCTTAATTTTATGTCTCAAATTATCTTTGCCTGATAGGATGACAGAAAATGTACCTAATGTTGCCAGGCGCGGTGGCTCACGCCTGTAATCCCAGCACTTCGGGAAGCGGAGGTGGGCGGATCACAAGGTCAGGAGATTGAGACCATCCTGGCTAACACGGTGAAACTCCATCTCTATTAAAAATACAAAAAATTAGCTGGGCGTGGTGGCGAGCACCTGTGGTCCCAGCTACTCGGGAGGCTGAGGCAGGAGAATCGCTTGAACCCAGAAGGCAGAGGTTGCAGTGAGCGGAGATCGCACCACTGCACTCCAGCCTGGGTGACAGTGAGACTCCATCTCAAAAAAAAAAAGAAAGAAAGAAAGAAAGAAAATATACCTAATATAAGGTCAATCATTTGCCTTCTCTTGTTATTTCTGTTCAAAATGTTTTATTTTTCTTACCCTTAAGCCATACTTTCAAACCATAAAGCTATGGGAGGGCAGCAAAGCCTAAGATTAATAATAATATTTAGTGAAGACTAATTATGTGGTAGGTACTGTCCTAGGCACTTGACATGGATTATTACACTTAATCCTTGAAACAGCCTTATGAGAAAGGTGCTTCATAAGTAGGCACTATGAAGTCAATATGATTGCTATTGTACAAATGAAGGAACTGAGGCATGAAGATGTTAGGCAACTTGCCCCGGGGTCACACACACCTAGTTAAGTAGAGAGGGATACAGCAGAAGTTTGGAGAGAAAGTTCTTAATTATACCAATAGGTTATTATCTTTCTCACTTCAGCAGTGGTCATGTCTAATTCAGTCCAAATAATAAGTAACTTATTGCCTGGTGTGACATTAATTTATTTGTTGAATATCTTCTTGGTGCAAAGCCCTGTGCTAGAAGACTTGCACTAGGGGAGATTATAAAAAGAGAAAGATGTGGTCCCTGCCCCGAAGAAAATCAGAAGCTAGTAGGGAAATAGAATAAGAAATAATGAATTCCAATACAAGTAAAACACAGTACATGCTTTAATAGTGCTACAAGCTAAGTGCCACCTGGCCCAGAGGGTGAAGCAGTATGTGTTGGTGTTACACAGGAGGCTTGATTAAAAAGTTTATTTTGGAGTTGAGCCTTTATGGACAAGTAGGATTTTGAGAGGCGGAGAAGTGAGAGAAAGACATTCCAGGCAAGGGAACCACATGGGCAAATACTCACACTGAGTCGCTATTGACTCACTAACCTCAGTGCAGGGTTTGTTCCTGGATTAGCAAGGAGTTTGGCGTTTCTAAGCCTTAGGGTGTATGAGAGGGAGTCCTAATTTGGTAGGCGATAGTAGAAAGGCAAAGTCATAAAATCTCGGAATTGAAGATCCCCAAAGGTCATCTAATTTAGTAACACGTCCAATGCCTAGAGCTCTGCCAAGTCATCATCAAAACTAGGCTCAAATAGTTCTAACATCACATGCATTATTGTCTCCTATGGCAGCCCATCCCATCACTGTCTGAAGTTATATTGCCCATTTATTTATGTGTATTTGCTGATTGTCTGTCATACTAGAACTCAAGTTCCATGATGGCAGAGACTGACTTACCTGTCATGTATCCCCAGTGCCTAGCACTGCAGGCATACAATCAATATTTGTTGAATGCATTCCAGCTCAGGACAGCTCTGACATCTATAAAGTTCTTCAGTAATTTCCACAAGATAGTACTTTACATATATGAAGACAACTAGCCCTCTTTTATCTTTTTCAAGTTAAATATCAACAGTTAGTCAACAATTCCACATGAAAAAATAACTTTGGGCCTTTTCACTATCCTGATCACACTCTCAAATAAGCTCCATTTTGTCTCTATTTCTTTTAGTGTGTTGCTGCAAGAACAGAAGGCAATATTCCAACTCTGTGACCCCCTCAAATTAGAGAGGTCCTATAAGCTCTCTTATTCGAGGTGTTACAGTGTGACCCAAGATGGCACTAACTTTGCTGAGGTCCACTTCACCCTGTTGCCTATGTTTCTCTGATTGTCAGCTAACCTCCTTTCCACTCCCTTCACCAGTTGCTGTGTTCTACTGCTTGCTCACCTGTCTCTTGTCCTGACTTGTGTAGGTAGATTTTGAAAACCAAGTCCACGGCCTTATATTTAGGAGGCTCTTACAGTAATCCAGAACAAAAGATACAAGGTATTGAACTAGAGCAGTGTAGCCAGCAAGGAAGAGACAAAAAGAAAAACATATCTGAGGCATTGTCAATGGGACTTGCAATCTACTGATTTAGTGACCACTAGCACGCTTTCTCAATGGATGCCTCTCTCTCCAGACCACGTATGAATTTGGAGTCAATTCCCAGTTTCTCCCTACCTCACTGTCTTTGAAGCAAGCATGCGACTCTTTTGAAGTCTTCTATACATTTTTTTCCCAAGTTACTGTCTATAAAAATATATTAGGAAAGTTCAAAGGCAGCAAGATTTCTAGCCAGGATGACTGAAAAGATGGTAGTTCCATGACTAAGGTAGGAAATCCAGGAGAAGGACCAGATATTAAGGTGATAATGAAGCACCTGGTTTGGGATGTGTTGAATTTGATGACCTGAGGACATCTAGCAAACAGTTTGAAAAGTGTTTACTTCTTTGGCTCTGGAGTGCAAACTGAAATGTATATCTGTGAGTCATCAACAGAGATGCTTGAAGCTTTCCCCAGAGAATGAGAATTTTGATTATCATTTAAACTGAAAAAAAGACAAGACTGAGAAAAAAACGTTTAACAATGACCACATAAAATGGGTATTTGAAGGAGGAATCCCCCAGAAAGAGAGAGAGGGGAAGGAAGGCTCAGGCGGTATGGGGAAAACTTGATGAGTTTATTGTCAGGGGCAAAGCTGGACATTATTGCAGAAGGAAGAGAAATCAGTTACATCAAACACAGCAGAAATCTCCTAGAGAACAAAACTTCTCATGATGCTACTGAGTTTATCAATGAGGAGGTGATCTAATAACCTTAAACAAAATAATTCCAGTTTTAGAGCCAGGTCACAAGCAGTTGATAAATAAGGAGTAAATGGTAGCAATGAAGTCAAAGCGGTAAATGTAGACTGCTATTTTGAAAAGTTGTTATGCAATACATGTAAACTAGAAAAGCAACAAATCTATATGATATTTATATGATCTACATATTCTAAAATATAACATGGGGTTAATTACTATTTCATTGTAATGTATGACTCTAGAATTAATCATTTTATAGACCTTATGATTGCACTAGGTGTTCAAAAGATCTCACTATATAAAAGAGAATAATGAAGTACCAGCCACTTAGGAGGCTGAGGCAGGAGGATCGCTTGAGCCCAGGAGTTTGAGGCTGTAATGTGCCATTATTGTGCCTATGAATACCCACTGCACTCTAGCCTTGGCAACACAGTAAGACCCAGTCTCTAAAAAAAGAAAATAAGAGAAAAATTGAAATACATAGATTTCATTGAACCTAAATAGGGCTACATGTATTTTCTTGTTGTTGTTGTTGTTTTTTTCCTGGTTCCCATTTAGGTGTCTAATTATGAAATGGCCAATCAAATCCTTATTTTCTTCGAGATCAGTTTTCATTTAAGTCTGCCTGGATTGGATGGCAGGTCAAGCTTTTTAAACTTTAACCCAACATAGATTCTGTCAGAAGCACCACTAGGTCTGGTGAATTTCTGGATCTATTCTGTATTGCCTCCTAATCCCTTGGGGTATGAATCTCTGAGAAGCCCTTTCACCTTCAGCCCTGGCCTCTACCTCCCACATGTTGTGGGAAGTCAGGGACCCCTAACAGAGGGACCGGCTAGAGCCGAGGCAGAGGAACATAAATTGTGAAGATTTCATGGACATTTATCAGTTCCCAAAATTAATACTTTTATAATTTCTTATGGCTGTCTTTACTTTAATCTCTTAATCCTGTTATCTTCGTAAGCTGAGAATGTATGTCACCTCAGGACCACTATTGTACAAATTGATTGTAGAGCATGTGTGTTTGAACAATATGAAATCTGATTGTAAAACATGGATGTTTGAACAATATGAAATCAGTGCACCTTGAAAACGAACAGAATAACAGCAATTTTGGGGAACAAGGGAAGACAACCAAAGGTCTGACTGCCTGCGGGGTTGGGCAAAATAGAGCCATATTTTTCTTCTTGCGGAGAGCCTATACACGGACATGCAAGTAGAAGAGATATCGCTAAATTATTCTCCCAGCAAGGAATATTAAATATTAAGACCCTAGGAAAAGAATTGCATTCCTGGGGGAAGGTCTATAAACGGCTGCTCTGGGAGCATCTGTCTTATGTGGTTGAGATAAGGACTGAAATACGCCCTGCAGTACCCTCAGGCTTATTATGGTGGGGAAAAAATCCCGCCCTGGTGAATTTGAGGTCAGACCGGTTCTCTGCTCTCGAACCCTGTTTTCTGTTGTTTAAGATGTTTATCAAGACAATACGTGCACAGCCGAACCTAGACCCTCATCATTAATTCTAATTTTGCCCTTGCCTTGTGATCTTGCTTTGCCCTTTGCCTTGTGATCTTTATTGGCCTCAGAAGCATGTGAACTTTGTTCTCCTTTTTTGCCCTTTGAAGCATGTAACCTTTGTGACCTACTCCCTGTTTGTACACCCCCTCCCCTTTTGAAATCCCTAATTAAAACTTGCTGGTTTTGTGGCTTAGGGGCATCACAGACCTACCGATATGTGATGTCACCCCCGGAGGCCCAGCTGTAAAATTCCTCTCTTTGTACTCTTTCTCTTTATTTCTCAGACCAGCTGACACTTAGGGAAAACAGAAAGAACCTACATTGAAATATTGGGGGCAGGTTCCCCCAATACCCACAGATTCATAGGATGCCAAATCTGGAAGTGACTTTAGGGTTCTTCTAGCTCATCTCCCTTAATTTCATAGGTAAATGAAATGAGGCCCACCATGAGAAAATGACTTGTTCGGGGAGCATTGTTGCCAAGTGACAGCAGCATGAGCTTTAGGAGTCAGAGCTGGGATTGAACCCTGGATCCATTATTACCTAATTGTATAGCATTAAATTAGGCTCTTCACCTCCTGAACCTCAGTTTTCCCATTTAAAAATGGGGCTAATGATCATCACACCTGCCTTATGTAGTTGCTATGTGTATTGAATGAATAAAATGTGAAAGCACCTAGTCAGCTCCTTTCACATGGTAGAAACTCAACAAGTTTATTCCCTCCTTCTTTGCAGAAGATTTCATAGCCAATGTGACACAAGCAAAACTCAAAGCAAACGTAGGCCTCTGACTTTCAGGCCGGAAACCTGTTCATACACAGGGATCTTCATATTGAGGTACCCCTAGAAGTATCTGAAGACTTGCCAACGGGTACGGGGGCATGGATAGTTTTAAGAAAATGGATTTCCAGATCCTGAAGTTCCATATGAACTCTTTCTTAAAATTGATTAGAGTATGCAGCTGCAGTTGGGAGTTTCATTTTCCTCCTCATATTTCACAATGGTTCTTCTACTTTACAGAGGAAAACATTTAAAGTCTTACAGATGTGCAACTGTAAGATTTAAATTTGCACATCACCTGGAAGTGTTAAACCTCCAAGCAATAAAGGAACATTGTGACAATTGCTTTAATCAAGATATATAAGCTGACTTTCAATCCATTTCATTAAGAGATTCAGTTCCAATTATATTTTACTTTATAGGTTTAATAAGATTATTAAAATTTGTGATAAAGTAGACTATTTTGCTCTCTTGTGAACTCCTAATAATTGTTTTAGTGGCTCAATGAAAAAAGAAAACCCAAAGAACAACAACAAAAATCCCTTTTTGGCCAGGCATGGTGGCTCATGCCTGTAATCCCAGCACTTTGGGTGGTTGAGATGGGCGGATCACCTGAGGTCAGGAGTTCGAGACCAGCCTGGCCAACATAGTAAAACCCCGTCTCTACTGAAAATATAAAATTTAGCCAGGCGTGGTGGCACACATCTGTAGTCTCAGTTACTTGAGAGAGTGAGGCACAAGAATCACTTGACCCAGGAGGCAGAGGTGGCAGTGAACCAAGATAGCACCACTGCACTCCAGCCTGGGTGACAGAGTGAGACTCCATCTTAAAAAAAAAAAAAAAAAAAAAAAAAAAAAAAAATCTTTTCAACCTTTAGAGTTTTATGGTCACAGGAATTTTTTTAACTTTCAGTTTACACCTGTTTATATATTTTCACTGTTAAAGAATGATAGGGAGATCAATGAAAGACCTCAAGCATAGAAATATACTGTATTAGGTTAAAGTCTATGGAGGAAGTGGGATGGAAATACAAGTTCAAGAAGAAAAAAATACCTTATAAAAATTTCAACTGTGAAAGCTGAGCTTGCTATAAAGTTTTAAAATGGATGAGGTGGATATCAAGATACTCTGATTTTAGAGAGCACTGGAAAAACCTAAAAGAGTGATGAAATAGATTTATTTATAATATCCTGGAAATTATATCCTTTCCAATGCTTTAAACTTATGATGAAAAAAATTTAAATGTCAACTTAATAAATGCATTAAAAAGAACAAAATTTTTCAAAATTATTTGAAAAAAAGGTACTGCTGACACAACCCTGGAAAGGTCCACAGCTGCCTCACAGTCTTACTGTTATTTTGGCCCTGCATTGAGGGAGATCTTCCCCCTTGGTTCTCACAAGTAGACGCATGTGTGTGTACCATGCATACAACATATCTCCAGAGCTTTGTATCCTCTTCCTCTGACTCCACGTGCTTGAGCCAACATTTTCTTCCTTTGCCTTTTTGCTTGAGCTAACATTTTCTTCCTTTGCCTTTTAGGGGTATCTGTTTCGCTCCAAGCCCTGTATGTTTACACTTGACCCTTTTCAGCCCCCTCACCACCCCTTTGTACCCCTTTGTCCCCCTTCGCCCCTCACACTTGTCATTTCCTTCTGAAGTTATCACTTTTCCTGCAACATAGTTATTAACCTCTTGCTGAAGTTGCTTTGGCCATTAAAGGATAATCAGCTTCTTCCTTCATCTATTTCTCCAACAGAAATTCTATCTTTAGGGCATCAGAATCGCCTGGAGGGCTTATTAAAGCACAGATTACTGAGTCCTTCCCCCAGAGTTTCTGATTCAGTATGTCTGGAGTAGGGCTTGAAAATTTGCATTTCTGGCTGGGCGCTGTGGCTTACACCTGTAATCCCAGCACTTTGGGAGGCCGAAGGAGGTGGATCACTTGAGGCCAGGAGTTCAAGACCAGCCTGGCCAACATGGCGAAACCCCATCTCTACAAAACATACAAAAATTAGCTGGGCATGGTGGCTCACTCCTGTAGTCCCAGCTATGCAGGAGGCTGAAGCATAAGAATCCCTTGAACCCAGGAGGCAGAGGTTGCAGTGAGCCGAGATTGTACCACTGCACCGCACTCCAGCCTGGGCAACAGATACTCTTGTCAAAAAAAAAAAAAGCATTTCTAACAAATTCCCAGGTGATGCTGGTCTGGAGACATCATTTTGAGAACCACTGCTCTAAGCTAATGTTTCGTGTGCTTGTCAGAGGTCATGTGGCTAAAGGTAGGTACCTGCATTTCTGAGGCTAAAAGTGACATCAAAAGAAGTATCAGGTATGAAGCCAGGAGCATAAGTGCTTTGTCAAAGATATTTCTCATGCAATCTAAAAATTCTTCAGGACTGGATTGATTTAAAGCAGAAATCAGAGCAAAAGGGTCATAATTAGGAAAACACTGTCTCAAAGTTTCACAGTAGCCACCTTCTCCTCCAACCTCCTCGCCAAATAGAGGAACTCACATTCATTGCAGCCTTTCTAAATGCCAGACATTTTTCTAGACAAATTCCCGTGTGCTATCTCATTTAGTCCTCACGTCATCCTTACAAGCTAAGTTTATTATTTTCCTCATTACCCATAAGAAAACTGAATTTAAAACTGAATTTTAAAGCCAGGCACAGTGGCTCATGTGCCTGTAGTCCCAGCTACTTGGGAGACTGAGGAAGGAGAATCGCTTGAACTCGGGAGGCGGAGATTTCAATGAATCGAGATTGTGCCACTGCACTCCAGCCTGGGTGACAGAGCAAGACTCTATCTCAAAAAAAAAAAAAAAAAAAAAAAACCTGAATTTAACTTAAACTGAAAAGCTAAGTTCATTGGAAATTATCCTCCGAATTGGTTCACTGTTCACTAATTTCAGGCGGCCATACAGAAGGATGAAAAAGTCATCAGATTGTTAACTGCTGTTATAATACAAGCAAGTACAGTACATTCTTCAAGAAAATCATGTGAAAGCATGTTTTAAAAATTAAAGAGAACAGGAAGATTTCCCTAAAGGATAAATAGCTGGTCCCATTCAGGTAATTCATCCATCAACAGAGAACAGAAGAGAATCTGGAATTTCATCTCATCTACTACTCTATTGATTTTAAAAAGGCATTGGATTCCATCAACATAACTCAGTTCTTTCAGCATTATTAGAAAAAAGAAACCACACATAATATTGTATGATTTAGAAACTCAACATACATAAGCCACAAGAAAACCACCCTAGATCAAAGAATATTCTAGCATCTTAGAGAATGGACTGATAAAAACAAATAACTAGGAAATGTTTCTCATTGTATAGAGCAATTGCATAAGGCTGTGTGTGTGTGTGTGTCTGTGCATGTATGTAGTGTGTTCCATATCATTAATATTATCAATGTCTGGAATCTAATAAAAAGTTACCAGACATGCAAAGAAGTAGGGTATTATAACCCATTACGAGAAGATAAATCAATGAAAATCAATCCAGAACTGACATAGATTTTAGAATTATTGAATAAAGATATTAAACAGGTATCCCATAGATTCAAAAACTTAAGTAGAGGCATGGAAGTTATATAAAAAGTTTAACAAGCTTTTACAGATTAAAAGTACAATGTGTGAGATGAAAAACACGATAGATGTGATTAATGGCTGGTTAGAAATTGCTGGAGAAAAGATTAGTGAACTTGAAGACATATAAAGGCAATAAAAGCTATCAAAAATGAGACAAAGTGAGAAAAGAAAATTTTAAAAATACAAGAACGTCAATGAACATTAAGAAATCTAATATACATGTAACTGAGATTTTTGAAAGAGAAAAAAGAGTGGGCAGAAAAATATTTGAAGAAATAATGGCCAAAATTTTTCCAAGTTTCATGAGAACTGTAAATCCACAGAACCAAGAAGCTCAGCAAACCCCAAGTATAAGACATATGGAGAAAACAGTGACAAGACACATAATAAAGTGTTCAAAACCAGTGATAATGGAGAAAGCTTAAGAGAAATCAGATATGTTACATATAGAGGAACAAAGATAAAGATGCAGGAGATTTCTTGGTAGAAACAATACAAGTGAAAAGACACTGAAACATCTTAAAAGTACTGCAAGGGGCCAGGAGTGGCAGTGCATGCCTGTAGTCCCAGCTACTTGGGAGGTTGAGGCAGGAGGATCCCTTGAGTCCAAAAGTTCTGGGCTGTAGTGCGCTATGTCGACTGAGTGTCTGCACTAAATCTGGCATCAATATGGTGACCTCCTGGGAGTGGGGGACTACCAGGTTGCCTAAGGAGGAGTGAACTGGAATCAGGTCAGAAACAGATCCGGTCAAAACTTCTGCTCTGATCAGTGGTGATCATGCCTATGAATAGCCACTGTACTTCAGCCTGGGCAACATAGTGAGACCCTGCCTCTGAAAAAAATAAAAAATAAAATAAAGTATTGCAAGGGGGGAAAAGCTTGTCAATCAGGAAAAGTATCTTTCAAAAATAAAGGTAGGATAATGAATTTTTTCAGACATACAAAAGCTGAAAGTTCAAAAATTTATCATCAGCACACTCGCTATATAAGAATATTTTTATTTCTGCCTTTCCCATCCAGATGTCTTTTATTTCTTTTTCTTGCCTTATTTCACTGGCTAGAACCTACAGTACAATGTTGAATAAAAATGGACATCCTTGTCTTGTTCCTGATCTTAAGAGGAAAAGACATCTTTGTAAATAGTCCTTGTATCAAACTCTCTTTATCATCCATTTTTTTGTTGTCGTTGTTAATGGGGACTTGCTCAGTCTGTGGCCCAAACTGGAGTATAGTGGTACAATCACAGCTCACTGCAGCCTTGACCTCCTGGGCTCAAGCCATCCCTCCACCTGAGCCTCCTGAGTAGCTGGGACCACAGATGTGCACTATCACACCTGGTTAATTTTTATTTTATTTTTGTAGCTATGGGGTCTCACCATGTTGCCCAGGCTGGTCTTGAATTCCTGGCCCCACCTTGGCCTCCCAAAGTGCTGGGACTAGAGGCATGAGCCAGTGCACCCAGCTTAGTCATCCATTCTGAATGCACCACCTGTTTCCTATCAATATCATATCAATTTTTTTCCCTAAATAGAAGGCAAATCAGAATCAGAAGGTAGAAATTACAGAAGACAGAACATGGCTTGGCATTAAAAAACGAAGACAAAAACTCTGTTTTTTTTGGAGACAGAGCTTACTCAGTCGCCCAGGCTGGAGTACAATGTTGGAATCTCAGCTCACTGCAACCTTGGCCTCCTGTGTTCAAGCGATTCTCCCACCTCAGCCTCCTGAGTAGCTGGGATTACAGGCACCCGCCATCATGCCTGGCTAATTTTTGTAGAGACGGGGTTTCACCATGTTGGCCAGGCTGGTCTTGAACTCCTGACATAAGGTGATCCGCGCCTTGGCCTCCCAAAGTGCTGGGATTACAGGCATGAGCCACCGCGCCCAGCAAAAAACTTTCTTAACAGTAAGCCCCATTAAGCAATGGAAATGGTTGCCTTGGGAGAAAGTCCTTTGCTAGAAGTTTCAGAGGACCACATGCTATGAATAACATGGCAGTGATTTTCATTCTTAGTGAGAGAAAAAACTAGTCAATCTCTTCAGTTCCTGTATGGCTGTAATGATTCTATGACAATCTCAGGCCATGTGATGTTGTCTCCAAGAATGGAAATTATAAACAAACCATATATTTCAATGCTTTATGTACAGTGTTACATACAGGCAAACCAACAGGCCACTACTTATTAAATAACTATGTTCAAATTGTGTTTAAAATGTCCTCTTGAAATTTTTTCCAAAGACTCTATAGCACACATTCATTGTAAATCCCCCAAATGTTAGTGGTCAGTAAAGAAATTCCATTGCACGGAAATGTTTGTACCTGTTAGGGTTGGAGAAGTCTGCTAGAAGAAATTCTCGTTGTTAAAAGAAACCTCTGATTGGATGAGACCATAAGAAAAGATGGTGCTGAGCGTACTGGACTCTGGGGTAAGTGTTTGATTATTTGCTTTGAGGGTCTTTCTGATCTCTTTAGGTCAGTGGGAAGAGAACAAAGACCTCTTTTCTTCCTGACTTTACCACCAGGAAGACCCAGGTAGCTAAAATGAGCATGCCTCAAGATACAGGAACAGATACATTCTCAGAGAGAAAATAGGACAAACAACTAATTAAGAGCAGAACACCAGAAGAAAGATTGACATAACAGCCCTGGAAACCAAACGGTGAAGTGAATGAGGCCTACAAAAGATTTGTACGAGTGTCAAACTTAGATGTGGGTTGATATCCCAGATAATTTAGCAATAATTTATAATGGATTAAATTTATTATTTTATTGTATTCATGTATTTTTATTTTTATTTTTTTATTTTTTTGAGACAGAGGTTCACTCGTTGCCCAGGCTGGAGTGCAGTGGCACAATCCCGGCTCACTGCAACCTCTGCCTTCCGGTTTCAAGCGATTCTCCTGCCTCAGCCTCCCCGACTAGCTGGGATTACAGGCACCCGCCACCATGCCTGGCTAATTTTTGTATTTTTAGTAGAGACGGGGTTTCACCATGTTGGCCAGGCTGGTCTCAAACTCCTGACCTCGTGATCCACCCACCTTGGCCTTCCAAAGTGCCGTGATTACAAGCATGAGCCACCACGCCAGGCCCTATTTTTTTTGAAACAAGATCTCGCTCCGTCACCCAGGCTGGAGTACAATGGTACAATCTTGGCTCACTGCAACCTCTGCCTCCCAGGCTCAAGTGATTCTCCTGTGTCAACCTCCCAAGTAGCTGGGACTGCAGACGCACACCACCACACGGGCTAATTTTTGTATTTTTAATAGAGATGGAGTTTTGCCATGTTGGCCAGGCTGGTCTTGAACTCCTGACCTCAAGTAATCCACCCCCAACTTGGCCTCCCAAAGCACTGAGATTGCAGGCGTGAGCCACCACACCCCAGGCTAATAATGGATGAAATTTAGATAGATTGGGATTCCATTTGTACCTAATTGTTCTTAAATTTTATTACTATTATTATTATTATTATTATTATGACAGAGTCTCACTCTGTCCCCCAGGCTTGAGTGTAGTGGAACGAACTCGGCTCACTGTAACCTCTACCTCTTAGGTTCAAGTGATTCTCCTGCCTCCACCTTCAGAATAACTGGGATTACAGGTGTGCACCACCACACCCGGCTAATTTTGTATTTTTAGTAGAGACAGGGTTTCACCATGTTGCCCAGGCTGGTCTGGAATTCCTGACCGCAAGTGATCCACCCGCCTCAGCCTCCCAAAGTGCTGGGATTACAGGCATGACCCACCACCCATGGCCTTAAATTTTATTATTTAAGAAGTAATACATGCAAGGGTGTATATTGAAAAGTCAATCTATACTTTTACCTATCACTATAACCTCAATCAATCAAGTCCCATACCCAGAAGCAACTAAGATTACCAATTTCTGGTGTCACCTTCCAGAAATAGTCTATGAATATACGAGCAGGGGGTGGGGTCGGCAGGGTGAGGCATAACTGTAACATAATGTAACATAATGAACACACTGTACTGTACCTCACATCTATCTTTTAACAATATATCTTTGAGATGTTTCTGATTTTTATATAGAGTTCTGGTTTATTCTTTTTAACAGTAGCATAGTTTTCTTGTGAGGAAGTACGATTATTTATTTGACCAGTCTGAAAATGATGAATATTTAGATTATTTCTAGTTTTCTTTCCTGGCATTTTTTTTCTCCTTTAAAAAAAGTATGCATCTTAATAATGCTTTTTAATTACTATGCTTAATAAATGTATCAGCTAGGAAGTAACACTTTATACTTATTAAGTTAGCTAAAATAACAGGTTTAAATTCTTTGCTAAAAGGGCTGTGGAAAAATGGGCCAACTGATTGGTTCTAGAGAGAGAGAGAGAGAGAGAGAGAGAGAGAGAGAGAGAGAGAGAATGTGTCAAACCTAGCTGTTTATCAGAATTTCCTTAGTCTTTACTCTAAATACAGATGCTTAGGTCACATGCCTGGGGATTCTGACTTAGAAGGACTGAATTAGGACCTAAATATTAATATATCTATCTGGAAATATTCCAAGGAAATATCATGTATTTTGAAAATATTTCACAGGATTCTGATTTACAGCTAGTGTTGAGAACCAATCATTGATAGAGAATAGTTAACCAATTTATACACTTATTAAATACAAATGGTTTATTTTATGAAAAAACATTCTTTAGTGTAAAGTGCTTTAACTCAGCTCTCTTTCAGTTCTCTACATCTGGGGGCAGAGTTGAAAGAGCTGCTCTACCCATCTTAATCCCAGGCTCAGATGTGCACATGTTGGAGTCTACCAACACTCAGGACTTAGTTCTTAGAAGAAATGGCCTTTGTAGAATTTGCCTCATGAATTCAGCTCTATTAAGGGATGACACACATCACTGTCTCTGTTATTACACATTAAAAAATCCTTTATAGATAAAAGCACAAAGACTTTATTGTGTTAACACAGCTAACCATTTATATAAATCTCTTGATCCTTATTTATCATTGCAAAAATACAATATATAGTTTTAATGCCTCTGTACATATGACTTTGGTTCTTTTTCCACTTAGCTTTATTTCCTATGCACATTTCAATACACAAATACAGAACACAAAGTTATTTTTAGCAGCTATATGCTTACAGTGTTGTACCTCATATTTTGCAAAATTCGTCTCCAAATCTGAACATTTGGGTTGTACCATTTTTCATTATAAAATGGTGGAGTTATAAATATCATTGATCAAACACCTTTTTTCATTTTGAATTTTTTTCATACATTACCAAAAGAAGAAGCTGTAGATCAAAAGAATGAACAATGCTAATAAGACTTTTGCCTGTAGAGACTTACTGCTCCACAGGATTCTACTAAGTTACTGGGCCCTGAGAAAAGGACCAGTGTTCTTTTCTCATAGCCTCTCCAACAAGATGTTTTATTCATTTCATTTTAGTTAACCTGATAAAATATTAAGTTATATTTCATACCAGATGAACTCATTGAGCATATTTGTTAAAAGGCATTGTAGGGATTTAAGTCAAGGAGTCTGACTTGACTTACTTGACTTGACTTTCTGTGCCAGAAAGCCTGCATCCAAATTCCTGCTCTGCCATATGACTTTCAGTAAGTTCCTTGCTTGCTTATTTTTTGAGATGGAGTCTCCTTCTGTCGCCCAGGCTGGAGTGCAGTGGCATGATCTTGGCTCACTGCAACCTCTGCCTCCTGGGTTCAAGTGATTCTCCTGCCTCAGCCTCCCCTAGTAGCTGAGACTACAGGCACACACCACCACGCCCAGCTAATTTTTTTTTGTA
Organism: Homo sapiens; assembly: GCF_000001405.40. Classification (NCBI taxonomy): domain Eukaryota; kingdom Metazoa; phylum Chordata; class Mammalia; order Primates; family Hominidae; genus Homo; species Homo sapiens. Next base: position 120,127,153 of record NC_000003.12, read on the forward strand.
TTTTCAGTGGAGATGAGGTTTCACCATGCTGGCCAGGCTGGTCTCAAACTCTTGACCGCAGGTAATCCGCCCACTTCAGCCTCCCAAAGTGCTGGGATTACAGGCGTGAGTCACCATGCCCAGCCAAGTTCCTTGCTTTCTGTCTCAGTAGACTATGTCTAAAATGGCAACACTATGGTAGGCATGTTGCAAAAATTAAATAAGTTAAGTGCCTAGAACTGTTCCTGGAATATAGGAAGCACTATAATTACAGGCCATTATGAATGCTTACGAGAACCAGAAGAAATGCTAGACTCCAGAGAGAAAGCTGTGAACACAACAGGCACCAGAACGGTTTCTCCACTCACAAGGCCATAGGCAAGTTGGGAATACAGCTGGTTGCAGTAGCACAATGCAGGTATACAACAAGAAAACATGTTAGGAAAAATCCCTGCTAGAATATTTAATTTTTGCATTAGAGATGCTCAATGAATGTTCTAAATGTTGGATTATAGTCTATCTTTCTTTCTTTCTTTCTTTTTTGAGACGGAGTCTCACTCTGTTGCCCAGGCTGGAGTGCAGTGGTACCATCTCAGCTGACTGCAACCTCTGCCTCCCAAGTTCAAGCAATTCTCCTGCCTCAGTCTCCTGAGTAGCTGGGATTATAAGCATGTACCACCATGCCTAGCTAATTTTTGTATTTTTAGTAGAGACTGGATTTCCCCATGTTGGCCAGGCTGGTCTCAAACTCCTGACCTCAGGTGATCCGGCCGCCTTGGCCTCTAAAGTGCTGGAATTACAGGCATAGCCACTGCGCCCAGCCTATATTTCTTATATGAACTATTTAGTCATAGCCATTGTCCACTTGCCCAAAGGTTCTAAGTATCTATTAAATATGTGTATACCTTCTTTTTTTTCTTTTTTCTTTTGCAGAGATTGGAGTCTTGCTATGTTGCACAGGCTGGTCTCAAACTCCTGTTCTCAAGCCATCCTCTCACCTTAACTTCTCAAAGCTCTGAGATTATAGGTGTGAGCCACTGTACTGGCCTATGTTTTTAAATGTATTTATTTAAAAATAGAGACAGAGTCTCACTCTGACGCCCAGGCTGGAGTGCAGTGGCGTGATCTTGGCTCACTGCAAACTCCACCTCCCGGGTTCAAGCGATTCTCATGCCTAAGCTTCCCAAGTAGCTGAGGTTACAGGCACACCATGCTGGCTAATTTTTGTATTTTTAGTAGAGACGCAGTTTCGCCATGTTGGCCAGGCTGGTCTCGAACTCCTAACCCCAAGTGATCCGCCTGCCTCAGCCTCCCAAAGTGTTGCTTTCTCATTGAATGACACATCTTAAATATCTTTTCATGTTGGTACATATAGATCTTCCTCATTCTTTTTAACAGCTGTATAATTGTTCAAAGTAGGTATGTACTGTATTTTATTTATCATTAATAGACATTTGAATCATTTCCAATTTTGTGCTATCACAGTTTTGTAATAAATAACATATCTATCTTTGTGCAATTGTAGTTTTCTTTTAGAATTTATTTTGAATATTGGGCTTTTCTCCATTATATTTATTGGAAGTATTTTTCTGTTGCTTACATTTTTATCTTTTGTATATGACAAGAACTTCAAACTGAAAATAAATCTCTCTCTGTTCCTAAGCTGCCCTTGTTCCTAACATATCATCTCAGAGATAGCTGGTGCATATACACGCATATGTAACCAAAGCAAAAGTTTTATAGAACATACTTCACCTTCCTACATTCAATGTACTTTAATTCATTCCATTGTATTCTATTCTATTCATTGCATCTTATTGAAACATGTTTGTAAAGTTCCTTTAAATTGATTTTAAAATCACTGGTTCATGGCAACTCATAGTTTAAAAAGCGTTTTCCTTTTCTCCCCTACCCTGTGTTGAACCAGTCTATAGAAGCAGGCACCTATTTGAGTTTTCCTGCCTGGCAAGCCAGTAACTTCTAAGAACTGAAGACCTCCCTTGAACTGCAGCTCAATTAAGTAAGGTCTAGCTCTTTTCCATCTTTTCCCAAGAGTAGAGACCTGGCCACCATACCTGCCAAGAATGAACAGATGGTCTCACACTAAACCATTGCTACAGATGGCAAGCACCTGACTCTGAATCTGTGTGCCCACCAGATTGATATTAGCTGCATGCACACCACATATGCCTAGATAAACAGGGGCATCATTTTAAGACTGTTGGCTCATTTCCATGTTGATACTTAAGGGAGGTTACTCTGTTAGATGGGAACTGTTTCCGGGCAAGGCTAGCATTAAAGTCAGGAAGAGATAGAAGCATAACTTTCAAAGTTCTGTTCATTCAAATCCTTGCCTAGCCTGAGTTTGGAGGTGCAGAGGAAAAATCGGGAAAGGGCTGCTAGGATCCAGGTCAAGAGTTAGAGCTCTGACCAAATGGACCAGAATTCAGGGCAGAACTCTGGGTAAGCAAGAAGGGATCAATATAGATGGACAAATGTGGTATGTTGGGGTATGCGGTAGCATAGTGGGCACTTGTTGCCTAGGCCCACCTAAGACTCATAACAAATGTTAAGATTATGTGTTGGCCCCACCCACTGGTAGGTCAAGAATATCTGCCTTGGTCAAGATCAGCTCAGAAACAGGATGACCCTAAACATGTAGATTAGGGACATCCATACCTACAGCTGAGAGTGCCAGGGCAGGCAGGAAGTCATAGGAAACAATGAAGAAGAGTCTTTGACTTCTGCATTAAATCTAGCTGAGAGACTAACTCCTCTCCTTGGCAGCTGACTCAGGACCTATGAGATCATATTGGGTAAGCCTTTAAAATGCAATTTGATATGATCAGAATTTGAAGAGTAGATCAGGTCAGAAAAGCAGATTTTTCTTTATTAGGAAAAGAAAGAAACACTTAAAAGAAAAATGTTCTCTTCTTGGAAAGGATTTTCTTAAAGGTGGATTATTAATTCACTCATTAATTCATTCCTTATGTATGACGCATTTACTAATAGATGCTTGCTTTCATTCACCTCTGAAGTTAGATGTGCACACTCTTATTTTCTCTTTTTGGATGTCACAGGTAGACAGGCATGTTTTAGCTACTTGCACTACTTAAATATGCAGATTTCCTAGGTGACATCATTTGGCTTTAGTGTTAATGGGCCCCTGATGACCACTAAATAATGCTCAAGAAGTCAGGTCTGCATGATAGGTTAGTTCCTTAATTGTGTTTCTCTCTGTTGGGTAGGTGATTACCCCTGCTGCAGCAAAATGCAGATAGAGATAATGACAGGCTCCTGCAAAAATTAAGTAGATTCTAAAACGTGAAATAATACCTAAACCCAGCTGTCAGGAGAAGTGAATTTGTCCTTCAAGATTTAAGAAACAGGCCAGGCACAGTGGCTCATGCCTGTAATTCCAGCATTTCGGGAGGCCGAGGCAGGTGGATCACTCAAGGCCAGGAGTTCGAGACCAGCCTGGACAATATGGTGAAATCCCATCTCTACTAAAAATACAAAAAAATTAGCTGGGCATGGTAGCAGGTACCTGTATTCCCATCACTTGGGAGACTGAGGCTGGAGAATCGCTTGAATTCAGGAGGCGGAGACTGCAGTGAGTTAAGAGTGCACCACTGCACTCAGCCAGAGTGACAGAGTGAGACTGTGTCTGAAAAAAAAAAAAAGATAATAAGAAACATCTGGCCGCTTCCTCTCATCCACCTGCATTCTGAGGAGACAGCCCAGCCCTCTGCCATTCTGAGAGGGAGGGACCAGGCACCTCTGTTGTCATGGGCACTTCACTCCAGTTCTGATTGCTGATGTTTCATTTGCATCTCATTTTTGGCAGCTCTTTCTTTCCTATGCTCCTCTGTCCTACCCTATAGGGAGTCTAAATCTCTTTTTGTGTGTGTGTGGGTGGGTTTTTTTTTTCATGATATCTTCCTTGCCTTCCCCACCCTTCCCAAATCTCCCATGACACATTTGAGCATGCAGTAGAGTTCACTAAAGACTTGGGGTGAAGTGGAGGTTTATACAGCTATTAGATATTGCATATTCTGATTCCCTTCCTCCTCTGCCTTTGGTTCCCCAAACCAAATTCAAGGTCCCTAGCTGCATAGGGGGAGGAGAGATGATGCATCCTTATGTAGTTAAAATCATTAAAGACCCAGCTAAAACAAAGGGGCCCCTCACCTTGGGTCTCTGCAATTAGTAGCACCCAACAAGTGACAGGCATTTTGACCTATCAATCTTTCTTTTTCTCTTGTACCAATGAGAAAAATTCATGCCACTCCCTTAAAGGGGTAAAAAAAAAAAAAACAAAAAAACACCATGGTCGGCCAGGTGTGATAGCTCATGGCTGTAATCCTAGCCCTTTGGGAGGCCGAGGCGGGTGGATCACGAGGTCAGCAGATGAAGACCATCCTGGCTAACACAGTGAAACCCCGTCTCTACTACAAATACAAAAAATTAGCTGGGCGTGGTGGCAGGCGCCTGTAGTCCCAGCCACTTGGGAGGCTGAGGCAGGAGAAACGCTTGAACCCGGGAGGCAGAAGTTGCAGTGAGCCAAGATCACGCCACTGCACTCCAGCCTGGGCGACAGAGTGAGCCTCCGTCTCAACAACAATAACAACAAAAAAACCCACCATGGTCAGTTGGGTTTAAATTATACTTAAAAATTATTATGCTATATGGATTTGTTAATATAGATAAGCCTGCTTAGCTGTCAATGGATTACATGTGATCAAAATTCTATCTATCTATCTATCTATATATTTGAGATGAAGTCTCGCTCTGTCACCCAGGCTGGAGTGCAGTGGCGTGATCTCAGCTCACTGCAACCTCCGTCTCCCAGGGTTCAAGCGATTCTCATGCCTCAGCCTTCCTAGCAGCTAGGACTACAGGTGTGCACCACCACACCCAGCTTATTTTTTGTAGTTTTGGTAGAGATGGGGTTTCACCATGTTGGCCAGGCTGGTCTCAAGCTCCTGACCTCAAGTAATCCACCCACATCGGCCTCCCAAAGTGCTGGGATTACAGGCGTGAGCTACCATGCCCAGCCTAAAAATATGTTTTAATATAGAAAACTACAAAGAGAAAAGCAAAAAATTGGTTCATATTCTCCCAGATTGCCCCTATAAATATAATATCCAGATTTCGATTATTTTTCTGCTACTGTTTTTTTCTAGACTAGTCAGCATTATAGGATACCCATTGGTATAAGGAGAAATGGCATTTTGACCCAATTCTTGGCACCAGGCTTAGGGACCAAGGACCTTGACATGAGTCCAGTAGTGGGACCTGAAACACCATGTCAGGAGCTGGCTGAGGTTAGGGAATGGAACAATTACAGATGGAACAATTACAGATAGGAAAGCCCATGAGTTAAGAGTGGAACTAAAGGTGGTCCAAGACCAGCTTTCAAGACAACCATAGATGTCAGGCCCAAGAAAGGGCAAGCATGAGAAGCAAGATCCAAGAGAAACTCCTAGATTTAGGCAGAATGGGGTGCAGAGAGACCAAGGAAGAGAACCCGAGTGGATGTGTCATAGATCCAGATGGTGCGACCCAGGAAACATTTGCCATCTTGAAGCTCTTCTGGAGCTCCTCAGGGTCCTCCTGTGGATGGACCTATGGTAGTCCTCAAAGCCTGGAGCTTTGCAGGCAGCTGCTGATGCCACATTCAGTCAGGAGACAGTCAGTGTGATCAGTGGAGTGCAGGACCTCATGGCTCTATGAAATGACATTGGTAGACTAAAGTAGGGGCAGGCAAGCCAGGATCATTAAGAGTGGCCAGGATGTCAGTCTGTACTCTGAGGTATACAAGGCCTCAGTAAGGTTAAAGTTCAGGATGCCAAGAACGGCAGCTGTGTTATAGACAACGTGGGTTGGGTTTTCTGTTACTTGCACCTGAAAGTATTAATTATGTGTGTGTGTGTTTTGTTTTATTTTATTCTATTTTTATTTATTTATTTGTTTTTTGAGACAGGGTTTCACTCTGTCGCCCAGGCTGGATTGCAGTGGTGCAATCTCAGCTCACTGCAGCCTCCACCTCCTGGTTCAAGTGATTCTCATGTCTCAGCCTCCTGAGTAGCTGGGATTACAGGCATGCACCACCACATCCAGATAATTTTTGTATTTTTAGTAGAGATGGGGTTTCACCATGTTGGCCAGGCTGGTCTTGAACTCCTGACCTCAAGTGATCCACCCACCTCAGCCTCCCAAAGTGCTGGGATTACAGGTGTGAGCCACCACGCCTGGCTTATATTTTAATATATACAGATGCATAAAATAAATTTTGTATAAACAGAACTGTTAAAGGTTGTTATCCAAGTAATGAGATTACAAGTGATTTTATTTTTAACTTGTCTGTATATTTAAATTTTTTTTTTTTTTTACAATACACTTTTTTGTTTTTTGAGACAGCACCTCACTCTTTCACCCAGGCTGGAGTGCAATGGTGCGATCTCGACTCACTGCAACCTCTGCCTCCCAGGTTCAAGCAATTCTCCTGCCTCAGCTTCCCGAGTAGCTTGGACTACAGGTGCGTGCCACCATACTCAGCTAATTTTCGTATTTTTAGTAGAGACGGGATTTCACCATGTTGGCCAGGCTGGTCTCGAATTCCTGACCTCAGGTGATCCACTCAACTCGGGCTCCCAAAGTGCTGGGATTACAGGCGTGAGCCACTGCACCCCACCTGCAATGAACTTCTATCAGCCAAGGTTCTTGCAAGCAATAGAACTGACTAAGCCTGATTTAAATGAAAGAGAAATTTGATGAAAGAGTATTGGGAACTCACATAACTACCTGGCAGTTCAGCAAATCAGGCTTGGAAGGAAAGCAGTTACTAGAGAGCCCCAATATGCCCAGAATAAGTCCAATGAGGATTTTGCTTTTGCTGACAATAACCCTTAGCCATCGCTGCCACTGACCCTTGGCCGCTACAACTCACATTGCTACCTAGCCTTAAATTCTGGGATACCACTGCTGGTGACCTGAAAACTCAATATTGCTACCTATTCTGCCTTCAACTGCCACGAGTATGTATACCTGGCTCTTTATGATAATAGCCGCTGATTCAAATATCCAGGGAGTTCACTTGTTTGACTGAGCTTAGGACACTTTCCCATGTCCAAGGACAAAGAGCTAAGAAAGTGAAAATCTGAACTTTCATCTTCTCTAGTGGAAGGCAAAATCTGTGCCCACCAAGACTCATAAGATAGTGAATGCTCTGAATACGGATGTTAAAATAAAAAGTAAAAATTTCCTTTACTCATATAATATTCTTGAAAAAAATCATAAAACAAAACAAAACAAAAAACCCAATCCACACCAAACCAAATTAAACCAAACCAAACTAAGTCAAACCAAAAGTCTAACATCAATGTAAGCACTTCTGGAAAAAATCACTACTTTTTTAAAAAAATAGGAAAAATAGCTGCACACATATTAGGCACATTTGAGAAAAAAAACAGTTTTCATTAAGTCATCTGAATTTACGTACCTTTCATATCTGAAACACATTTATCTCACATTTCCTGGTTTTCTAACCAAAAGTTTGATTCAGAATACCTGCCATCTTTTCAAACTCTCTGATGAATTTACTGTCACCAGAAGCTATTTCTTTTAATGTACCAACAGATATAATGAATTAGACATAGTCTGATGTTATTAGGAGCTGAGCTTCTTAAAACATGGTTAACTGAGTAATAAAGAATGCCTCTCCACTCAGTTACGTATTTTTTTGTCATCAAAAATAGAATTATTTTAAATGGTCAAGAATGACATGTACTCCGGCCAGGTGCAGTGGCTCACACCTGTAATCCCAGCACTTTGAGAGGCCAAGGCAGGTAGCTCAACTGACATCAGGAGTTTGAGACCAGCCTGGCCAACGTGGCGAAACCCCGTCTCTACCGAAAATACAAAAATTAGCTGGGTGTGGTGGTTTGCGCCTGTATCCCAGTTACTCAGGAGGCTGAGACACGAGAATCACTCGAACCTGGGAGGTAGAGGTTGCAGTGAGCCAAGATCACACCACGGCACTCCAGCCTGGGTGACAGAGCGAGACTCTGTCTCAAAACTAAAAATAAATTTAAAAAAGAGTAACTTGTATTCAATGATTCATTTACTAGAGTTAACAATAACTATATTTAAACAAGCAACCTGGAACAAGATCAAAAGAAATCCAAAGACCTAGATACAGTTAAGTAGATTTGTTTTTATCTCCTACAAATTTTCTTTCCTATATATTTTTTTCTTTTTGAGACAGCGTCTTGCTCTGTTGCCCAGGCTGGAGTGCAGTGGCACAATCTCAGATCACTGTAGCCTTGACCTCCTAGGTTCAAGCAATTCTCTTACCTCAGGCACCCAAGAAGCTAGGGGCATAAGGCATGTGCCACCATACCTGGCAACTTTTAAAACTTTTCTGTAGAGATGGGAGTCTCACTATATTGCCCAGGCTGGTCTCAAACTCCTGGCCTCAAGCAATTCTCCCTCCTTGGCTTCCCAAAGTGCTGAAATTACAGGTGTGAGTCACCATGCCCCGCCTTTCCTGTATTTTTGAAATACAAACACCAGAACAGTTTTCTTTAAAATACCAATGTCATCATATCATTCACATGCTTAGAATTTTTCAAAATCTCTCAGTGCCATTAGGAAAAGTACAGACTTCTGAGCTGGTTACTAAGATTTCTCTTCTAGGCCGGGTGTGATGGCTCACGCCTGTAATCCCAGCACTTTGGGAGGCCAAGACGGGCAGATCACCTGAGGTTGGTAGTTTGAGACCAGCCTGACCAACATGGTGAAGCCTCGTCTCCCCTAAAAACACAAAAATTAGCTGGACGTGGTGGTGGGTGCCTATAATCCCAGCTACTAGGGAGGCTGAGGCAGGAGAATTGCTGGAACCCGGGAGATGGAGGTTGCAGTGAGCTGAGATCACGCCATTGCACTCCAGCCTGGGCAACAAGAGCGAAACTCCATCAAAAAAAAAAAAAAATTCTCTTCTAAAAGGGAATCCTTGTACACTGTTGGCAGGAATGTAAAATAATACAGCCACTATGGAGAACAGTTTGGAGGTTCCTCAAAAAACTAAAAATTGAGCAACCATATGACCCAGCAATCCCACTGCTAGGTATATACCCAAAAGAAAGGAAATCAGGGTATTGAAGAGATATCTGCACTCCTGTGTTTGTTGCAGAACTGCTTACAATGGCTAAGATTTGGAAGCAACCTAAGTGTCCAACAGAGGAATGGATAAAGAAAATGTGGTACATATACACAATGGAGTACTATTCCGCCATAAAAAAGAAAGAGATCCAGTCATTTGCAACAGCATGAATGGAACTGGAGGTCATTAAGTTAAGTAAAATAAGCCAGGCACAGAAGACAAGCAGCACATTTTCTCACTTACTTGTAGGACATAAAAGTCAAAATGATTGGGCTCATGGATATAGAAAGTGGAAGGATGGTTACCAGAGGCTGGGGGGGGGAGTCGGGGGGAGGTAGAGATGGATAATGGGTACAAAAAATAGTTAGAATGAATAAGACCTATTGATAGCACAATAGGGTGACTATTTAAATAATTATATATTTTAAAATAAAGTGTGTAATTGAGTTGTTTGTAACTCAAAGGATAAATGCTTGAGGGGATGAATACCCCATTCTCCATGATGTGCTTATTTCACATTGTGTCCCTGTAACAAAACGTCTCATGTACCCCATAAATAAATACACCTACTGTGTATCCACAAAAATAAAATAATAGTAATTCAAAAAGAAGAGACTAGTAAGCATTAAAAACATCCTGAAATTTTTTCCTTTCCATAGCAATATTGAAAAAAAAAAACTAAGTTTATCATTCTGTGAAAAAAAAAAATTCTCTTCTATGTGGCAGCCCCAAACCTACCTTTCCAGCTGCATCTCCCACTGTTTCCCTATGAGCACTTGCATTTCCAGCCAGTTGGGTCTCTGAGTAAGTCTTGTTCTTTCTTGGTGCTATGCCTATGTTCATACCATCTTCTCTACATAGAAAACTTTCACCAGCTCTTCCTATCCATATCAATTTTACTTATCTCTAAAAATCAGGCTCATATCCTCTGTGCTGTGTGAGGATTTCTTTGACTCCTAACTCGTCAAGTCAATCTTTCTAATTCCCATACCAAAAAGCATTCTTGTTCCAGTTCTTAATGTTGCTGTTAGGTTGTAAGGTGTGTCACCATTTGTTACCACGAAGAATTAAAGCAGAAGATTATGAATTTTAAAGTCATTAATTAATTGAAGCATTTTAAAGATTCTTTCCCACATGAATGCCACTTTCCCCCACCTGAGTCTGGCTGGGCTTTCTGTATGGGGGGCCACCTCTACAGCACTGGTGACAGCATGTCACCTGGTGTCTGCCCAGGAGTGTGTCTTGCTGAATGATTCTGAGTGCAACACTTTGCCATCCACTCAGCTTGTCCTTTAAGATCAGCCCCCAGGGCTCATGTTGGAGTATCAGACACCTCTAAAATATTGAGACTCCTGTGCAGGGATTTACGGTAGGGGAGGACCCTTGAGATGACTCCAAATCTATAATGTCCCTAGCAGCTTCAGCAGTTACCAGTGGGTGGAGATGTTAGGAAAGGAGTTATAGTTTGGGTGTAGTGACATGGTGGAGACAACACAGAAGCTGCCAGGACAGGCAGTGGTAGAGAGATGATAGAGACCACTTTGCAACTGAAAAAAACTTTGGGAAAACACGAGACCACCCCATCCCCACCCCTGCTTAGAGACTCCCAGAAATAGTTGGGTGGTATTTGAGAGTGGTCAGATTTCCCAGAGTTGAAGGCGACAGCAGAGTCAGAGAAATAACATTTTTACCATTACTGTGACTATTTTATTTCAGACAGGTGTGGCCTAGGACAACATGGGTTATATTCAGATGTGTTTATTTGCCATCTTAAGGCACACAGAAACAGCAGAGAGATAAAAATAGTTGCGTTTAGGTTACAGGATTATGGGTAATTTTTGTGGCAACAGTTTAATAACATATATAGTTATTATTAACCAGTTACCACAGAATTAACAAATATTATAAATATAAAAATGTTATCAAATTGCTACCATAAAATTTTATATGTTTAAAAAATATGGGCCAGGCACTGTGGCTCATGCCTGTAATCCCAGCACTTTGGGAGGCCAAGGTGGGCAGATCACTTGAGATCAGGAGTTCGAGACCAGCCTGGCTAACATGATGAAACCCCATCTCTACTAAAAATACAAAAATTAGCCAGTCGTGGTGGTGTGCATCTGTAATCCCAGCTACTCGGGAGGCTGAGGCGTGAGAATCGTTTGAACCCAGAAGGAGAAGGTTGCAGTGAGCTGAGATCGTGGCACTGCACTCCAGCCTGGGTGACAGAGTGAGACTCCATCTCAAAAAAAAAAAAGATATAGTGTATATATGTATATATTTATATCAATACATATTCACACATATGTACAAGGCATACCTTGTTTTATCATGATTCACTTTATTGCATTTCACATATGTATATTGCATTTTTACAAATTGAAGGTTTGTAGCAACCCTGGGTCAAGCAAGTCTATTGGCACATTTTTTCCAATAGCATATACTCACTTCCTTCTTGTGTCACATTTTGGTAATTCTCATAATATTTCTAACTTTATTTTTATATCTGTCATGGTGATCTATGATAAGTGACCTTTGATGTTACTATTGTGACTGTTTTGGGGCACCATGAACTGTACTCATACAAGATAGTGAACTTAGTTAATGTCGTGTGTGCTCTGACTGTTCCACCAACTGCTCAGTCCCCCATCTCTCTCCCTCTCCTCCGGCCTCTCTATTCTCTGAGACATGATGATGTTTAAATTGGGTCAATTGGCCAGGCACGGTGGCTCACGCCTGTAATCCCAGCACTTTGGGAGGCCGAGGCAGGTGGATCACGAGGTCAGGAGTTCAAGACCAGCCTGGCCAAGATGGTGAAACCCCGTCTCTACTAAAAATACAAAAAATTAGCCAAGCATGGTGGCATGCCCCTGTAATCCCAGCTACTCCGGAGGCTGAGGCAGATACTTGCTTAAACCTGGAGAGGCGGAGGTTGCAGTCAGCCGAGATCACGCCACTGAACTCCAGCCTGGGTGACAGAGCAAGGCTCTGTGTCAAAAAAATAAAGAAAAAAAAAAAAGAAAGAAAGAAATTGGGTCAATTAATCACCCTACAATGGCCTCTAGGTGTTCAAGTGAAAGAAAGAGTCATGCATCTCTCACTTTAAATCAAAAGCTAGAAATGATTAAGTTTAGTGAGGAAGACATGTCAAAAGCTGAGATAGGCCAGAAACTAGGCCTCTTGCACCAAACATCCAAGTTGTGAATGCAAAGGTAAAGTTCTTGAAGGAAATTAAAAGTCCAACTCTAGCAACACACTAATGATAAGAAATTGAAACAGCCTTATTGCTGATATGGTGAAAGTTTGAATGGTCTGGATAGAAGATCAAACCAGCCATAACATTCCCTTAAGCCAAAACCTAATCCAGAACAAGGCCCTAACTCTCTTCAATTCTGTGAAGGCTGAGAGAGTGAGGAAGCTACAGAAGAAAAGTCTGACGGTGGCAGAGGCTGTTGCATAAGGTTTTAGGAGAGAAACTCTCTCTGTAACATAAAAGTACGAAGTGAAGCAACATGTGCTGATGTAGAAGCTGCAACAAGTTATCCAGAAGATCTAGCTAACATAATTGATAAAGATGGCTACACTAAACAACAGATTTTCAATATAGACAAAACAGCCTTCTATTGGAAGAAGATGCCATCTAGGACCTTCTTAGCTAGAAAGAAGTCAATACCTGGCTTCAAAGCTTCAAAGGACAGGTTGACTCTCTTGTTATGGGTTAATACAGCTGGTGACTTTAAGTGGAAGCCGATGCTTACTTACCATCCCCCAAATCTTAGAGGTGACAGCGTTCTGGAGCCCTCACAGCCCTCCCTCGCTCTGGGTGCCTCCTCGGCCTTGGCGCCCACTCTGGCTGCGCTTGGGGAGCCCTTCAGCCTGCCGCAGCACTGTGGGAGACCCTCTCTGGACTGGTGGAGGCGCAGCCGGCTCCCTCTGCTTGTGGGGAGGTGTGGAGGTAGAGGCGCGGGCGGGAACCCGGGCTGCGGGCGCTCTCAGGCCAGCGAGAGTTCCGGGTGGGCATGGGCTGCACGGGCCCGCACTTGGAGCCGCCGGCCGGCGCTGCAGGCCCCGGGCAGTGAGGAGCTTAGCACCCAGGCCAGCAGCTGCGGAGGGTGCGCGGGGTCCCCCAGCAGTGCTGGCCCGCCGGCGCTGCGCTGGAATTCTCGCCAGGCCTCAGCTGCCTCCCCGCGGGGCAGGGCTCGGGACCGGCAGCCCGCCATTCCCGAGCCTTCCCCTACATCATGTGCTCCTGCACCGCCCAAGCCTCCCCTACGAGCGCCGCCCCCTGCTCTGCGGCGCCCGGTCCCATCGACCGCCCAAGGGCTGAGGAGTGCTGGCGCACTGCGCGGGACTGGCGGGCAGCTCCGCCTGCGGCCCCCGTGCAGGATCTACTAGGTGAAGCCAGCTGGGCTCCTGAGTCTAGTGGGGACTTGGAGAACCTTTATGTCTAGCTAAAGGATTGTAAATACACCAATCAGTACTCTGTGTCTAGCTCAAGGTTTGTAAACACACCAATCAGCACCCTGTGTCTAGCTAAAGCTTTGTAAATGCACCAATCAGTGCTCTGTGTCTAGCTAATCTAGTGGGGACTTGAAGAACTTTTGTGTCTAACTCAGGGATTGCAAATGCGCATTTATGCGTGTTCTGTGGGTAAACTGTTATCAAACAGCATCTCATGCTACAGAGAGATCTTTTGTGAAAGGCAGAGTCAATTGATGCATCAAACTTCATGGTTGTCTCATTTTTAAAAATTGCCACAGCCATCCCAACCTTTAGCAACCACCACCCTGATCGGTCAGCAGCTACCAACATTGAGGCAAGATCCTTCACCTGTCAAAACAGACCAATCAGCTCTCTGTAAAACAGACCAATCAGCTCTCTATAAAATGGACCAATCAGCAGGATGTGGCTGGGGCCAGATAAGGGAATAAAAGCAAGCTGCCCCAGCCGGCAGTGGCAACCCGCTCGGGTCCTTTCCACACTGTGGAAGCTTTGTTCTTTCACTCTTTGCAATAAATCTTGCTGCTGCTCACTCTTTGGGTCCGCACTGCCTCTATGAGCTGTAACACTCACCGCGAAGGTCTGCAGCTTCACTCCTGAGGCCAGCGAGACCAGGAACCCACTGGGCGGAATGAACAACTCCCCACGGCAGGAATGAACAACTCCAGAGGAGCCACCTTAAGAGCTGTAACACTTACTGCAAAGGTCTGCAGCTTCACTCCTGAAGCCAGCGAGACCACGAACCCACCAGAAGGAAGAAACTCCGAACACGTCTGAACATCAGAAGGAACAAACTCCGGACACACCATCTTTAAGAACTGTAACACTCCCCGCGAGGGTCCGTGGCTTCATTCTTGAAGTCAGTGAGACCAAGAACCCACCAATTCCAGACACATTAGGACCCTCAAGAATTATGCTAAATCTGCTGTACCTGTGCTCTATAAATGTAACAACACAGCCTGGATGACAGCACATCAGTTTACAGAATGGTTTACTGAATATTTTAATTCCACTGTTGAGACAGTGGGATTAAATGCTCAAGCGAAAGCATTCCCTTGAATATATTAGTGGTCATCAACAATGCAGCTGGTCACCCAAGAACTCTGAGGAGATGTAAAAGGAGATTAATGTTTTCATGCTGCTAACATGCATCTATTCTGCAGCCCATGGCTCAAAGAGTAATTTTGATTTTGGGGTCTTATTATTTAAAATATGTATTTCACAAGGCTATATCTGCCATAGCTAGTGATTCCTCAGATGGATCTGGGAAAAGTAAATTGAAAACCTCATAGAAAGGATTCACCATTCTAGATGCCATTAAGAACATTTGTGACTCATGAGAGGAGGTCAAAATATCAACATGAACAGGAGTTCGGAAGTAGCTGATTTCAACCCTCATGAATGAGTTAAAGGAGGTCAAGACTTCAGTGAAGGAAGTCACTTCAGATGCAGTGCAAATAGCAAGAGAACTAGAATTAGAATTGGAGCCTGAGAACTAGAACTAGAATTAGAAGTTACCATCTCATGACCAAACTTGAACGGGTGAGGAATTGCTTCTTATGGATGGACAAGGAAAGTGGTTGCTTGAAATGGAATCCGGTGAAGATGCTGTGAACATAGTTGAAACGATAACAAAGAAATTATTACGTAATCTCAGTTCATAAAGCAGTGGCAGGCTTTGAGTGGATTGACTCCAATTCTGAAAAATATTCTGTGGGTAAACTGTTATCAAACAGCATCTCATGCTACAGAGAGATCTTTTGTGAAAGGCAGAGTCAACTGATGCATCAAACTTCATGGTTGTCTTATTTTTAAAAATTGCCACAGCCATCCCAACCTTTAGCAACCACCACCCTGATCAGTCAGCAGCTATCAACACTGAGGCAAGATCCTTCACCAGCCAAAAAAAAATTACAACCTGCTGAAGGCTCAGGTGAGCATTAGGATTTTTTAAGCAATAAGATATTTTTAAATTAAGGTACAAACATTATTTTATATTATATATATATTATATATTATATATATTATATAATATATAATATTATATATATATATTTGAGATGGAGTTTCACTCTTGTTGCCCAGGCTAGAGTGCAATGGCACAATCTCGGCTCACTGCAACCTCTACCTCCCAGGTTCAAGTGATTCTCTGCCTCAGCCTCCCGAGTAGCTGGGATTACAGGCATGCACCACCACGCCTGGCTCATTTTGTATTTTTAGTAGAGACGGGGTTTCTCCATGTTGGTCAGGCTCGTCTCAAACTCCTGACCTCAGGTGATCCTCCCGCCTTGGCCTCCCAAAGTGCTGGGATTACAGGTGTGAGCCACCACGCCTGGCCAATTTTTTAGACATAATGTTATTGCACACTTAATAGACTATGGTATAGTATAAATAAAACTTTTATATGCATTGGGAAACCAAAAAATTTCTTTTCTTTGAGACAAGGTCTTGCTCTGTCACCCAGCCTGGAGTGCAGTGGATCATAGCCCACTACAACCTCAAACTCCTGGACTCAAGCAATCCTCCTGCCTCAGCCTCCTGAGTAGTTGGTGTACAGGTGCACACCACTGTACCTGGCTAATTTTATTTATTTTTATTTTTGTAGAGACAGAGTCTTGCTATGTTGATCAGGCTGGTCTTTTTGTTTGTTTTTGAGAGGAAGTCTCGCTGTTGTTGACCGGGTTGGAGTGCAATAGTGCAATCTCAGTTCACTGCTACCTCTGCCTCCCAGGTTCAAGCAATTCCCCTGCCTCAGCCTCCCTAGTAGCTGGGATTACAGGCGCCTGCCACCATGCCCAGCTAATTTTTGTATTTTTAGTAGAGATGGGGTTTCACCATGTTGGCCAGGCTGGTTTTGAGCTCCTGGCCTCAGGTCATCTGCCCACCTCGGCCTCCCAAGGTGTTGGGATTACAGGCATGAGCCACTGCGCCAGTCAGGCTGGTCTTAAACTCCTGGCCTCAAGCAGTCCTCCTGTCTCAGCCTCCCAAAAGGCTGGGAGTATAGGCATGAGCCACCATACCTGGCCAACATACATTCCTCACATTCATTTGGATACACTTTCTGACTGGACACTTCATGAGTCAATGACAGATTCCACATGAGGCCCCCTTCAGTTTCTGGTAGGAAAAGCCAATGTGTTTGGAGACAGAGGAAGAAAAGTTTCCATCAGGACATGAACAGGGAGATGGGAGATAAGTAGTCACTACCTGTGCACCAAGGAAAGATAAAAGAGAAAAGTAAATGATACAAGCTCTCTAGACATCAGGGTCAGCTTAGGGTAAGATCAGCTCGTAGACAGAATAGGTCTTTAGTCCAGTTCAATTCCACCCTCGTCTCCTTGGATCTCATTTTCTTCCATTTCTCCTTCAAATCCTTATTAAAATCTATGAAAGCACACCTCATTTCTTTGCCTGACTTTGTGTTTCTTGGGGCTCTATTAGCACAAGCGCTCATCCTCTGACTCTGAGTTCTTGAACCCCAGTTCTGGCTTTACTTTCAAGCACCAACTAGGGGATCCTGGACACCACATAATGCCCTTTAGGCCTCAGAAGATTCCCTCACATTAAGCTGGCTGTGTGGTGGCCTAACTCCCAGCTGCCACCTGCCGTCTTGCCCTGTGGATGTTCATCTACCAGGGAAGAGCTTTGGTGCAGACCCGGGCAATCAGTACAGTTTCATGAATGACATGGGCTCCTTTCCCGGGTGGACTGCATTCCTATCATTCCTGAGAGCATGCTCTGCTCTGATCCGTAACTTATCTGACCTCAGGAAGGCTTGAGAACATGTAAAGAAAGCAAATGAGCTGGGTATGGTGGCACATGCCTGTACTCCCAGCTACTTGGGAGGCTGAGATGGGGAGGATCACTTGAGGCCAGTAGTTCAAGGCTGCAGTGAGCCGTGATTGTGCCACTGCACTCCAGCCTGGGTGAAAGAGTGAGACATTGTCTCTAAAGAAAGTAGACTGTGGCTAAGGTCAGGCCCAGGCCATTCTTTCTGGGCCTACTGCTCTGTCAAGGATTTCTGGGGTTTACCATGCTTTAACCTCTGGGGCCTCTTCAGACTTCATGAATAGCATTTAGGTAAGCCAAGGTTGTAGATGGCCCCCAGGTCACATGACTCCCCCACCCCCATCCCAAGTGGCTTACTGAGTCTCAGATTTGTCTGATGCATTCATTAAGAAAATCCCAGCTGGGTGCGGTGGCTCACACCTGTAATCCCAGCACTTTGGGAGGCCAAGGCGGGCGGATCACAAGGTCAGGAGATCGAGACCATCCTGGCTAACATGGTGAAACCCCGTCTCTACTAAAAATACAAAAAATTAGCTGGGCGTGGTGGCAGGCACCTATAGTCCCAGCTATTCGGGAGGCTGAGGCAGGAGAATGGCGTGAACCTGGGAGGCGGAGCTTGAGTGAGCAGAGATCGCGTCACTGCACTCCAGCCTGGGTGACAGAGCGACACTCCGTCTCAGAAAAACAAAAACAAGAAAACCCCACGCAGAGTAAAGTGCTTCTGCAGAGCCTATGAGAAATCCTTCCTTTTGTCTTTACTTGGTCCATACACTATTCCAGGTGGCTCCAGGGATTCCTGGCCTGGTTAATATAAAGGAAACTTCTGGTAGCCTGACAGAAACTCTAGTCTAGGTTCCAGGTTTTCATCAGTTGAGAATTAATGGTTAACTCCCAATATCCTGAAGAAGTATCAGGGCTGTTTAATGCCCCAACATTGCCAAATAACAAGCTTTCTGTTGAACACCTAAAGCCTGCAGAGTTTCACTAATCCCATTGAGATCCTGACTTTTGGGACCAGACTGGACATCCCAGAGTTGCCAAAGACACCACACCCAGCATGAAATACTATGGCTTCAGGGCAGGCTCTAGATCAGTCTTCTGACACTTTAATGTGCTTGTGAGTCATCTGGGGATTTTGTAAAAAATGTAAATTCTGATTCAGCAGATCTGGGTGGGGCCTAAGATTCTGCATTTCTAACAGGTTCCCAGGTGGTGCTGATACTGCTGGCCTGAGGATCACACTTTGAGTGGCAATACTGTGAAGGCAGCAGTGTGGATGGAAAACACTCCAGAGTTCAGATTCCCTTCAATGAATATAGTTTTCCTGCAGCTGGAACGGAAAGTAGCTTTGAGACAAATGGTAATAGTCTTTATCCACTTGGCCTTTGACATCCCCTTGTAAGCAAGCAGAGACAAGGGAAGTGATTAGTGCTCAAGAGGAACCCACACACGTAGGTATTTCTGCCCAGCGGCACATATAACACCTCAAATGCTCACCTCATATCACCCCATCCCTCACCCACCCAGTGATGCTGACTGTTTTAGCCTTTAGGCCCTAGATAGGGCAGAAGAGAGGGTGTGAAATTGCTCAGTGACTGAACAAGGGTTAGTTCTGGAGAGCTGGGATTCTTAGAGAAGGTAACAGGGTTCTTTTCTCTTCAGTCTCTACTGGCTGTCCAGGTAGTAGTTGGCAGCTCACTGGGAAGGGCACTGTGATAGTCAGAAATAAATAGGCCAGGCGAGGTGGCTCATGACTATACTCCCAGCACTTTGGGAGGCTAAGATGGGAGAATTGCTTGGGACCAGGAGTTCGAGACCAGCCTAGGCAACATAGTGAGACCCCCCCCCTCATCTCTACAAATAATTAAAAAACTAACTGGGTGTGGTGGTGAGAGCCTGTAGTCCCAGCTACTCAGGAGGCTGAGGTGAGAGGACAGCTTGAGCCCTGGAGGTGGAGGTTGCAGTGAGCCAAGATCACGCCACTGCACTCCAGCCTGGCCAATAGAGTGAGACCCTGACTCAAAAAAAAAAAAAAAAAAAAGGGAAAGAAAGAAAAAGTAAAAATAAAAATATAAAATAAATAAAAACTTATTCCTGCTCTCCAGAGTCTTCTTATCAAGTGAGGAAGACACACGTGGGCAAATAACAATGGAATGATGTGCTAACTCTCTAACAGGCTTATGACAAATATCTATATTGAATGTACCTAGCAAGATGGTGGAGAATGAGGTTTGGGAAGGGTTCTGGAAACTCTTCTCAGAAGAGTAGGCCAGGAGCTAGGACTTTTCCAGGTGTAGAAGGAGGCATGGAAGGGTTTTCTACCCAGCATTTTCCTCAGGAAAGGGCCAGGAAGAGAGAGTAGCTCCAAATAGAAGCCCCTGGACCAAGATTCCTCAGAACATATGACATACGGAAGGTGACTGAAAGAGGAGCAAAGGCGCTTGCTGAATATTAGATACATGATTGGGCAGATGGAGCGTCTACTGTGGTATGAAGTTTTTCTCTTTTTTAATGTTTCTTTGAGTGATTTTATAAGTATTTCTAGTAAAGTTAAAAGTAGATAAAGAGATGATTGCTGTAATGAAAGGGGTGTTTATGAGCTTCTCAAAGATCTTTGCACCAGAAAGAGATCAAAGTCAGACCACAGTGCTGCAGGGGTGGGTCTGTTGCCTACCGCCAGCTGCAAAGGGGCATAATTGCCATCTAGTGGCACAAACCCACAAGTGTGAGCTCCATTCTTGGCGTCTGTAGTCTCTTCAGGTAAGAAATTGTTATGGCCTATACAACCTCCTCTGTCCTCTTCCAGTTCCTAGGCCCTTAGTTTGGTTACTGGAGAAGATTGGTCCAACTAGGAAAATGTCAAATGGACAGTATTATGCAAGAGATTAATTCATATTAAAATGTAAAGAGTCACTCAAATGAATGTGAATGACTGATGTTGCCTTGATGTCTAATTTGAGAGAGGAGAGGTGTTGGTGGAAGGACCAGGAGAACAGGAA
The DNA here is from genome assembly GCF_000001405.40 of Homo sapiens. NCBI lineage: Eukaryota > Metazoa > Chordata > Mammalia > Primates > Hominidae > Homo > Homo sapiens. The sequence goes on from NC_000003.12 coordinate 120,147,586, forward strand.
GAGCAGGAATAGGGTGGGGATGGGCTGTCCCTAAGAGAAGGAACAAATACAGGAAGAGGCCCTGCAGGAGCAGCTGCCTTTGATTTTACTTGTTTACCTTCTCCTGGGAAGAAGCAAATAGAAGTTGCTCGTGACATTATTTTCAGAGCTATTTTCAGATAGTGTGGCTAGAAAGGGCCGCGGTGCTATTTTGCTAGCAAGAGTGTTTAGCACGGCTAATTTTATCACAGAGTGGCTTTGTTCCTAGATGCACCAGCATGTTGAATTAAACATTTTGAAGAAAGGAATCCCCTATCAGTGCTTCCTTGATGATGTGTGGTAGCTCCTTTGGCACCATGAGGGCCAGAGCATGGTCTTCTGCCAGTGCCTGACAGGGGATCATTGGTTAGAGTCTGTTTCAGTTTTCATACTGGGCTCCAATTCTCCAGGGCCCCTTATTATTTGCCTAATTCTTACATTACATAGAGAGAGCCCCAGGGCTCCTTATAGACTGTGAAAAGGTGTTTTCAGATAAGGAGGGTGACATGTAGCAAAGCAGAGCCATTATAGAGCAGGTGAGAGCCGGAATCCAAAGGAGGCCACAATCAATAAAACACAGGTAAAATGGGATTTCTGCAATCAAGGATTTTACAATCAGACCTACACCATTCTCATTTTGGCTTCTGATGAGCTGTGTGACAATTTAATTTTAATTTTTAGTTTAGAGGAGACAGGCTCTGGCTTTGTCACTTAGGCTGGAGTGCACGGCTCAGAGAAGCCTCAAACTCCTGGGCTCAAGTGATCCTCCTGCCTCAGCTCTTGAGCAGTTGGGACCACATGCGTGCACCACCACACCTGTCTATTTAAAAAAAAAAATTTTTTTTTTGTAGAGACAGAGTTTCACTATGTTGCCCAGGCTAGTCTTGAATTGCTGGTCTCAAGTGATCCTCCTGCTTCAGCTTCCCAAAGCACTGGGATTACAGGTGTGAGCCACAATGCCTAGCTCTGTGTGACAATTTAGGCAAGTTAGCTGATCTCTGGGGTCAGTTTCTTTGTCAGTAAAATGGAAATAAAAAGGTGCTGTGGTTTTTTTTCCAATGCCTACCTCCAAATCTCCCTTCTGAGTACCCCACTTCCTTCACTGTGCCTCCCCACTTCCTGTTGGCACAGTACCATCCTCCAGTGTTGCTCAGAGATCCCCCTCTTCTAGAAGGAGGAGTTCTCGTGGGGGATGGAACAAAACCACAATGAAGGTATATGAAGGCTGAAGCTTCTGAGCTGCTAAGAGATGTTCAGTGTTTGGGCTACCAGGTGGAGGACCCCTCCTTTCAGAATCTCCTGGCTTCTCTTTGGAATCCCTTCCTCCCTCTCATGCAAGGGACTGTATAGGGACCCCTTACCAAAAGTCTAGGTGTGGGTGGCTCAGGCTGACACTGCTCTGAGTCTAAATGAGGGATGGCTTTTCCCTAGGCACTAATTATTTGGTTCCCTTTTCCAAAGGGGCTCTTTTCACCATCTGAGTGTTAAAACCTCAAAAGGTCCAGATTAAGAAGCTAGACCCGAAGAAAAGAGTTTTAGAAAAACCGCCAGCTGCTCTTAGCCCTATTCTGGGATTTCTCATATTCGGATTATATACAATCCTCTTTTTAAAAAAATTGTGGTAAAATACACATGTCATAAAATTTAGCATTTTAAGCTTTTTTTTTTTTTTTTTTGAAACAAGGTCTCGCTCTGTCACACAGGTTGGAGTGCAGTGATACAATCATAGCTCATTGCTGCCTCCACCTCCTGGGCTCAGGTGATCCTCCTGCCTCAGCCTCCTGAGTAGCTGGGACCACAGTCAGCTAATTTTTTATTTTTGTAGAGACAGGGTTTCCCTATGTTGCCCAGGATGGTCTCAAATTCCTGGGCCCAAGGATCTTATCAACTTTACCTCTCAAAGTGCTGGGCTTACAGGCATGAGCCATTGCACCTGGCCCTTTTGAAGCATTTTTAAGTGTAAAGTTCAGTGGTAATAAGTAGATTTACATTGTTGTACAGTCATCACCACTATCCATTTCCAGAACTTTTTCCATCATCCCATATTGAGATTCCATACCCATTAAACACTAACTCTCCATTCCACTCTCCCCCGACTCCCTGGTAACTGCTATTCTACTTTCCATCTCTCTGAATTCTAGGTAACTTAAATAAATGGAATCATATTTGTCCTTTTGTGTCTTATACAGGCCTCTTTTAAAGGAAAAAAATTGTATGTTATAGACATGCTGTACTGAGTATTCTGATGTTACATACACGTACACATACGTGTAAAAGTAGATATAAAATGCTAAGCTTATAGCTCCACTTAAGCTTAGGCAATTATAAAATAAAATTACCAAACTAAACCTAAAAATCCACAAAATCTTGTATTATTAAGTTTAGTGTGAGAGATAATGTTTTGCTAAAACAAAACTTCCAAAGGCATCTAATAATAGAAATAGTTTTGGGTCTGGTTTCTACATTTAATTTGTGTTTGCATTTTGGCTCCAATTATTTTAATGCAGAGACTAACTGCACACATATGTTGTAGAAAATGTTACTAGTAACATCAAAGCTTTGTTTGATACTGCAGGATAATCAGGCCACATACTTAGCCATAATATTGCCAGTAAGCAATTCTTGGAGGCCAATTTTAATGAGGCATTACTAGATAATAATGTAAAATTATCTCTTCTTGGAGATAAAAGTAATATTGTGGTATTGTTGAAATATGAATTAAAGGGGCATCTACTCTAATTCTTGTTAGAATTGGGAAGAGAGAAACCCTTTATTGTGATTACCTACTATACTTGCTGCTAATGAACTGTTGCAAGTTGATATATACAAAGATAAGCTTTAAGTAATGGAATCTAAATACGAAATTGCCAGCAATGTCCAGGTTCTCTTGAGTTCAGTGTACTTATAAAACTATCTTGATTGCTATGAAACAAGCCACCCCAAAGCTGAATGGCTTAAAAGAACATGTGTCTCTCAAGTCTATGATTTAGGCAGAGCTTGCTAAGGATAGCTTATCTCTACTCCACTAGACCTTACCTGGGGTGGCTCAAATACTAGAAGCTGAAATCACCTCATGCAGAGGTCAATAAACATTTTCTGTAAAGGACCATATAGTAAATGATTTTCAGCTTTGTGGGCCATGCAGTCTCCGTTGTTAATACATTCTGCCATTGTAGTGCAAGAGCAGCCATAGACAAGTAAATGGACATAGCTGTAGTCCAATAAAACTTTACTTATAAAAACAGGCAGCAGGCTAGATTTGGCCCTCAGTTCAAAATCTGCCAACCCCTGATCTAAAAGCTTGCTCTCTCACATGCTTGGCAGTTGACACTGGCTGTTGTCTGGGACCTTACCTGGGTCTTCCAGCCAGAACACTTCTCTATTAGAGAGAGCCAGGCAGAAGCCCTATATTTTATTTTATTTTATTTTATTTTATTTTATTTTATTTTATTTTATTTTATTATTTTATTTTATTTTATTTTATTTTATTTTATTTTATTTTATTTTATTTTATTTTTGGCAGAGTCTCAGTCTGTCACCAGGCTGGAGTGCAGTGGCGCGATCTTGGCTCACTGCAACCTCCACCTCCTGGGTTCAAGCAATTCTCTTGCCTCAGCCTCCTGAGTAGCTGGGACTACAGGTGTGCGCCACCATGCCTGGCTAATCTTTTTATAGTTTTAGCAGAGACAGGGTTTCACCATGTTGGCCAGGTGGTCTTGATCTCTTGACCTTGTGATCCGCCCACCTTGGCCTCCCAAAGTGCTGGGATTACAGGCGTAAGCCATAGCACCCGGCTGTCCTATCTTTTTAAAAACCAAGCCTGAAGAGTCATGAGGCATCACTTCTACCATGTGATTTGTTGAGGCAATCACAAAGCCCCATCCAGGTTGAAGGGTAAGAAATATAGATGTCATCTCTTGATGGGATAGTGACAAGATTCTGGAAGAGCATATAGGACCAGGAATACTGCTGTGCTCATTTTTGAAAAAGACAGTCTTTCACATTTACCACTTGCCATGTGATGAATCAATTCTCCCACCACTTTCTTACATTCAAAATCATTTCAAAATTGTCACTTATACAGCAGGGTTTGACGTCATTTGAGTTTCATTTGTTGGGAAAACATTCTCAAACACAATCTCAGGCACTGAAATTTCATGGAGTTTGTTCTAAGGCAGTCATACAGATGATTCAGAACAAGCCAAGACGTATTTTTCTGTTATCATTAAAATAAAATCCAAATTTCCCAAATTTCTCAGAAAAATCTTGTACATCCCGGAAAATACTTTCCTCATTTGAGAAACATGAATCTAAGTCTTAGGACAAGGGGGCAAACAATATCCTCCCAGCTCTCACATAGTCCAGCCCAACTTCCTGGAGCAAAGGTCTCAAATCCTGTCATCATAAGCAGTGTGCGTTTGCTGCAAGAGTCATCTTGTGGCGCTCCCTTAGGAAGCTGTAGTTCAAGGATTTGGTCTTGGCCATCTCTCTGTCTTTCCCTCAGAGACACTATGAAAGGCCCTTAATTGCTCTTAACCATTTTCATTTGCATTGTGGTTCTTCAGCAGCCTTTTTACAGCAGTGTGAGACAAAGGTCCTCTTCATTTTTCTTATTATCTAGAATTCTGGTTGATGTGCCTCAATTTGTGGGTCATCTTTTAAAAATAATTAGTAGGGTTTCGGTTGGTGCCTAATCTGGAGGACTGGACAGGCTGCTCGGTGCTCAATCTGATGGACACCTGATGCCAGCTGCCAGCTGGTAGAAAAGAAAGCATGGGAACCTTTTCCTGCTTAACTATATAACATGTTTTTTTTTTTTGAGACAAGGTCTTGTTATGTTGCTCAGGATGGTCTCAAACTCCTGGCCTCAGGTGATCCTCATAACTCTGCCTTCCAAGTAGCTGGGATTATAGATGTGAGCCTGCATGCCTGGCTAACTTCTCATTGTTTGTTTGTTTTTGTTTTTTGAGACAGGGTCTCACTATGTCACCCAGGCTGGAGTGCAGTGGTGCGATCTCTGCTCACTGCAACCTCCGCCTCCTGGGCTCAAGTTATTCTCCCACCTCAGCCTCCTGAGTAGCTGGGACTACAGGCGTGCACCACTATGCCCAGCTAATTTTTTGTAGATACAGGATTTTGCCATGTTGCCCAGGCTGCTCTGGAATTTCTGAGCTCAAGCAATCCGTCCGCCTCTCTCTTCCGAAGTGCTGGAATTACAGGTACGAGCCACCGTGCCTGGCCAAATTTCTCATTCCTAATTAACTGAACAGGTAGATCTCAAGAATACTGCCAACTCTGATAAAGCCTTTGCTGACATCTTTGTTCAACATTTTTGTGATGTAAGATGACATGGGAAGCAGGTCAGGTGTTTCTGAATACCTCCTTTAGAGAATTCAGGATAGCTAGATTGAGACATTGTATCTGAAGTCTTTAGGAGGCAATAACAGCACATGGTGGACCTCAGCGTTTCAAATAATGTATGTCAGCACGGTGGTGACAGCCCATAGCTCTCACACCCAGGGAGGCTTCTCTCAAGGTGGTTGGGTGCTGAGCTGCTCACAGTTGGTCCAAGGACTGAGGGCAGGGGGCCCAGCTGGTGTGGGACTGTGGGTACCTTTACTGAGCTGCTAGAAGGGAACTGGCAACATATTCTGAGGTGAGAAGACCTTCAGTTGAAAGCTATTTTGTTGTTTCTGTTGCATTTGGTAACTGAGAGGTTGAGCTGTGAGGTCACCTTTTCTCCAGTACGTCTTAAGAGGCTTCCCTCTTTCCTTTCATTTCCTTCCTGAGAGCCAAACCTTCTCTCTCTGACTCATGTAGTTGCTGTAGAGATAATTCGGATGTCAGAAGCAATGGCCATTAATTTGAGAGGAGGAGGGCAATGATTATTCAGAAACAAGTCTCCTCTCATCATGCAAATACCCCTAATTAAGAAATCCAGAGTCAGATTCTGTGTCATGGAAACATAATTTCCTTTGACTCAGAGAGTTCCAGGAATTGCTGCAGGCTATGAACCTTTCTTAGCTTCCTGGGTTAAATGACTTCACCCTCTGCCCTGAGTTTTCTTGGACAAAAGTGAATTCAATGTGACATGGATGAAGCATCTTCCATGTGCCAGTCACTATTATTTAAAACATGGGAGTGAACAACAACAGAGTTCCTGCCCTCAAGGAACTGAGTAAAGGAATCTTTAAGTGACAAACCCTGAATAATCTGTGGATCGTGATAGAAAGGTGAAAACTTTGTTTGGATACTGTTATGGGTTTAATTATGCCCCTCCAAAAATTAGTATATTGATGTCTTAATCCCCAGTACCTCAGAACGTGACTTCACTTGGAGACAGGGTCTTTACAGAGATAATCAAGTTAAGGTAGGTCATTAGTGTGGTTCTGTATTAGTCCATTCTCACACTGCTATAAACAATACCCCAAACTGGGTAATTTATAAACAAAGGAGGTTTAATTGATTCACAGTTCTGCATGGCTGGGGAGCCCTCAGGAAACTTGGGCTGAGGCAGTTCATGGCAGAAGGGGAAACAGGCATGTCTTACATGGCAGCAGGCAAGAGAGAGAGACAGAGAGAGAGAGAGAGAGAATCTAAAGGAGAAACTGTCAAACACTTATAAAACAACCAGATCTCTTGAGAACTCACTCACTATCACAAGAACGGCACAGGGGAAACAGGCCCCATGATCCAATCACCTCCTACCAGGTCCCTACCTCAACACATGGGGATTATGGGGATTACAACTCAAGATGAGGTTTGGGTGGGGACACAGAGCCAAACCATATCATTCTGCCCCTGGTCCCTCCCAAATCTCATGTCCTTTTTACATTTCAAAACCAATCATGTCTTCCCAACAGTCCCCCAAAGTCTTAACTCATTCTGGCATTAACCCAAAAGTCCAAGTCCAAAGTCTCATCTGTGACAAGGCAAGTCCCTTCTGCCTATGAGCCTGTAAAATCAAAAGCAAGTTAGTTACTGCCTAGATACAATGGGAGTACAGGCATTGAATAAATGCTCCCATCCCCAATGGGAGAAATGGGCTAAAAACAAAGGGGCTACAGGCCCCGTGCAAGTCCAAAACCCAGTGGGGCAGCCATTAAATCTTAAAGCTTCAAAATGATCCCCTTTAATACCATGTCTCACATCTGGGATTTGCTAATGCAAGGAGTGGGCTTCCATGGTCTTGAGCAGCTCCTTCATGGGCTAGCTTTGCAGAGTACAGCCCCCCAGCCTGGCTGCTTTCATGGCTGGTATTGAGTGCCTGTAGCTTTTCCAGGCACATGATGCAAGCTGTTGGTAGACCTCCCATTCTGGGATCTGGAGGACCATGTCCCTCTTCTCACATTCCACCAGGCAATGCCCCAGTGGGGACTCTGTGGGAGCTCCAACCCCACATTTCTCTTTTGCACTGCCCTAGCAGAGGTTCTCCATGAGGGCTCTGCCCCTGCAGCAAACTTCTGCCTGGACATCCAGGCATTTCCCTAAATCCTCTGAAATCTAAGCAGAGGTTCCCAAGCCTTAATTCTTGATTTCTGTGCACCCACAGACCCAACACTATGTGGAAGCCAAGGCTTGAGGCTTGCACCCTCTGAAGCCACAGCCTGAGCTGTACCTTGGCCCTTTTTTAGCCACAGCTGGAGCTGGAGTGGCTGGGATGCAGGGCACCAAGTCCCAAGGCTCCACAAAGCAGCAGGGCCCTGGGCCAGGCCCATAAAACCATTTCTTCCTCCTAGGCCTCTGGGCCTGTGATGAGAGGGGCTGGTGCAGAGGTCTCTGGCATGCCCTGGAGACATTTTCCCCATTGTCTTGGTAATTAATATTTGCTTCCTCATTATATATGCAAATTTCTGCAGCTGGCTTGAACTTCTCAGAAAATGGGTTTTCTTTTCTATCTCATCATCAGGCTGCAAAATTTCCAAACTTTCATGCTCTGGTTCTCTTTTAAACATACGTTCCAATTTCAGATCATCTCACTTAAATTCAAAGTTCCACAGATCTCTAGCACAGGGGCAAAATGCTGCCAGCCTCTTTGCTAAAGCATAGCAAGAGTGACATTTGCTCCAGTTCCCAAGAAGTTTCTCATAACCATCTGAGACCACCTCAGCCTGGACTTCATTGTCCACATCGTTATCAGCATTTTGGTCAAAGTCATTCAACAAATCTCTAGGAAGTTCCAAACTTCCCCACATCTTTCTGCCTTCTTCTGAGTCCTCCAAACTGTTCCAACTTCTGCCTGTTACCCAGTTCCAAAGTTGCTTCTACATTTTCAGGTTATCTTTATAGCAGTGCCCCACTCCTGGTACCAATTTACTGTATTAGTCCAGTCTCACACTACTATAAAGAAATACCTGAGACTAGGCAATTTTTAAACAAAGGAGGTTTAATTGACTCACAGTTCTACGTGGTTGGGGAGGCCTCAGGAAACTTACAGTCATGGCGGAAGAGGAAGCAGGCATGTCTTACATGGCAGCAGGTGTGTGTGTGAGAGAGAAAGCGAATCTGAAGGAGGAACTGTCAAACACTTACAAAATCATCGATCTCATGAGAACTCACTCACTATCATGAGAATAGCATGGGGGAAACCACCCCCATGATCCAATCACCTCCCACCAGGTCCCTCTCTCAACACATGGGGATTATGGGGATTACAATTGGGGATGAGATTTAAGTGGGGACACAGAGCCAAGGCATATCAGAGCCCTAATCCAATATGACTGGTATCCTTAAAAAAAAGGGGAAATTTGAATACAGAGACACAAATAGAGGGGAGACAATGTAAAAAGACAGGGAAGAGGCCAGGCGCGGTGGCTCATGCCTGTAATCCCAGCACTTTGGGAGGCTGAGGCAGGTGGATCACGAGGTCAGGAGATCGAGACCATCCTGGCTAACATGGTGAAACCCCGTCTCTACTAAAAATACAAAAAATTAGCCAGGTGTGGTGGCGGGTGCCTGTAGTCCCAGCTACTTGGGAGGCTGAGGCAGGAGAATGGCATGAACCCGGGAGGTGGAGCTTGCAGTGAGCTGAGATTGCACCACTGCACTCCAGCCTGGGCGACAGAGCGAGACTCCATCTCAAAAAAAAAAAAAAGACAGGGAAGAGATGGACATCTACAAGCCAAGAAGAGAGATCTGGAACAAATACTTCCCTCAATCCTTAGAAGGAAGCAACACTGCTGACAGTTTGATATCAGAATTCTAGCCTCCTGAACTGTAAGACAGCAAATTTCTGTTGTTTAAACCACCCAGTCTGTGGTATTTTGTTATGACAGCCCTCACAAACTAATTTAAACATTTAGTGGCTCCCTCTAGCTCTATACATCTGGTGGGAAAAATCCTGGGTGGGCATAACTTAAATATTTGTGTTGTTTGCATTTACCAGAAATTTGGTAAGTTCATACATTCATTTATTTATTCATCCATTGCCCATCTCCTTATGCTGATTTATTAATTTTTAAATTACACATACCACTCTCTGGAAACTATTTTATCTTCTACTTACTTGTTCATTGTTTCACCACAAGCTTCATGAGAGATGCTGAATAAGAATTTATCCTTCCTTGTTTCCTTCCCTCTCTTCCTCCCGTCAATATTTAAGCACCTCTTATGTCTATTGTGTGCACAGCATTCCATGCTTGTCACTGTTAAAGCATAAAGAGGTACAAGGAATGTTTCTTGTCCCCAAGGAGTCTGTGATTTCTGGGAGGAGACAAAGCATGACCATGTGAGTGGCTGTATTCCACCACCAGGTAGTGGGTGAGTATGTGCTGGCCAGGTGCTGGATCATAACTGTTGCCAAGAGGGAAGGTGCAGGGGACTGAGGGTGTGCAGGAAAAGGCTCCCGGAGAGGAGGGGCCCGCACTTCAGATAAAAGAGGGGAACAGGAAGGAGTATAGTGGAGCAGAATGTTAGTAATCCATTGCCTTCCTTGATGCCTGGGGGCTATGTTTAGGGAGGAGTGGGGTTGCCTCAGGCCAGGGTTGATCAAGGCTTGGGGATAGGGTGATGCACAGAACCCAGAATCTTCATTCTGGCATCCCAGGAGGTCAGAAACAAAGCTCAGAGGCAAAAACTCTGGCCACACATTAAAATCATCTTGGGAACTTAAAAAAGGCTAATGTTAAAACCCTACCTTGACCGGGTACATCCCGGGATCTGCAGGCAGGACCTGAGAGAGAAGAAATCCTTTTAGGATGTGGATTGACAGCAGTGGCTCCTGACCGCAAGGCCCAGGCCACCCTGGCCCAGTCATGGGACACCCGCAGTTCTGGAGTGATGAGGGTAACTGCTGGAAATAAGGCACCAGGCTGCATTCCATTGGTATGGCCTCCTTGTCCTGAGCGTAAAAGTGCCTACTTGTGACATCAGAAGAATGTGTTGACAGATCTGTATCCCACTTCCAATTTTTACTATATTTTATGGTGGGAGCAGCAGCAACAGCAGCAGGATTAATTAAGCTGGTTTCCCTCTTTTTTTGGTCCCCATCAGCTTTCTGCAGCTGTTCATGGATAGAAACCATCCAGAAAGGTGTTTTGTTATTTTTGTTTTTTGAGGATATTGGAGACATTGGGTCCAGGGTTTTAGGGATTGTTATGGTTTGAATGTGACCGCCCCAAAATTCAGGTGATAGTATTAAGAGGTGATTTAGGTCACCTAAATTTAGGTGATTTAGGCCTTTAAGAGGTGATTAGGTCATGAGGGCTTCTCCCAGCTGAATGGGACTAAGACCCTTACAAAAGAGGCTTCATATAGCATTTGTCTGATTGACGCTTCTGCCTTCCACCATGTGAAGACTCGATGTTCCTCCTCTCTGGAGGACGCAGCCCTCACCAGGCAACTGAACCAGCCAGCGCCTTGATCTTGGAGTTCCCAGCCTCTGGAACTGTGAGAAATACATTTCTGTTCTTTGTAAATTTCCCAGTCTGTGGTATTGTGTTATAGCAGCAGAAAATGGGCTGAGACAGGAACCTTCCTCCTCAGGTCTTGGTGGCTCAATTTCTTCTAGCTGTATATGTAAGCTCCTATCACAGTGCCTGGCACATAGTGGGCCCTCAGCAAATGTTTGTTTCCTTCATTTCCAATGAGACAGCAGAGATTCTCAGAAATGTTAAATTTCAAATATGTTCTGACAGAAAATTGCTACCAAATTACTTTTTGTCTGTTCAGGACACTCTTGGTAAAAACAGAAAGATGGGAGCATAGAGAGTTGGCCCATCTTCAAAATAAACCTAGAAATGTTGGTTGACACCTAGGTGTCAGGCACTGCAGAGGCTAGCATGAAAATGCAGTGATAGATTATACAGGGCACTTGCCCTCCAGTATCTGATAATCTATTTGAACAGGTAAGATGTGAGCATGTGAAACCTTAACAATAAAGGATTTATAGAACAGCCCAAGACAACAGTAGAATTGCTGTCGGGGGCATATCAGGAGTATGCAATTTATTGCCTAATAAATCTGAGGACAGCTGGAACTGGTCAGAAAGAGGAAAAGCTACTTCAGGTTGGGGTAGTTAGAATGAAGGAGAAAGCAGCTGGTGTGAACAAAAGTGTTGAGCCTGATCTGGGCCTAGGTATGCCCCAGATACAGACAGCAAACCCAGCTGGCAGGAACAAGGAGAGTTTTAGGTAAGTTTAGTGGGAGGGTGAGCTGTGCCTCACTGGGGTCCCCCTTAAGACAGTTCTGGTGAGACCAGTCTTCCTCCCTTGATTAATTCTTCTTTGACAAGCATTTGCTGGGCACTGATCATGTGCCAGGCACAGTGCTAGGTGTGGGGGATTCCAAGATAATTATAACAAGTTCTAGGCTCAAAGAGCTCACAGTCTAGTGGGGAAAATGAGATTTCAAGCCCCAAACCAAGGTGAGATTTCATCCTGCAGGAAGTAGGGAGGAATGAAGATTTTTCTAGCAAAGTGGGTTTGAATTGAAAAGGGATTGTGGGCCGGGCTCAGTGGCTCACGCCTGTATTCCCAGCACTTTGGGAGGCCAAGGCGGGTGGATCACCTGAGTTAAGGAGTTCAAGACCAGTCTGGCCAACATGGCGAAACCCCATCTCTACTAAAAATACAAAAATTAGCCGGGCGTGGTGGTGGGCACCTGTAATCCCAGCTACTCAGGAGGCTGAGGCAGGAGAATCACTTGAACCTAAGAGGCGGAGGTTGCAGTGAGCCAAGATTGCACCACTGCACTCCAGCCTAGGTGACAGAGTGAGACTCCATCTCCAAAATAAAAAATAAAAAAGAAAAAGAAAAAGAAAAAAAAGAGATATTGTGGCTCTTCCCTCAGCTCAGTAGAAGATCTGAGAGTAGCACTGTTTCCATTTGCCACAGGGTCTTCTGGGTCTCTTGCGCAGAATCATCTTTTTGTGCCACTTACAAAGCACAATCCTTGAGAAAAGTTTTTCAGTTTGCAGGACTGACCGTGATCTTTTTAAACAGGGAGACTGCTTGCTGTCAGTATCACCTGTATTTTGCATTGAGCTTTCTGAAACTGAGGAGGACCAGGTAGCTCTAGGGAGCTCCCTTCCAGCCTCCAGGATGCTGATGCAATGACTGAGCAATGGAGAGTTTTGCAATATGCTTACAGAACCAGACCAGCTTGCTTTTCCTAAGGAAACCTTGGTGTCCTAAGAAAACCTCAGGCTGGGTCCCTGCCCTGCCGGGTTGAAATTCCTTCTGTCTTCTGGTAGCATGCCTGTAGCACATGCTCTGTAACCAGCTTTAGGGAGTCCACAAAAGGCTTTGGAATGAAGTCAAATTTCAGTGCAAACTCAGTCTCTGCCTCTAACCAGTTGTGTGATTTTTGGCAAGTGACCTAACCTCTCCCAGTTAAAGTTTCCTCATCTGTGAAACAGAGTCAATAACTACTTTGCTAGGTGGTTATAAATATTAAATAAGATGAGTATTAAGTGGTGCATAGCAGATTATCTTACATATATTTTCTTCTATTACAAAGTGCATAATATTTTTCTGTTTTTGTTTTTTTGAGACAGAGTCTTGCTCTGTCACCTAGGCTGGAGTGCAGTGGTGCGATCTCAGCTCTCTGCGAACTCCACCTCCTGGGTTCAAGTGATTCTTCTGCCTCAGCCTCCTGAGTAGCTGGGATTACAGGCACAAGCCACCACGCCTGGCTAATTTTTGTATTTTTAGTAGAGACGGGGTTTCACCATATTGGCCAGGCTGGTCTCAAACTCCTGACCTGAGGTGATGCACCCTCTTCGGACTCTCACATTGCTGGGATAACAGGCATGAGCCACTGCACCCAGCCAAAGTGCATAATATTTCTACTAAGGAAATTAGTGTCTCTTGGCTCCATCTTAAAAAAAAAATCGAATTTCCTGGCTTTCCAACTACACCTTTCCTTCTGGCCTCACCCTGATATTTGAGTTCTGCAGATGGATATGCTCCCTATAGTAAATGCACCTGTCTCAGATGGGTTCAGGCAGAAAATTCTATTTCCCCAAAAGTGGGCTGAGCCAAAAGGCTATCCTTGCTTTTCCAGATCTCTTCCCTCAGGAACAAATTGAAGACCAAGATGAGGAATTTTTGTGTAACACAAGAAAACATAAAGAGGATTTCTGCATATAAATCTGTGTTTTCCTTTGTAAGACTTTTTATCTACTTATTTTTATTCAACAAACATATGAAACTTGCTGCGTGCCAGGCACAGTTCAAACCATTTTACAAATATTAATTCATTTAGCCCTCATAACCTCATGAGGTAGGTGTTGTTACCCCAGGTGGCAGTTGGGAGCCTTTGAGCCATAAAGAGGTTCTGAACTTGCTGAAAGCAACATGGTCATGCAGGTGACTTGAAGCCCAGGCATCGCAGTGGGGATAGAAAATTATTGTACAAAAATTAATGAAGAGAGCACATCTAAAATGCCTTCTTTCCACAAAGGGTTCAAGATGTTATCACGGGGGATTTAAATTTAGGTGAAGCAGCAACACTGCCATCCATCACATAAGTTGAAGAGATACCTAAGCCTGGCTTCCCACTTGAACTTTTGTGAGCTGTGCTTCCCTGGGGTGCCCCTTAAGACAGTTCTGGTGAGGTCATTCTTCCTTCCTTGATTGATTTTTCTTTTGACAAGCATTTGCTGGGCATTGACCATGTGCCAGGCACAGTGCTAGGTACTGGATTCCAAGATAATTATAACAAGTTCTAAGCTCAAAGAGCTCACAGTCTTAACGGGAAAAGTGGAGAAATGAACAGTCACACATGCCCTAAAGAAAGGACTCTGCAAGGATATCTCTGCCATTCTTCGCAGAAGCAAGCCTCACCTCTCAACTTAGAACTGGCGTCAGTACATTTATTTATGTGAGAGGCAATTGCCACAAACTGTCCACATAGGATGCCTTTTGTTCTTTGATTGGCTTGCTCCTTCACCACATCTCTCTTCTCATCTCTCTGTTGTTTGGACTTCTTCTTCTTCCTCTTCTCTTCTCTTCTTCTTCTTCCTCTTCTCTTCTTCTTCCTCTTCCTCTTTCTCTTCCTCTTTCTTGTTGAGTTGAAGTTTCACTGGGTCACCCAGGCTGGATTGCGGTGTCACAATCATAACTCACTGCAGTCTCAACCTCCCAGGCTCAAGAGATCCTCCTGCCTCAGCCTCCCGAGTAGCTGGGACCACAGGCATGAGCCACCACACACAGCTGATTTTTTATTTTTTGTAGAGACAGGTTCTCACTCTGTTACCCAGGCTCGTCTTGGACTCCTGGGCTCAAGCAATCCTCCTGCCTTGTCCTTCCAAGGCATTGGGATTACAGGCGTGAGCCATGGGACCGTGCCTGAACTTCTTATCCATCTTCCCTTTTTTTCTCCTAGCCTTTTGCTTTCTTCTTAGTCACCCACAGACCTTTCCAGGGTGTCTCCCAGGCACTTATTCTCTGAGCCTAATGTTTCTTGGGAAACCTTGACACAGACCTTTTCAAGTTCACAACAGGTTTTGATTTGTGACATTGGCATTTCCTGTCTTCTTGTGACTTAAGTGGTGAACAAAACATCTCAAGATGTTCTCTTATTCAAATGTGGTTTGATTGGGGAATGCTAAGGTCAAGAATGTTTCAAGGAGCAAGACATCAGAGTGGGTGCCAGGGATAGGGAAAGCAAACTCTGAGGGCAAAGTGATAAGCTCTCTCCTGCTTTCAGCCTCCTAAACACCACTGTCTGCATTAAACCCTCCCTCTTGGGAGGCCGAGGCAGGCAGATCACGATGTCATGAGTTCAAGACCAGTGTGGCCAACATGGTGAAACCGCGTCTCTATTAAAAATACAAAAATCAGCCAGGTGTAGTGGCAGGTGCCTGTAATCCCAGCTACTTGGGAGGCTGAGGCAGGAGAATTGCTTGAACCCAGAAGGTGCAGGTTGCAGTGAGCTGAGACCACGCCACTGCACTCCAGCCAAGGCAACAGAATGAGACTCCATCTCAAAAAATAAAAATAAATAAATAAATAAATAAATAAACAAACAAACCCTTCCTTAACAGAGCCCAGATTGTGTTACTGGGAAAAGTGCAGTGGCCGGAGGGAATAGAGAAACTGTTTTGTTTGGAGTTCTGAGAAAGGGGACTCAGGAAGCTGTTGGTGATAGAGACAAACAGGTCTTTCTTCTGCTAATACTGCTTGTTACTCATTAACAAGCCTGCAAAGAAAACGTCTTTAAGACAAGAACTTTATCAAGAACTTTGCGCTTCTCTTCCATAAACTTCATTGCCCTGTTCCCCAACCCCCCAACAAACTTAAAGTACTGTCATTTTCAGAATTCAGTGACTCCTGGGTCTGCAGGTGATGTAGTTTCATGCTGTTAACTCACCGGAAGGCAGTGGAACCAGATGCGTGTTTTTCCTCCTGCTCCTCCGCTCTGGCCCCAAAACAGAAACTTTGCCTTCCTTTGTTTCACCCATTTATCTACCCAGAAATCCACCCATCTAGCATTTGTTGGGTGTATACTTTGTGCAAAGATCTGTAATGGCTACTCTAGAGGAGAAAAACGATGGAGAAGACATGCTCAATGCTTTCAGGAGCTTGGAATCTGTGGAGGAGACACATGTAAAGATAATACGATAAACACAGATACAGAAGAGATTTTATAGAACTTGCATTGACTTTTCTCTTTTCCTCTTTCAAAGTGATATCATTCTTTAAAAACAGGCCTCCTGCCTCTGATGCTTTTTTTCTCCTCTATGAACTCTAGGAAGGCCAAGTTGAACCTTTAAGGAAAGAGGGTTTGTGGCAGACCAGGACAGGGAAAGACATTGGGATCAGGATGGAATCCAAATGTTGAAATTCCAAGATTTTCAACAGCAGAGGACATATGCTGGGGTTAGAATCAGGCCTGGCTCCATGCTATGCCTTAGGACCAACAGAGACATGTATAGCTCAGATGACAGCAGCAGAGGCAATGTTTACTTCTCCAGGATTCCTTTGCACAATTTACTGCCCTTTCTTCAAGAGCAGAACAACCAAGAGCATGCCAAAAGTCATGGCACATTCAGCCCTTTAAGGATTTCATCACTGGATTAGCTGATCTTAGGTAAAAATTTAGGAAAGGAGGTGGGGAAGGGTAGGGGTGATGCACAGAGTAAATGATACATTTGGTGGCAACATTTTGTTGAGCACAGTTATGGTGTTTGCACATTGCTTTTGAACAAAATGATAAATTTCAATCAGGTCTGGCAAGCGTTACAAAGTCATTCTAGGTCAAATGGATAACAGAAGCCTCTATATAGTTGAGTCCAAAATACAGACCCTAAGACAGCCTTCCTTCTCTTTTTTCTCTTTCTTCTTTCTTTCTTCTCGAAACGGAGTCTTGCTCTGTCACCCAGGCTTGAGTGCAGTGGCACCATCTAGGCTTAGTACAACCTCTGTCTCCCGGTTCAAGCAATTTTCCTGCCTCAGGCTCCTGAGTAGCTGGGATTACAGGCATGTGCCACCCACGCCCGGCTAATTTTTGTATTTTTAGTAGAGACGGGGTTTCACCATGTTGGCCAGGCTGGTCTTGAAATCCTGACCTCGTCATCCGGCCGCCTCGGCCTCCCGAAGTGCTGGGATTACAGACGTGAGCCACTGCTTCCAGCCCATCCTTCCTTATTTAACTAGGGAATCAATCAGCTTTCTTTGGGGATGGCTGGGAAAGGTTGAAGAAAGAATGTATGCTCCACCTGAGCCTTGAAGGATGAATAATTCACAAGGGCACAAAGTGGGAAAAAAAATTCTAAACAGAAGGATGGAGATGTAGAAGGGCGGGGATGGTGGGACTAAGGTTCTAGAAGCAGACAGAGTGAGAAGGCTAGAAGGATTGCCAGATTTAGAGTCCACATGAATGAATGGTGGGCTGCTAGTGGTGGCATGCTGGGAGGAAGGGAGCTGCAGGAGGGGGAGCCCAGCCACAGGACCCCCAGGGGCAGGAAGAGTCCAGGGTCTCCAGGGTTTCCTATGTCCATTGAGGGAGTGTTTCTGGGATAAGAGGCTTCTTAGGGAGAACACAGAAGAATCTGTTCAAATGGAACTTTGGTAGAAGGTACACTGGGACCCAGGGTAGCCCGGCAGCAGCTCTGATGGCTTCTCTGGTTCCCCTTCTTTGGGTGGGTCAGCCTTCTCCGGGCCCCTCCTGGCCAGCCCCAGATTACAGTTTCTGAAAAGACTCCTCTCGGGAGTCATTTCTCTTTTATTATGGTACCACTTGGACAGCACACACACAGCACAAGAAACTGCAAACCCATGCACAGAATAAATTAGGAAATTCCTGTTTAAAAGTAGATGATAGAAGAAGCTGTGCTTCCAGGAGGGCCTCATGGTTCAGTGCCTGGAGAGTCCAGGGGTGTCAGCAGCCCCCAAGATTCCATGATAAATTGATGATACATTTAGAGCCAAATGCCCCCCTCTGAGAATATTTAATAAGGCCTGAATTCCTTCATGCAAACATGTGCACACCCACAGATGTATACACAGGACTCGGGGCAGGGGACAGCCTGGACATGACAGCCAGCTCAGCAATAAGCACAGTGGACCCAGGTGTGCTCTCCCTGTGGCTCTGGTGGTGGCTGAGTTCCTCGCACTCATCCTTCACCAGCTCCCCAGCTCCCTTGGGAGGTGCCAGTGTGGCCTTTGGCAGTGAGGAAGTGGAGGCCCGTTTCCTGAGGTGAGGACCCAGGTCTATTATTCTGGACTATAGGGGAGCACATCCCAGCTTTCTTACATGAGCCTTGCTTTGTTGTCTCGTCTGCCAAGCGTCACCTGCCATTCCCAGAAGAACACATGAAGCCATGTGTCCCTGGGAAAACCCACCTACTTGAGTCCCAGGAGCTGTGTGTACATCTCTGTCCAGCAGTGTGATGTTGCGGGAAACTACCTCATTTCTCTAAGCCTCATAATCCTTGTCTGTAAAAATGAAAGTGTCTACTTCACAGGGTTATCAAAAGGAATCACAAAAATATGATATTGCCAAGTACTATGCTGGACTCAAGTGAAATATTCAAATCCTGTTTTCTTTCCTGTTTTCGTGTCCCTCGTGTCTTCCTTTTTATTTCTCCATTTGGCTTCCAGGTTTATGTGTCTGTTGGTAGTCATGTAACCCCAATGGAACCAAAAGCACTCTTGACCAACAGGTTCTCCCATACCCCAACAGAAATTGCTGGTGTGTGCCTCCCCGCAGTACAAAACTGCATCAGTGGGTGAATCGAGGATGAGCCACAGGACAAGGGGACAGTGGGGACAGTCAGGACCTCAGGTACATCCGATCCCAGGGGAGAGATCTGGGAAGCCTGCGGGCGCATGGAGATCTGTCTCAGAGAGGAGGGTAAAGTGCCATAATGGTGGAAAGACACCATCAAGAAATAGTGGTGTAGGGGTGGCTCTGAGCTGGGTCTGGCCAGAAGCTGGAATCTAGGGAGGTGCTGTTCACAACATTCAGCAGAAATAAAACCACTGCCTTCCAGGAGTGGGAGGCCCAAGGATGTAGGAGACTTATCTTCCTGGTAGGTCTGTCCACCAAAAGGCCAGTTTGATGGGTCACAGTCCACACCTCAAGTTCTACAGAAATTTCCCATGCATCTCTCCATCTGTCTGTCCATTCAGCCATCCATCTGAATATATTAAGAGTTTTACAGAATGTAGGCTGACCTGGACAGAAAATCCTATGTGTTCATTCAGCACCTTTTATCCAAGGAGTCAGTGTCTTTCATAGTCACTCAACTGGAGTCTTTTATAGTAAGGCTGCGAGGTAGTAACAGGACAGGCAATGCCTCTCTTTTTATAGATCAAGAAGTACTCAAAGTAACACAGTGAGCCTAGCTGAAACATGGTATGGGCTGGTCAAATGCAGGGCACTAATCTGTTCCCCAAAGACCAGAAATTGGCTCTTCTCCTGTGGGCCTTGGTACAGCTTCTCTTGGACTGACCTCTGTGTCTAGACCAGCTCTGTTGCTTTTCACACCAGCGTGGGTTTCAAGTCATCTTTGAAGTTCACAATAGGCTTGGAGCGGGCCCACAGCTTTTCCCAGGAAGCCAGCCCCCCAGTAGGCTCAGGGTCAGTGTCTGATGTGCCACTGTCACTAGAGTCAGAAGAGCTCTGGAAGCAGATTTCACAGTAGGGCCGGTGGCAGCGGCAGAAGAACTCATCTGAGCTGCTGGACTCAGTATCAAAATAGCTGTGTTGAGAAGACAGGGAGGCACAGCCTGAGGGCACTGGGGGCCACAGCTGCCACTGTTCAGGCAAGTCAGGTGAGGCTTTGGAGAGGCATGGGGCAGCAGGACTTGGGGCCCGGCCAGAACCAGAAGGCTGGCGAAGAAAGGCTGCTTTGCTCCCTCTAGCCCCCTCGGGCTCTGTCTGGCTTTGTTTGCTGCCCTCCAGGGTACCTGGTCTGTCTTGAGGATCTGAAGGTAGTGAAGGCTTCCTGGAAGAAGGTCTTCGTACTCTGGAATCAGTAGTTTGTGGGGCCAGGCTGGGGCTGTCCCCATTCTGCACATGTAGCCTGCTGTGTGCCCCAGGAACAGTCCTGTTTGCCCGATGCCCCACAGATGAGGGTGCAGAGCCAGGAAAGTGTGAGCGGGCCCGCTGAGCTGCCCGCCTTCTCCTCACCATGTAAGGGCTAAAGCCGAGCTCCTTGGAGAGGGGCATCTTTTGGGGGCTGAAGGCAGCACTGTTCTTCCAGGTTTGCTGATGACAAGAGGGGGCGGTGGAGAGGGAAGCCTCAGGGCCCAGGCCCAGATCTTGTAAGACCTCCTGAAGTTTCTCCCTGATTACTGAACTAACCCGTGACCGCCGCTCTGGGGGCTCCTCTGAGTTCTCCAGATGCCTCTGTCTCTGGGGATCTGAGCCGCCTCTTTCTGGTAGGAGACTCTGGCTGGGGTTCATGGGGACTTGGTCTCCTCTTTCTGGACCCAGGCTTTGCTCAGTCCATGGCTTCTGGCTACAACCTGAGTCTAAATGATCAGAAAAGTCTTTTGAGTCAGATATCTTCTCCTCCTTCCCTGGGGAGAAGCTGGAGTCCTTCCCAGGCCCCTCAAGGCTTTGTGCATATGAGGAGGGCCCTGAAGTGCACTGGGAATCCCGGGCAGCCATGCCAGGATCATTCTGAAAGTCAGAGAGGTGACCCGAAGGCCCCTGAGCAGCTGCCAGGGTGTGGACCGAGGCTACCGCCTGGACGTCCTTGTTCGGGGAAGAGGCAGGTGGGGCAGCCCCCTCTGGGAGGTCATAGGTGCACTCAGCTGACATCAGCCTCACAATCTTCTCTTTGGCGTTGTTTACTTGTTCCTGCAGGCTTTCAATCACAGCATTTTTCTGTAAAATAAAAGCAAAACCATCAACAAAAGATGCCGCCGAGGGTTCCATAGTGCCCACCATGGTGGAGAAGGTGTGGCTTTCAAAGAACCTTGGCTGAAATCTCAGTTCTTCCAGTGTATTGGCTGGTGACCTCAGGTTCTAAGGAGGTGCCTCCCTCCAGTGAAATGAGTTGATGCATGTAAAGTGCTAGCACAATAACTGACATAAACGGTGCTCAATAAAGGCCAACCATGATTTATTGTCATTATCTTGGTCTTCTCCTTACATCCCCACACTGTGCGGCATTGCTTATGAAGAGCAAGGAGGCCCAGTCTGAGTGCCTGCTGGCCACTGCAGCGCCCTCTCACCTTTCCCAGAACTGAGAGGGTCAGGCCACTCCGCAGGTATGAGCTGAATAATGTTTGGAATGGTCCCACTTGGAGTTTATCACACTTTTGCAAAAATTTAGATAAATGTGAAGCATATCTCCAGGGGATGAAGAAGTAGGAGAACAAGTATTTTGCCTCTTACTAAACAGCCTAGAAAATGGGAAGAACAAGGAGAAGGGTGGAGATTTCTGTGACAATCAAATAAGATTGGAGCTGAGAGGGGCCAAAGAGAATCTCAGGTTGGTGTTATCACCTCCCTAGGCTGGACCTCTGGGAGTGAGTGGCCAAAGCTACCATGTGGCAATATCAGCTGTTGATTTCACCTAAAGCAGGGGTCCCCAACTCCTGGGCCACGGACCAGTACTAGTCCATGGACTGTTAGGAACCAGGCCGCACAGCAGGAGGTGAGCGGTGGGTGAGGAAGCATTACCACCTGAGCTTCCATCAGATCAGCTGAGACATTAGATTCTCACAGAAGCGCAAACCCTATTGTGAACTGCACATGTGAGGGGTCTAGGCTGCACACTCCTTATGAGAAGCTAATGTCTGATGATCTGAGGTGGAACAGTTTCATCCCGAAACCATCCCCCCACCACTATCTGTGGAAAAACTGTCTTCCACGGAAGTGGTCCCTGGTGCCAAAAATGTTGGGAACCACTCACCTAAAGGAGTGCAAGCATCAGAACTATTGAAGAAGCACAAAGAAATGAAAGGACTGTTGGGCTTAAGCCCCTGCTAGCTTGATTCAGCAGCCCTAGAATGGAGCCCAGGAGACGAAGGAGCCTGGGGCAGTTCTGCTACTGACCTGCCTACTCGCTGGATGTTAGCTGGTAAACAAGTTGTGCCGGAGAGGGCTGGCAGGTGAGAGCTGCAGAGGTGTGCCTGTCCTAACTGCGAGATTGTGGGGCATGAAGTAGGAGTAGGAGTGTTGGCAGTGGGTTGCAGGGAACGACTGCAGCCCAGACATCTTTCTGTGGTGCAGCAGCTGATTCTCTAGTTCAGACTGTGTGTCCATCTCTGGAAACTTCTGATCCTCAAAGGCAGAGCAGGGAGGAGATATTCACAGGGAACGTCTGGACTTGGGGCAGATGACATGGGGTCGAGGGTTCTGGGAAGGCAATAATGTAAGCAAATGTTCTAGAAAGTGCTTGTCTGAACACCAAAATGCTACCTCTTTGTTACTATCATCTTTAGGAGCTGGGCATGAGCATTTGGACCTCCATTTATTATGCCCTAGAAACAAAAGGATGTTCCCTGTGTTAGGATAACCAATACAAATTGCCTAGTTATACCGTCCATAACAGCTAACTAGGACTACTAGTTATAGAGTGAACCTGTGGTTTCATCTCAGGTTTACATGGGAGAGTTGCCTAGAAATGATCCTTTAAGGGAGCAGTAGCTTAAGCAAAATAGTCCAATATTCTGACTAGCAACTCTCCAAGCAGATGCACTGCTCCCCTTGTAGAATTGGGAAGGTGATTTTTCTGATAGTTGGTATTGCTAGTTTCACCCTGGTTGAGTATACTTCTTTTACCATCAGAAGAGAGTCCAGGGCCAGTGAGGGACTGGTGAGTAAGGTAGAAGAGACTTTCAGCTGAGCACATGTGTGCCTGTCCTCCCTCCCTTCCCTCTGCCCGCAGAGTGGTGAGGTCTGGGTGTTGCTGGGTGAGTGCAGATGACTCAAGGACTTGTCAGGGGCAGAATGGATGAGCAATAGGGAAACACTCAGGTGTTTGTGATCCTGGGCTGTGCCAGGCATCTCTCTGAGGATCTCATGGGGGGACCTCAACTCCCTCCTCCACCAGCCTCTCCTCCTGAAGCCCATCGTGCACATTCTCATGTGGGCTTCTGGAGGCCTCTATAGCCTCACAGAGTTAGGAAGGACCCATCGGCAGATGGCAACTACTCCCGTGGGTGAAATCTGAGTGCTGTCTTTTTGTGCCTTATCTATAAACTCCTTTGAGTATAGAAAGATACTATAAACATGGAGTTGGGAAGAAGCTGGCTGGTGACAGATTTAGAAACATCAACCTAAACAGAAAATTTCCTTCTTCCAGAAAAAGAAGTGGGACTCTGTTTTTACCATGGCTGCATACTAATTAGAGGTGTGGTGTGAGGCACTGCCATTATGAGACTGAAATCTGACCTACCACGGCAGCTGCACTTCAATGAGCTTATTAATTATTATTTTTGGCATATTGAGGGAAGCAAAACATCCACCTGCATGTTTCACAGGGGGCAGGCCATAAGGAGACATGGAATTAGCCTCTTGTTTCTATGGTTCAGGTAACAAAAGTAATAGGTTTGTTTACTTGGCTGCAGAGTGTATGAGGAAAGCACTTCAGCCTTGTGGAAGGTTCTGTCTGCTGGCCTTCTCTTAGACAGGGAAGTCAGTGATAGATGTGATAGATGCTGTCCGAAACAGCTTCTGGGGGGACCCCTGGCTATAGAGGCAAGAGGGAAAAGTGTGAGAAGATGGGGCTGCCCAGATCACGGGAAAGTAAGAGGAAGGCCTGAGTGGGGGAGTGGGGCCTGCACAGGAAGGCACTGCACACCATGGGCCAGAGTCAAGGTCTGTACATATGTTGAGCCAGGAGAGATACTCATGTTTCTCTAACGGGCAATGCTGGAGCTGGGGATGCAGATGCTGGAACCTCCTGACACCTGCCACCGGGCCCTAGGACTGGCCGCTTGTTCTCTGGCCTGTTCTGGGAAAGAGATTCCAGGTGTAGCGTGCACTGGGGAGGCCAGCTTCTTACCACTTGTGCACCTGTGCCCATTGAAGGGCTTCCTCTGCAGACTCAAAGCATCTTTTTGGATATAGCAGATTGAGTCCCTGCGTGGGAAACAGGGTAGCATGGCAGAAGTACAAACAGCACGTTGCAAATTACCATAAGGCTAAAGAGTCAGTCCACTTGGCTGTTCCAGCATCAGCTGACTGTGAATGAAAACTATCCTGGCTGTTCTAGCCAAGTTTCTGGCCTTCTGTGTAGCCAGGAAAAAAAAATGCTTATTTGAAGACTTCACAGAGTATCAAAGGCAATATTACTCCCTTGCCAGGTGGAAAGAAATCTGGCTTTGAAATACTTAATAGTAAAGAAATGGAGAGGTGTTACTCTGATGGACAAAAATGGTCCAGAACCATAGAGGGGCATGAACGGTGGGTGCCTGGGTGTGCTGAGTCCCTTCATCTGTTGTGTTTTCTAGGTCCCCACCACACTATCCTCTCATCAGGGACTATTAATACCTAGGCAGCAGTCCTAAAAAAAAAGCCCAGTTTTCCAAATAACACCTCCTGAGATAGGTTCTAAACTGAAAAAATATGGAATGTAATTCAGTTAGTGTCAAAATACTGACTAACTCCCCTGGGCCCTGTGCCTTCTTCCTGAGTCAACGAAGCCTTCAAACCTTTCCACGTGCTTTCTTCATGCCTGCATCACACTGCCCAAGTCTGGGAGAGGGGCCAACTCTGGCTCAAATACAGAAGAAAGAAGCCCGGGGGAGCTGCCTCATTCTCCCTTGGTGCTACAATCACATTCAGAAGCCCTTGTTTAGTCCCCTTCTCCATCTGTAGACATGCCTGGACTTTCTGGGATGATGGGCTGATTGAGATCTGTAGCCAGTACCTGGGAAAGACAGTAAGGACCCCAGGAGATCTTGGACATGAAGACACTACTCTATGTAAAAAGAGAAAATGAGGCCAGGCGCGGCGGCTCACACCTGTGATCCCAGCACCCTGGGAGGCCAGGGCAGGTAGATCACTTGAGGTCAGGAGTTTGAGACTAACCTGGGTAACATGGTGAAACCCCGTCTCTACTAAAAATACAAAAGTTAGCTGAGCATGGTGGTGGGTGCCTGTAGTCCCAGCTACTTGGGAGGCTGAGGCAGGAGAATTGCTTGAACCTAGGAGGTGGAGGTTTCAGTGAGCCAAGATGGTACCAGTGCACTCCAGCCTGGGAAACAGAGTGAGGCCTCATCTCAAAAAAAAAAAAAAAAAAAAAAAAGAGAGAAAATGTATCACAGGGAAGCTAGTGTCCACCACATTTCAGGGCCTTTACAATGCTGTTCCCGCAGCTTGGAATACTTTTCCCTGTACTCTTTGCCTGGCTAATTTGTACTTAACCTTCAGCCCTCAGCTCAATGAGTCTTTTCTGACTGGTCTAAGTTATGTTTTCTTGCCCTTACCACACATTATTCTGTCTTACCACTCTGATTTTTCTTTCATAATTCTTATGACAATGTATAATTACATGTTTGCTTGATGAATGAATCTCTATTTCTTCCACTAGACTGTGAGCTCTGTGAGGGTAGGAACCATGCTTTTGTTCATTGTTCACTGGCACAATGCCTGGCACATAGGAGTGACTCATTATACATCTGTCCACTGAATGAATGAAGTAGATGCGTGTCACGGTGGAAATGGTGAGGTTTTGCTTGCTGTTAAGAGAAGTGGGAGAATGAGAGGAAAAGAGAACATCAGCAATAAGAGCCTTGGGGGCCACCGATGCATGATTGGATCCTTTACAGGGAATCTTCCAGGCAGGGGCAGAGCTTACTTCTGTGAGGAGCCTCTCCATGGAGCTTTTCTCTCCCCTCGGGTGGCAGTTCTCCTCCTCACCATACTGGGTATGGAAGCTTTTGTTGGGAGTGCTGAAATATTTGGCCATGCGTCTGATTGTTTGGTTTTCCTCTTCAAATGCCTTCCATTGCTTCAGCTGTTAGATAAAAGAACACATGTTATTTATTTAATTACACATCCAGAAACACACTCTCTCACTCTTTCTCATAAACACCAAGGAATGACACTATCATAGATACACACATGCGCAAGCTATTCTCTCCTTAAAATGTACTTTGCTCTGGAGGGCTCAAAGATGGTAATGACAAAAGGTCCTTACCTTTTGTAATTATACAAAATGTTAAGGTTATATAATTTTTAAAATGCCAAAGGGCTGGGTGCAATGGCTCACTCCTATAATCCCAGCTACTCAGGAGGCTGAAGTGGGAGGATCACTTGAGCTCAAGAGTTTCAGGCTACTGTGAGCTATTGTTGTGATACTGTACTCTAGCCTGGGTGGCAGAGTGAGACCCAATCTTAAAAAAAAAAAACAAAAACCCAAAACACCCTAAAAACAAACACAAATTTCCAAAGGAAGAATAGGACAGGTAGATAAAATAGAACAGCCTTAGCCCATCTGCCTACCCATTGCCAAACTGGTCAAAGAAAACCAGAGCTGAAGTATCTTCTACCACCACATTCTAAAGCCAGAGTTAGGAGCTATCCTGGGGTTAAGCAACCTGAACACTATAAGTTTCAAATGACACTTTCTCGTTGCATGCAGCTATTTAATTATTTTTCATTTGTTCAGTAACAATGTGCTTGCTGCTATTGAAAATTCAGTTCCTTTGGGTGAACTTCTAACCCAAGTCAATAATCAAGGCTCAGAGAGCCTTTGAGGGAAGCCCCCTAGTCACATCAGGATGCTCTAGCTCATCACCCAGTTTCTTTGACAAACTAGGAAAGGCTCAGGAGTGTTGTGTCTAAGCTTACACAGCCACTTAGCAGCAGAACAACAGCTGTAAGCAGGACACTGTGCCATGTCTGTGTCCTCACTCAGTTGATGAAGAGAGAGACTGTTAACGGTGGCAGTCCAGGGAAAGCTCTTCAGGAGAAACTGGTCTTGAGGAACACTCTGCAGAAGCATGGGCTGGTTTAGTTTAACAGGAATGAAGCTGAACATAGAAACAGGAGCCTCTGCCTGAGTCTGTGGGGTACTGCTGACCCACCGAATGACAGTAATGTGAGTGACGCAGGAAGCCACAGTGGGGAAGGCCTCTGTTTTCCTCTCAGGAATCCCCATAACTAAGTGTCCTAGTGATGGACACTGGGGACCCTGGGACCTTGATTCTAGAAATGATGCTGCAGTGTCTATGGGTAGCCTCAAAGGGATCCTGGGATTTCTTTACTCATCCATCAAACATTTGTTAAGCTCCGACCATGGAGTGTAAACCAAATTTTGTAAATCTCAGATAGGATTCTGAATCCTGCCATCAATTTCAATGCCACTGAAATTGATATTATCACCCAAGTCCTCTTGGGTCCTCTGCTGACTCATCATGAGTCCATCATCGCACCAGGAGTCTGTGTGACCTGTGTTGGGTCAGGCCTGGTACCTCCCCTCTCAGATGCCCTTCTTGAAGGCCCCCTCCCCACGAAAGGATGCTCTCAGCTCACCATCCTACTTGGGAGCTACTGGAGCCAACAACACAAGGTCATCTGTGGCCTTGGGTGGATGAATCAGACCTCCTAGGGTTATTCTCCTCACACTGACCCTGGCAGTGCTGCAGTACAGCTTTTCCTTCATCTCCCCCAGCACTCCCAGACTGAGGCCTCTCTGCAGGGCTGGCAGAGGAGCAGCTCAGCACTGGCGTAAGGGCCCTCCCAGGGCTTTTGGTCTTCCTGTCTCTAAATTGGCCAAGTGGAGCCAAGATACCCCTTGATTACTCTAGCCCTTCATTCCTCATTTGTGAAGATACTCCTTAAGGCTCAACCCTTCAGGGTTTCTGGAATCCAGCTATGAATTTCACAATTCAGGGCCTCTCCTCTGCCTTCCTCCAGAAGGACAGGCAGATTCTGGTTTTCTGAGCCTCTGGGCTATGGGGGTGTGGCAGACTGAACAGTGGCTTCTCAAAGATGTTCTCTCTCATCCTAATTCCTGGAGCCTGTGAATATGTGACCTTATGTGGCAAAAGGGACTTTGCAAATGTAATTAAGGATTTCAAGAGGGGTGATTATTCTGGGTTATCCAAGTGGGCCCAATGTAATCACAAGAATCCTTATAGGAGGGAGGGAGGAGAGCCAGAGTTGGAGAAGGAGATGTGACAATGGAAACAGGGGCGAGAGAGAGAAAGATTTGAATCTCTTCTGGCAGATTTGAACCTGGCTGGCTTAGAAGGTGGAGGAGGGGACAATAAGCACAAGAATGCAGACGGCCTCTAGAAGCTGAAAAAGACAAGGAAACAGATTCTCCCCTTGCATCTCTGGAGGGAATACAGACTTCCTGACACCTTAAGTTTAGCCAAATAAGACCTATTTCAGATTTCTGACCTCCAAAATTTTAAGATAATAAACTTGTATTATTTTAAGCCACTAAGCTTGTGGGAATTTGTTATAGCAGCAGTGGGAAACTAATATGGTGGGACTAAATGTCAACTCTTTAACAGGGTCCAGCAGGGCCTCAGAAGCTCCCCAGGTGTGTCTCTCCCCAGTCCTGTCATTCTCCCCCTGGTTTCCATTTGTGCTTCAAAAATAACAAAGACCATGGTGCTCCAAACATACGCTACTCTCTTTCTAGCCTCCCTGCCTCTGGTCATGATGTTATTCCATCAGAAATGCCACCTACTTTCCCCCATCTCTTCAATGAACTCTTATGTTTCCTTCAAGACTGAGCTCGAACACCTCATCTTCCTTCCTTCCTTCCTTCCTACCTCCCTCCTTCCCTCCCTCCCTCTCTCCCTTCCTTCCTTCTTTTTTTTTTTTTTTGAGACAGGGTCTTACTCTGTCTGGAGTGCAGTGGCACAATCACAGCTCACTGCAGCCTCAACCTCCTGGGCTCAGGTGATCCTCCTACTTCAGCCTCCTGGGTAGCTGGGACCAGAGGCATGCACCACCATGCCTGGCTAATTTTTGCTTTATATTTTTTGAGACAGTCTCACTCTGTCTCTGGCTGGAGTGCAATGGCACAATCTCGGCTCACTGCAACCCTTGTCTCCCGGTTTAAGCAACTCTCCTGCCTCAGCCTCCCAAGTAGCTGGATTACAGGCGCCCGCCACCACACCCAGCTAATTTTTTGTATTTTTAGTAGAGACGGGGTTTTACCATGTTGGCCAGGCTGGTCTCAAACTCCTGACTTCACGTGATCTGCCCGCCTTGTCCTCCCAAACTGCTGGAATTACAGGCGTGAGCCACCACGTCTAGCCAATTTTTGCATTTTTTGCAGAGACCAGGTTTCACCATGTTGACCAGGTTGCTCTCGAACTCTTGGGCTCAAGCGATCTACCCGCCTCAGCCTTGAAAAGTGCTGGGATTATAAGCATGAGCCACCATGCCCAGCCTCATTTTCTGAGAAGGTGCCACTGAGTTCTCAGATGGGCTGGGGAAGGCCTTTCTCAAAGCTCTTAACACATGTATGATAATTCCTTTCATGTTTGCTCCCCACTAGACCTAGAGGCGGACTCTGTGTTTAAGTGCATGTACCCAGCAGTTAATAAGTGGATGGATGGATGCATGCATGAACAAATGAAGGAAGCTTTCTTTAAAATGCTCACTGGTCTAGTAGGGGTGCTGGGACATATACATATAATTATAAGGCAGATTAGAAAGGCCTGCACATCTTCAGGGAGGAGCAGATGAAATGCTTTCGGGGTTAGAGGAGAGAGAAAACAATGTCCTACCTTAGGACCTGCCTGCCTCTCTGAGGGAGCAGAGGGCTGGGGGATGGGTCATATTCAGGTCAGAACAGCAGCGGCTGGCTGACTTCTAGTGATGACCTCAGTGCTTGGCATAAACACTCAGGCATTTCCTGAGTGCCTGTGTAAAGAAGGCTTCTTGGGCCCCTTGTCTCCTTAGTAATGTCATCCATTTCACCCGCTCTCTGGCGCTGCCTCGCTGCCCTGGGGGTATCTGTGCCTTTGCTTTCACAAACTCCTCCCATCACAGTCATGTCTGAAAGCTCACTGGCAAGAAGGAACCCCGTTTTGCTGCAACCCCCAACCCTTACCCAGATAGTTCCCCTCACCCACTTTCC
Source organism: Homo sapiens (assembly GCF_000001405.40). Classification (NCBI taxonomy): domain Eukaryota; kingdom Metazoa; phylum Chordata; class Mammalia; order Primates; family Hominidae; genus Homo; species Homo sapiens. Next base: position 120,177,563 of record NC_000003.12, read on the forward strand.
CAAATTTACTCAAATTACTTTCCCAAATTATCTTCTAGGAATACACAGTGCAAGTATCACAGGGAGAATCGTTCTTCTACCAAAGACCTCGGAGCCAGAGGGAAACACACAGAAACCTAACAAACCTCAGTTTCTTTTATATTTTGAAAAAGAACTACTTACCATCTAAACCTAAAATACAACAGACTACAAAATATATTTTTTAGTTTCACATCATGGTCAGTTAGTTCCAGAGGAGAAAAAAAAAAAACACAAGGGAGAAAATGGAAGAGGAAAGACAGAGTAAGAGAAAGGAAGCTTAAGAAAGCTAGGAGGGAAAGAGGGAGTGAGATAGAAGGAAAGCAAGGCCAGTGCAGTCCATCCACCCAATTCCTGTACCTCATAATCATTCCATTTCCATTCCCAATTCAACAAATCAAGTGTTTGTTGCTTAGTGAAAACCTGGAAGGCAGATTTCAAGCAGCACTTCATTCTGCATTTTTGTGTGTAGAGTACCCAGATGTCACAATTGTCCTAGCTGCTGAGGACTCAAACACCAGGCAAAGGGGAAGTGATGTGGCTGAGGCTTACGATGCAAGGGGGCAGTGGTGAGAGGTGAGGATGGAGAGAGGAGCAGTAAGCAGGGCGCCATCATGGAGATTGCCAATTCATTCAGTTTTCTGACCAAGGCTTTGTTTGTTCAGAAACATTTTCCTCTGATAGCTCTTTGATAATGACTTCTGCCCCAAATTATTTTGTTCTCTTTCAGAGACTCCTATCAGCTCTCAATTGTATTCCTAGATGTTTTCCATATTTTATTTTTTTCTTTTTATTTTATTTTTTGAGACAGATTTTCGCTCTTGTTGCCCAGGCTGGAGTGCAATGGCGTGATCTTGGCTCACTGCAACCTCTGCCTCCTGGGTTCAGGCGATTCTCCTGCCTCAGTCTCCCTAGTAGCTGGGATTACAGATGGATGCCACAACGCCCAGCTAATTTTTGTATTTTTAGTAGAGATGGGGTTTCACCATGTTGGTCAGGCTGGTTTCGAACTCCTGACCTCAGGTGATCCGCTCACATCGGCCTCCCAAAATGCTGGGATTACAGGCATGAGGTACTGCATCTGGCCATTTTCCATATTTTCTTATCTAGTCTCTCATTTGTTTCCTTATTTTCTGTTTCCTTAAAGTAATTCACTAATTCAATATTTTGTAGTGTCTAATTGCCCAGTCAATGCTTCTATTGGGATTTTAAATTTAATACCATATTTTTAATCCTTATTCAATATTTTATTAAGATTAGCTTTTTTTCATGATAGTTTGCTTTAGTTGAGAAGAGACAATATCCTTTGAATTCTATTGACAAGTCCGGTATCTTCTAAACACTTCTACTCCAGAGGAAGGCAGCTTCTCTAAATCTTTAGACATTTGTAGTCCTCTTCTTGTGAACTGCAGATTCCCTTCATAGATCATTTCCTCCAGAATTTATAATCTTACATGGAAAGAGCTGTATCTTCCTAGTATTATAACTATATTCTCTTAGTCTTTTCCTTATGTTCACAAGAGAGCTGCCATAGCTCTAGGAATCACATACATTCAAGGCAGGAAGAAGGTAAAAAGGGTGATGTTAGCCATGCTTATAACCTTTTTCAGGAAAGCAAAAGCTTTCTCAGAAGCTTCTCAGAAAACCTCTAGTGTTCAAAATGGTGTCATATAGGCACTCCTATCTCTATGGGAAGCTGGCAAAAGAAGAGTCTAGCTGTTGCTGTCTCTATAGTGCAGGCAAGCAAGGAAGAAAGGGGTTAGCAGCTCTGTTGCCCAGGCTGGAGGGCAGTGGCGCAATCTCGGCTCACTGCAACCTCTGCCTCCCGGGTTCAAGTGATTTTCCTGCCTCAGCCTCCCGAGTAGCTGGGATTATAGGCGTGCACCACCATGCCCAGCTAATTTTCATATTTTTAGTAGAGACAGAGTTTCACCATGTTGGCCAGGCTGGTCTCGAACTCCTAACCTCAAGTGATACGCCTACCTCAGCCTCACCAAGTGCTGGGATTACAGGTGTGAGCCACTGTGCCTGGCCAGAGTTTACCCTTAAAGGGTACTTATTTCTACAAAAACTCCTCCTTTTCCTCTGCCAGTAATCAGTCAACCAGGCCTCTCCGCCCTGACAGTCAACAGGTAGGCTGCTGTCAGGCAGGGCTTGCTTGTTTATGGAATCAGGACTGCCTTGTACCCTTCAGCACCAGTTCTCTGCATTGTTGATCGCTACCAATCCAACAATATTGGCTGCAGGGCCTAAGGGGTGGGCTTCCCAAAAGGCACCTGCCTACCCTTACCCCTGCCCACCCACCCCGCCCCCGCCCCCGGTCTCCCAGGGAGAAACAGTCCTTGCTTCTCAGAGCCCATTTCTGCCTCATCCCAGACAAACAAGCCTCAGCTCTAAATGGCTTCCTTCATTCCAGTTTTTACGGCATTAAGATTTGGCAAAAATTCCTCCAGTTTCTGGCACAGAGGCAATAGCCATCCATCGTTTCTAGTGCTGCTGCTGCAGATTTTTCCATATTTATGTATTCTGTTGAGTACTGTAATGAGGATTTGTGATAGAGAAGAATCGTAACAGGGCTATGCCCATGTCATACCATCATGACCCAAAGTGCACTCTTCCCTTTCACAAATACACTGTAACGTGCCATCAGCCAACACTTACATTATCAGTTAGCTCCATCATGAGGAATTAGTTTACAGTCAACTGGAAGTTGCAATGGGAATCAGGACAGGGTCTTGAAGGAGGAGTGGGATGAGGGAGGTCTCAGAGGGAAGAAAAGGAGAACTAGGAGGGAAACAAGAAAGTACCTAGTGCCAAGTTCATTAACCTAGATATATGTGGCTTGATGGTCCCCAGGGTGTAGCATGAACAATCCCACATCCCCTTGCTTTCTGAGCCTAGGATTCCTTCTCTGTTCCCTCTGACTACCTTTCTTCTTTGCTATCTGGCTATTTCTGCTTCTGTCTTCCTCCCTCATTTGATTTTTTAAAATCCCCATAATATGAAACATATTTTTATTTAGTTTCTACCTCTCCTTATTGTAAAAAGCAGAGAAATGTTCTGTATTTTCCTCCAATAAAAAGAAAGAGAAAGCACTTTAAATCATAAAGTTCCATCTAAATGGATTTTTTCCTGTGAGTCTGCAATCCCCAATTGGAAAAATATAAAGGTTCCTTGCTCCCAGGCTAGTGAAAGAAATAGTAATAACATGATGGAAATGAGGGGAGGATGGGGAACGAGTGCAGCAGACCAGAGGGTGGATGGAAAAGCAGGACTGCGAGGCAGCCCCCCCAAGGGACAGGCACCACAGGTGTGGAAGAGTGCAAACAGGGGCTGCCACCACTGCTTGGACCACTCTGCCTTGTCCCCCTTGCTGACCAGGACAGTGAGAAAGGACAAAGGCAACCAGCTCACTAGGATCCCCTGTCTGCTTTCTGACTCTCCAATAAGTGGCATGGAAAGGTATCAGTAGAAAACAAAATGAGCAATTTGTCAGTGAAAAACTCTAGAGTGACTAAGAGGACCAGCCCTGCAAAATCCATACCTGGGGAATGAAGATGAAGCAGTTGATTGTAGTTGTACAAACAAAGATCCCTCCAGATGTGAGTCCAAAGACCAGGTTGGGCCAGGAATGCAAGTATCTGGTGACTACAAAAAGCAGCCCAGCAGCCAGTACAAGGAGGTTGACCCCCACCATGATGGTTAAGGACTGATTCACAGGAGGGGAGCTGACATGGCCAGTCAGGCCAGCCAGGTAGGCACCATACAGCAGGAGCAGACCCTGGGGGGTGAAGAGGTGACGGAGGCTCAGAGAAGTGGAACAAGAGGTCAATGAGCAGTAGGTTTGCAACCAATTTCCTCATCTGTAAAATTAGGATAATAATACCTACCTTAAGGACTGCTATGAGGATTTACTAAGATATCACATAAGAAAACCCTCAGGGCAGCCCCTTATACCTACTAGATACTTAATAAATGTTATTTTCCTCTCCTTTGCTGAGAATTAGTTTATCAGAAGTCAGCAAGTCAGCCATTAAATAAGACTCTTCTGAGACAAGGCATAGGACAGGATCATGTGGGTGGGTTAGTATCCCTACAGAAAGAGCTGTTGGGCACTTGGAGGACAGTGGGCCCACAGAACCTCTGATAGTGAGTGCTACCACAGCCATTGTCTGGTGTTGCCCTGCTCAAAGCTGAGGGTGCACAGGGAAGCTGAAAGTGACCTCTGATCTGCTTGTCAAGTCATGTGCCACAGCCAGGGTAGTGCCCATAGGAAGGGGCTCTTTTCTCTAATTTGCCCAAAGGCACCATCTGCTTGCCAAGCCTTGCACCTGCAAGACTGCATCTGACTAGAAGGGATGGGCCTTCAAAAAATTTACACAAAGGATCTCTACAGGCTAGCAGCGGCTCCATGCCAGTGAGTGTTTATGGGAGATGAAGGGTAAAAAAAGGGGAGAACAAAGGCAGGCTGGGACCCAGGCAAGACTGTGGGGCAGGCACAGACAGCGAAAGCTCCATCTATAGTTCTCACCCTTTTTGTGACATTTCTTGCTCCCCTACAAGGAACCCAGGGCCCTATTCTGTTCTCTTTCCTATGAATATAAACCTGCTCTCAGAGTTGTCATTTGTACTAAGGAGAAAATAACTCATAGCACCTTAAAGTGCTGCCCCCTCCACAGGAGCTGCATTCATACAGAAATCAAAGCTTTAGTCAATAATACATAACACATAGATTCAATTAGGTTCACCTTTCTGACTATGTGTGCAGTGCCATAGTACGTGTAGGGCAGAAAATAGTGACACAAAGAAGTCATGGTCCTGGCTTTTAACACTTGGTCTGGTAGGTAGATTTAAGGTAAGCACAAAAATCTTCTTTTTTTTTTTTTTTGAGATGGAGTTTCGCTCTTGTTGCCCAGGCTGAAGTGCAATGGCATGATCTCTGCTCACTGCAACCTCCGTCTCCCGGGTTCAAGCGATTCTCCTGTCTCAGCCCCCGAGTAGCTGGGATTACAGGCTTGTGCCACCATGCTGAGCTAATTTTGTATTTTTAGTAGAGATGGGGTTTCACCATGTTGGTCAGGCTGGTCTCAAACTCCTGACCTCAGGTGATCCAACCGCCTTAGCCTCCCAAAGTGCTGGGATTACCGGCATGAGCCACTGCGCCCAGCCTAAAAATGTTCATGTTGATGACTCAGAACGTGAAGATGCCATGGGAGACGAGGTGGGGGTGGGACTGTGGGATTCAGAGGGAGAACTAATAATGAAAATAAAGTCAGGTATCAGCAGGACACCTGCTGGTGACCCTCAAATCATATGACGTGGTCAACTCCACCTTCATGGGTGACACTAAAGAACATATTTTGGAGAACTGGCTGTGCCAGAAGGGAAGGAGTCAGCATGGAAGAGATACCTTCCAGGTTCCCCTAATGCCCAGTGTCCCAAATGGGGCCTGAAGGCCAAATGTGGCCACCCTGAGATCTTCAATGACTAGAGGACACATAAGTCAGGAGACCAGGGAAGCCCAACTTTTGGGTAACTGACGCCATCAGGTGGTATTCAGCAGAGTTGGATCATTGCTAATTTAATAAAAGGCAAATGAAATTAATTCTGTGATTTTGAAATGTTCAGATATGATTCCACTAAAAGTTTTTAATTCCATTAAAATTCTTGTTAAAGGGGAAATGGGTGTGAATCAAGTGTCTATACATTCCTGGCTGGTGTCTGAGTGAGTCATATTTGATCCTTGCATATCACTGGCCTTAACTGCTGAGAAGTGTGGGGTAGGGGGCAGTTGACAGAGAGCAGGGGTCCTAGGACTCAATGTGGAGATTGGGGTCCTCCTGAGGAGCTTCTCACTGACCAGGGAGTCTATGGGGTCTGGCTCAGTAAGTTTCCTGATGCTCCATCCTTTTCCTTCTTTTTCCTACAGAAAGATATTACAGTAAAATAGAATGGAAATGAGAGTATATAAAAGGCAATGGAGAAAATAAATCAAATTGAGTCACAAAGTAAGTAGCTATGGGGGAAGTGCTGGCTTTCTGGGCTAGGGAGGACACACTCTTCTACAGGGACTCAAGGAACCAACAGAGGCAATGTATTTTCCAGAAGTGTCTAGGGGGCAGTGGAAGAATAGTAATAATAATATCTAACATTTATTGAGCTCTTGCTATGGACCAGGAGCGGCTGAAAACTCTTAACATGCATTAACTCTTTAGAGACAGAACAGTTCTGAGGGGATATTATCATCATCCGCATTTTAAAATTTGGAAACTGAGGCTCAGAGAGGTTAAATGAGGCTCAGGGTTGGCTAGCCAGGGGCGGAGTCAGATTCAAACCCTGATCTGTCACAACTAAAGCTCCTTTTTTAACCATTAGCAAGATTCTGGAGATCAAGAGCTGTTCACTTCCTAGAGTCTTCTTTTAAAAAATATTTCTGTCAAAGTAATATTTGCACATAGTTAAAAAGGAATGTTTCCCTGCCCTAGTCTGGCCTACCCCTAAACCTGTTCCTCACAAGCAACAACTTCTAATACTTTCTTAGTGGTGAAGTGGGTAAAGTTTACCCCCCCTTTTTTTTTTTATTGAGATAGAGTCTCGCTCTGTTGCCCAGGATGGAGTGCAGTGGCGCAATCTTGGCTCACTGTAACCTCTGCCTCCCAGGTTCAAGTGATTCTCCTGCCTCAAGCCTCCCAAGTAGCTGGGATTATAGGTGCATACCACCACACCCAGCTAATTTCTATATTTTTAGTAGAGGCAGAGTTTCACCATGTTTGGCCAGGCTGGTCTCGAACTCCTGACCTTAAGTGATCCACCCACCTCAGCCTCCCAAAGTGCTGGGATTACAGGTGTGAGCCACTGTGCCCGGCCAGAGTTTACCCTTAAAGGGTACTTATTTCTACAAAAACTCCTCCTTTTCCTCTGCCAGTAATCAGTCAACCAGAACTCTCTGCCCTGATAGTCAACAGGTAGTCTGCTGTCAGGCAGGACTTGCTTGTTTATGGAATCAGGACTGCCCTGTACCCCTCAGCACCAGTTCTCTGTCTCCCTAAGCTGAAAACCAGCTGTCCTGTTCTGAGGACCATCCTCAGTGCTCCATGCAGGTATCCTCTACCTTCTGGAAATAATATTCTACTTTTGCCCATCTAACAGAGACAAATGAGTCTAATGGTGAGAGATTTGGGGCAGTATGGGAGACACTGTGAGACAGGTGGAACCCCTCAAAGGGCCCTGTGAATGCTGCCATCTGTCTCAGAGCCAGTCTTGCTTCCAACCAGAGGGAGAAAGTCAGGTGGGTGAAAGGCACCAGGACACCTTCGCCCAAATCTTGAAGAAAACACAAGAGACATAATAAGGGCACTTAGGAGAACAAATAAAGCTGGGTCAAATTTCTCCTCATAATTCCTCTTGCAGGGAAGATGAAGGGAAAACTGGTATTGTCAAATCAATTAAGAAACCAGACCAATAAATAGGAGAAACAGTGGGTGAATTCCAGATGATTTGGGGGAGGACTGAATGAGGGAGTCTAAAGAGTTGGAGGGTCTCCCCCAAACAAATACAAATAGAAAAGTAAAAACAGTCATGGCTTTGAAGTTTATGCATCAACAGAGGTCTCCTCTGAGTTCAAGATTCTTTGCAGACATCACCTCGTTAATTCCTGTAATTCCCTCTTCATATCCATTTTCTTGGTGACAGAGACCATATCAGATGTGGTTACCAACCTTGCATCCCCAAATGAGAGCAATCCAAACATCGGAATACCGGGAAGCACAGAAGTGGGTGCTGGTCGAAGTGCAGGACACGTCTTTCCCTGTCACCTAGAAGGGACACAGAGTCAGAACTGGAGGTGCCCACAATTACCAGGAACACAAAGCAGATCTTTGTGAACATGCTGGAGCATGAATTCTTCTAGAGTACATGATACCCCCTCAGTATGTAAAAACTGCAGCATTTAGGTGACTCCACTAGAACCTAAATGAGAGTGACTACGTGTTAGGAGAAGAGATGATAAAGTTGGGCTAACAGCTGTGTGCTTGGTGACACTAGGGCTTACCCCTCATTTATGTGCTTTGCTACCCCAATCAAATTAGTGCCTCAACAAAACTATAAACTATTTCATTATGCACCTGCTTTTTGCAAATCATTGAATCCTTAAACATTAATCTTGCAGTGTCACGATTCCATGATTCCACTGTATTCCTCAGCCCCTCGTGAGGCTGGAGATATATAATAATTTTTTTTTTTTTTTGGCAGGGTCTCACTCTGTCACCCAGGCTGGAGTGCAGTGGTGCAATCTCAGCTCACTGCAACCTCTGCTTCCTGGGTTCAAGAGATTCTCCTGCCTCAGCTTCCCAAGTAGCTGGGATTACAGGCATGTGCCACCACGCCTGGCTAATTTTTGTATTTTTGGTAGAGACATGGTTTCATCATGTTGGCCAGGCTGGTCTCAAACTCCTCACCTCAAGTGAGCTACCTGCCTCAGCCTCCCAAAATGCTGGGATTACAGGCGTGAGCCACCGTGCCCGGCCATACTTCTTGTTAATTGAATAGTATGTACTGGACATGGTTAAGTCTTTTACCTACATTGTTTCATTTAATCTTTGCCACAACCCTATGAGATAGGTAGTATTATTATCTCAATTTTACCAATTAGGAAACAGACTTAGAGAGGTTACATAACTTTCCCAAGGTCACACAACTGGTGAGCTTGGTAGAGCTGGGATTTGAACCAGGGTTGACTGACTCCAAAGGCCACCTTAAACTACTACCTCCACCTCTACAATTAGGGGAAGGTAACTGCCGATAGCTGAAAGTTTTAATTATTGATAATGTGGAAGTGGCAGAACTGCCAGGCAGATTCCAGCATGCTGATATCTCATTGTATGCCCACAAAGAGACACTCGGGCAGGAGGAGCAGTGGGAGTGGCAGCAGACTAGGGCAAGAATTACATGGAAGCCACAACTCCTGACTCTCCCTCCTCTTGGAGTCCTTTATCTTCTTGTTGCAAGGATGACTCCTGTGTATCCACAGAGGTCAGTCCAGTTTGGGGATGAGATTCTCTAGGGATTTGGCCCCTCACCGTCATACTGACACTGAGAATCTGGAGGCACTGGATGGGATCAGTCAGCACCCACGTCATGAGCAGGATCACATCAGCCATCAACAGGGCTGCCACCAACCCCAGCAACTGCAGGTCTTTGATAATCTGCAAAAGAGTCAAGGTCAAAACTTCTCCTTGTTGACTGGCTAAATGACAGAGGGGCTAGAGTATCCCATGTGCTCTCAGCTATATGCTCCAAGGTCAGCCCTCCCAAGGAGCTTCAAATGTAGCTATCAAAAATGAAACAGACACCAAACATTTACAATGACTTCTATGCTGATATCATTATTAGCATTACACATTTCCATTTGTTTAACTTCTTCATATCCTACCTTTTCCCACAAAGGACTCAAGGTGTTTTATAAAATAAATAAACTATTATTTCTATATGTTTATATAAGCACATAGATATGAATGTCACACCACAATGTTAATAACTATTAACTGAGAGGGTGGGACTCAGAGATGCAGGAAGAATCATTAGCATTTTCATTATATACATATGAATTACAGATTGACTTATGATCTTGACTTATGATGGGGTTATGTCCGGATAAACCCATCATAAGTTGAAAATATCATAAGTCAAAAATGCATTTAATACACCTAGGCTACCAAACATTGCAGCTTAACCTAGCCTACCTTTAATGTGCTCAGAACACTTATATTAGCCTACACCTGGGCAAAATCATCTAAAACAAAGCTTAATTTAATTTATAATGAAGTGTTGAATATCTCATAAAATGTATTGACTACTGTGCTGAAAGTGAAAAACAGAGTGGTTGTATGGGTATTTTAAGTATGGTTTCTACTGAATGTGGATTGCTTTCACACCATTGTAAAATAGAAAAACTGTAAGTTGAACTGTTTTATGTCAGGGACCATCCGTATTTGACTTAGGATGAAGAGAATGTGTTAGTTTGTGACTACAAAAATAAAATTGAGAAAAATATATACTGTGATAGGATTAAAATATTTAACAACCGGGAAGAGAGAAAATAAAGGGAATTATGATGAAGGCTCAGATGAAGAGTGTATATATAATAGCATTTACTAATTGGAGCAGAAGAAATGTGGATCTGAGCTTTTGACAACCAGTGAAAAGAAGCACAACCAGTTACGTGATTCAAGGTGTTTGTAAAATTAAAAACAAACCAATTGCCTAATCAAACTGTTCAAAACCAGTGATAAAGGGAAACTACTCAAAGCAAGCAGTGAAGAAAGACACATTTTGTGTAGACATAAAATAAACCTGACACTTCTCATCAGATACAAGGCCAAGTGAGAAGACAGTGCAGGAACATCTTGAAAGTACTAGAAGAAGAAAAGAAAATTTCAGTCTAGAATTCTATACTCAGTAATATATCTTTCAGAAATGAAGGCAAAATAAAGACTTTTTCAGATAATCAAAAGCTGAAAGAATTCAGTAGTAGCACACCCACACTGGAATGTTAGATATCCTTCAGGCAAAGGAAAATAATATGAGATAAAAATGTGGATCTATACAGGAAATTAAGAACACTGGAAATGGTAACTAAACAGAAAAATACATGATTAGTTTTCATTATTTAAATATCATTAAAGAAAATAACAAAATTCAGCATGTTGTCCTGGGTCTTAAAAATAAAAAAATAAAATATTTTTAAAGATAATTGATTTATTAAACAAAAGAATTGCATGGGGCCTATAACATGTAACAGCAAAGATAGGAATGGGGATAAAAGGAAGCATACTATTGTAAGGTACTTATACATGAGTGCCAATTATGCTATTCTATAGAAATTATTCCTGAAATTGAAAAGAAGGGAATAGTTCCCAACTCATTTTATAAAGCCAACATTACCCTGATACCAAAACTAGAAAAATATATTACAAGGCAACCACAGAGCAATATGTATTAAAAACATGAATGTACAAATTCTAAACAAAGTTTTTATAAAACTGAGTCCAACAATATATGAAGAGGATAATGTAGCATGACCAAATGAAGCTAATCCCAGGGATGGAAGGTTGGTTTGACACCCTAAATCATTTAACATATGGGGAGAGAAAGAGATAATGAGCAGAAGCATAGAGGATTTTTAGGGCAGTAAAACTACTCTGTATGATACTGTAATGGTAGATACATGTCATTGCACATTTGTCCAGACCCATAAAATGTACAACACCAAAAGTGAACCCTAATGTCAAGTACAGACTCTGGGTGATAATGACGTATTAATGTAGTTCCATCAATTGTAATAAGTATATACTCTGATGGGGAATATTGATAATGGGAGAGGCTATGCATGTGTGGGGAAAGACTGTATATGTAAAACCTCTGTACCTTCTGCTCAATTTTTATGTTAACTTAAAACTACTCTAAAAAATAAAGTCTATTGTGTAAGGGTTTAAAAAAAAAACCATTTAACATAATCCACCATGCGAATAAACTAAGAAAAGAAAAACTGTATGATCATCTCAATAGACCCAGAAAAAGCTTTTGACAAAACCCAACATCAGTTCTTGATTAAAACTCTCAGCAAAATAAGAATAGAATAGTACTGCCCCAACTGGATAAATGGAATTTACAATAAAACTACTGCTAATATCATTCTTAGTTTTGACTGTTTTCCCCATAGGATCAAGAATAACAAATATATCTGCTCTCACCACTTCTATTCAGATTGTACTATTGTATCTAGCCAGTGCAATCAGACAAGAGATTGGAAATAAATTATCTTTATTCACTGCTGATATGATCATCTTTGTAGAAAATCTGATAGACTCTATAAAAAAGCTGCTAGAACTAACATGTAGTTTAGCAAGGTTGCAGTATACAAGCTAAGCATATAAAAATTAATTATATTTCTGTGGCCAGGCATGGTGGCTAATGCCTGTAATCCCAGAACTTCGGGAGGCCAAGGAAGGCAGATCATCTGAGGTTGGGAGTTTGAGACCAACCTGGCCAAAACGGTAAAACCTCATCTCTACTAAAAATACAAAAACTAACCAGGTGTGGTAGCAGGCACCTGTAATCCTAGCTACTTGGGAGGCTGAGGTAGGAGAATTGCTTGAACCCGGGAGGCGGAGGTTGCGGTAAGCCGAGATCGCACCACTGCACTCCAGCCTAAGCGACAGAGTGAGACTCCATCTCAAAAAAAAATAATAATAATAATTATATTTCTATTTATTAGCAACAAACAACTGGAAAGTGAAATTTAAAAAAATAGTAACATATAAAATAGCATAAAAATATAAAATCCCTAGAAATAAGTTTGATGAAAGATGTGAAAGAGCAATATTGAAAAGTACAAAAAAATGATGGGAAAAATTAAAGACCTAAATAAATGGGTTCATGGGTCAAAGGACACAACATTAGTAAGAAGCCAATTCTCCATAATTTGATCTATTAGATTCAACATAATCCCAAAAGAATTTTTGTAGAAATCAGTGAACTGATTCAAAAATTCACATGGGCATTCAAAGGACCCAGATTAGCCAAAACAGCATTGAAAGAGAAGAAGAAAGTCAAAGAACTAATACTACCTGATTTCAAGATTTAGTATAAAGCTACAGTAATCAGGGTAATATGGCATTGCTGTTGAGATAGACACATCAGTGAGACAGAATGGAGGGTCCAGAAATAGATCTACACACTTATGGACAACTGATTTAACAAAGGCACAAAGGTAATTCAGTGAAGAAAGGACAATCTTTTCAACAAATGATGTTGGAATAATCAAATGTCTATATGTAAAAAACTAAAATTCAATCAATACATCATACCATATACCGATCATAGGCCTAAATGTCAAAGCTAAAACTCTAAAATTTCTGGAAGTAAACACATGAGAAAACCTTTTGGGGCCTTAAGTTAGGCAAAAATTTCTTAAATATAATACCAAAAACATGATCCATAAAAGAACACATTGGGGCCGGGTGTGGTGGCTCATGCCTGTAATCCTGGAACTTTGGGAGGCTGAGGCTGGTGAATCACTTGAGGCCAGGAGTTTGAGACCAGCCTGGCCAACATGGTAAAGCCCCGTCTCTACTAAAAATACAAAAACAAACAAACAAATAAACAAGAAACCTAAAAACAAAGAACACATTGGTAAATTCAACTTCATCAGAATGAGAAATGTCTTATCTTTGAAAGACATTCTGAAGTAAATGAAAGTAAAAGGAACAAAAGAACAAACTGGAAGAAAATCTTTGCAAATCATACATCTGATAAAGGGTTTGTATCCAGAATATAAAAAGAACTCACAAAACTCAATAATAAGACAACAAAAAATCCAATTTAAAAATGAGTGAGGCTGGGTGTGGTGGCTCATGCCTATAATCCCAGCACTTTGGGAGGCCAAGGTAGGCGGATCACGAGGTCAGGAGTTCGAGACCAGCCTGGTCAACATGATGAAACCCCATCTCTACTAAAAATACAAAAATTAGCCGGGTGTGCTGGTGGGTGCCTGTAATCCCAGCTACTTGGGAGGCTGAGGCAGGAGAATTGCTGGAAAGCAGAAGGCAGAGGTTGCAGTGAGCCAAGATCACACCACTGCACTCCGGCCTGGGCGAAAGAATGAAACTCTGTCTCAGAAAAAAAAAAAAAATGGGTGGAAGATTTGAACAGAAAGTTTGCCAAAGAAGGTGTATGGATGGCAAATAAGCAAGTGAAGAAATGCTCAATACTGCATTAGAGAAATGCAAATTTGAAAGCATAATGAGATACTACCACACATACCTATTAGAATGCCTAAAATGAAAAAGACTGATCAAATCAAATGTTGCCAAGAATGTGGAGGAAATGGACTCTCATACATTGCTGGTGGAAATGCAGAATGGTACAACCACTTCGAAAAACAGTCTGACTGTTACTTAAAAAGTTAAATATACACTTACCATATGATCCAACCATACTCTTAGGTTTTCACCCAAGAGAAATAAAAGCCTATGTCTAAACAAAGACTTTGTACACGAATGTTCATAGCAGCTTTAATTTTAATCGCCACAACTGGCGATAACCCAAACATCCATCTACAGATAAGCAAATTGTGTCTATGCATTGTAATACTACTCAGCAATAACAAAGAAATAACTATTGATGCACACAACATAGATAAATAACTATAATATTCATAAAAACAATTATGTGAGTAAAATAAGCCAGAGAAAACAGAGTCCATACTGCATGGTTCCATTTATGTAAAACTCTGGAAAATGCAAACTCATCTACAGTGACAGCAAATCAATGATTTTCTGAGGATAGGAACAAGGGATATAAGGATTGGACAGGGGAGGGAGATAACAAAGGGTTGCAAGGAAGCTTTTGAAGATGAGGGATATGTTCATTATGCACCATGTTTCTTGGTTGTATATCCATGTCACAATTTATCAAATCATATGCTTTAAATATGTGCAGTTCACTGCATGTCAGTTATACTTCAGTAAAGCTGTTTAAAAAAGAAATTGGTGTTCTTGAGGGATGAATGCAGTTTTTGTCCTTTTAGGCAATCTTCTTCATAGGTATGGTTGCTCACAGCTGAGCTTTTGGTAAGTATGCACCATGATTCAATAACATTTGCTAAAATAAATTCCCATCATTCCAGAGAAGTAAACACCAACTGAATGATATATTGGGTCTGGGCAGGGCCTATACCCAATGAGGATAATGGTCAGGAATTGAGGTTTGAGCAGTCTCATCAGACAACCTGATAAAATGGGGAAATGTGGTTAAGTTGATGACTGATACCAGGGACATGTCGGTGATCTGGCTGCTACATAACTTAGAGTTGATTCTATCTGCTCTTCCTTGCTCACTGCTTTGGGCACATCCTTCTCAGTACAGAGAACTGCCTTCTACATAGAAAAGAACTGGACTCCAGGGAAGGAAATAACTACTTACTTGCTATAGTTTCTCTGTAATCACTCTTCCTCCCTTCACTTCCAGCTCGCACCTGTGCCAAACAACAGTCTCTGGGTATCTTGTTCTGCCTCACACTGGTGCCAGGTATTGGCCAGCTCACATGTCCCCACAGGGCCTGGGGTACATAGGAACCAGAGCCCACGTTTGAAGCCCTATCTTCAACAGCACTGATCCACAGCCTTCCAGACCTGAGGCCTTATGAGGCTGCATGATTCCAGGGTTTGGAATGAGAAACAGGAACTTTGGATGTCCTGAAAGGGGCTAGGCTCAGTAATGTGCATGAGCTTCTCTAGCTGTTAACCAATGCTGAAGCTACCATCTACAGTCAAGCATTGTGTACTTGCTGCCTACTCACCACTCTCTTGTCCGGGACCCTTTGGGTAAACACCTTGTAGAGTCGCCAGCTCTTTCCCAGAATGGGGCCAAACACAAGGGAGGTCCCAATGCACAGCATGGACAGTCTTGTCTATGGGTGGAAGGGGACAGAAGAGTCACAAGAGGAACCTTTATCAGTTCTCCACACACTCTGATCTGTAGGGTCTGGGTCCCACAGAGCGCACGAGGTACAGAGTGAACCTCACCAAGTGTTCTGGGATTCCCTCGAAAAGTGCCCACTCCAAGGATAAAGGAAACCACCACCCACGGGAGCAGCTGGTTTAAAAAAATAATCAAAACTTTATAGTCAAAACCAAATTTTAAAACTTCACCTACCTGAATGAGAGTTTCCATTGAGCTCCCCACTAAAACATCCTGAATCCCAAAGAGGTAAGCGCTACTGTAAGTGAGACAACTGCCCAGTAAGGTCACAATGTTCAGATTGGGACTGGACATCTTCACAATCCTAGAGGGGATCAGGAAGAAAGACACTTACAGCCATGACCTTTTGCCTTGGGGCCAAAGACCTACGAGACCAAAGCTTCCTCACCAGCATAATCTCCAGTGCAGCCTTGGAGTGAAGGACCACTGGGAAGAAACATCTTTACAGCCCTGTGAAAACTTATAATTTCTTTAAATTTATTTTCACAAAGAACTAAACTCTGGCACTTATTCCTTGTATAACTCCCAAGTCTTTTAAAAGAAGGATGACTACCTACAAACAGGTGGTATTGGAGAAGAGTTGGGATTTTATGCATGAAGTTTATGGTTGCTAGGGGATTGCTATGTGCAGCTTAGTGAATAAATAACCAGCAGGTAGATATCCACAGAGTTTGGAGCCCTTAGAGGTTTTTTTTTTTTCATATACTATTTACTTTATTTGATATGTAAACCATTTTCCTCTACTTTTCCAAGAAAGAAAGAGGATAAAGGGATTAGAAGCAGGAAATTGGGGAAAGGCCTTTTCTCAAGTATTAATAGTTTTAGATGAGATTGGAGACAAATTTGAAAGTTAGAGGGAGATGTAAATAATCAGGGTTTCAGACAAATACCCTGGGCACCAACAGAAGTTCAGGATGTGAACTGGTTAACCTAAGGGCAATGCCAGGCTCACACTGGACAGTGACTGATACTAATTAATTACAAGTAACAAGAAGGAAAGACATTGTATTTAAGAATTGTAATCTAAATAGTGTATATAAATGCAACATTTCTACTAATAGTCATTTGATAATTATACTTTGTTATACTTTTATTTTTAAATCATAACTAAGGAGGAGAGCATTCTTACCTATGTCTCTTGATGACATGGCAGACTGCCTTAAAGGCAGGGCCAAGGCAAAACTATCCACTTAGTGAAGCTTGTTCTAACCACAGGCAAAGCACCTAGGAGGCACTAAACAGTTTGGCAGTGCTGGATTTGCAAGCATCATAACCGCCAGGAGCACGGCTTAGTTACTTTGTGTCTGACATTGTAATACATCCATACACACAAGAACACCAAACCACTGTCCCAGGCCCCAGGTACTGTCAGCATAGGCCAGTGAATCCAGTTGAGCTTAGCCTTGTTTTGGAGGGAAGATTTTTTTCTTTTTCTAAAAGTGAGAGCAACTTTCATGCACACCCTTTTCTAAAATGAGAATAATAATTATGCGATCTACCTTCAAAGAGTTGTAAGGATTTAATAAGGCAATATGGCAAAATGCTTGGCACATGGCCTGGCACATAGTAGGCATGTTGCCAACATCAGCTGCTTATATTATAATCTCACTGTCCACCTCTTCCAGGTTTTAGAAACCTAGGAATCACCTTTTCCTTCTTCTGTTTCTTTATCAGAAACACCCAATCAATTGCCAAGTTTCTTTCATTTCTTCTTCTTTTTTTAATTTTTTTGAGACAGAGTCTTGCTCTGTCACCCAGGCTGAAGTGCAATGGCATGATCTTGGCTCACCACAACCTCTGCCTCCCTGGTTCAAGTGATTCTCCTGCCTCAGCCTCCCGAGTAGCTGGGATTACAGGTGCCCGCCACCATGCCCAGCTAATTTTTGTGTTTTTAGTAGAGACAGGTTTCACCATGTTGGCCAGGCTGGTCTCGCACTCCTGACCTCAAATGATCTGCCTGCCTCGGTCTCCCAAGGTGCTGGGATTACAGGTGTGAGCCACTGTGCCCGGCCTCTTTCACTTCTTATTTCAAAGTCTCTGAGTTTTCTCTCACTCTCCATCCTTTTTTTTTTTTGAGACAGAGTCTCTCTCTGTTGCTCAGGTTGGAGTGTAGTGGTATGATCTTGGCTCACTGCAACCTCTGCCTCCTAGGTTCAAGCAATTCTTCTGCTTCAGCCCCGAGCAGCTGGGATTACAGGTGCCCACCACCACGCCAGGCTGATTTTTGTATTTTTAGTAGAGAGAGGCTTTTGCCATGATGGCCAGGCTGGTCTCAAACTCCTGACCTCAAGTGATCTGCCTGCCTCAGCCTCCCAAATTTCACTCTCCATTTTTTTTTTTTTTTTGAGACAGTGTCTTGTTCTATTGTGCAGGATGGAGTGCAGTGGGGCAATCTCGGCTCACTGCAACCTCCACCTCCTAGGTTCAAGTGATTCTCATGCCTCAGTCTCCCCAGTAGCTGGGTTTACAGGCACGCACCACCACACCCATCTAATTTTTGCATTTTTAGTAGAGATGGGGTTTCACCATGTTGGCCAGGCTGGTCTCGAACTCCTGACCTCAGGTGATCCGCCCACCTCGGCCTCCCACAGTGTTGGGATAACCGGTGTGAGCCACCGCGCTTGGCCTCTCCATTCTTGATACCATGTTTATCCAGGATACAATCATGTTAGGAGCAATGGAACTGGGGTTGAGGGTAACAGGTGGGAACACCAGCTCTGCCACTCACAGCTGACTAAGCCTGTCTGACCAGGAAACAGGCTCCTATTTCCTCATCTGGAAAATGAAAATAACATCATCTTTTGTATCTACCCCACAGGTTATTGCAAAGATGAGATGATGTATGTGCCAAAACTGTTTGCAAACTTTAAGATGATGCAAAAATATTACTTTTTAGATTTTTGATGTAACCTTCAGCTCTCAGTAAACACCAATTTTTTCCTGTTCTAGTACATTCTGTACATTACATTCAGATTTATTAATCTTCACATGCCACATTTATATTTAGCAAAAGAGCTACATGTATAAACAACAAGCTTCTGTGGTTTACCTTAAGTCTCCTGTATCCAAATTTAAGATCTAGCCCTATCATATGATCCACTTATTCATTCAGGTCTGCCTCCTCAGCCTCCATGTCTTCAGATTGTGGACTTATGGAGAGTGATTTTCCTTAATTTCTTTATCTCTCCACAAAAGAAGGGGAATATGTGGTGAATATTAACTACAGAAGTAAGAACAGTGCTAACCAGCAGCTTCACAAAGCATTTTTTGAAGAAAGGTACTACATTAGAGAGACCAGTGCTGACACTGATTCAGAGCAGAGAGTACTGCTGACCTGGCACCGGCTGCACAGGGCAGTCAGAAGTTTGAGCAATGGCACAAGCAGTGGGACTCCTGCAAGACCCATAACCCAGGCCATTCCTCCCCATGGCCATTCTCACATTCCTGCACATAAGCCATGACTATCTGATGGTGACCTCGTCACCAAGCAACTGCCTGGATTTCACAGCCACATGTCTGTTTGGTCCAGATCACTGATCGGTACGTTTCTCTCATAATTTTTCTTTGGACCCACTTTATTTGAGTACCACTATACAATCAGTTTTCCTTTGAGTGATACAGTACTACATGAAATCCTGATTGAGGATTCCTTCTCTTTCTGATTTAGTTAAGAGGAACTCAATTTAGTTATTTTCCAGAAAATATACATTGAATAGTTTTCACCTCTCAGACAGTGGTGCTAATTCATTATTCAAATAGACATACTATGGACTTATATATGTATATTGTGATATTTTTCCCGAGCAATCTTACTGAAAACTTGCCTCAGGGAACAAAAGATGAATACAAGATGATTTCCCTTTTTTGTTTGGCCAAGTTAACACCTGTGAAGTCACTGAAAGGTGAATCATCTCCAATTCAGCAGGTGAATTATGTATGTCTGGGGAATGTCTTTGCCACGTTGGTAGGAATTCAGTCACCAATGTCATTTATATTTTTCTATTGAGCTAAAAGATGAAGCCTACATAGCTGAATATTTTAATCAGCCACAAACACATAATTTCCACAAAGCAAATAGATTTCAATATTGTATATTTAATTATAGATAGCCAGTACTATCTAGGTTACTTGTCTTCCATTTATGAAGAGTAAAAAGCCTGAATTGGGTTACTGTCAGTCAGAAACAAGGTGAATTTTTTTTTTAAAGGATTATATAGCTTTCTCATTATCTCTTCCTCTTCATTTATTGAGTGGAAATGTAAGACAAGAACTTGCTTGATTTTTCTATCCTCAAGTGAGGTTTCAATACATATAGATAAATATTGAACTACATCTGCAAAACCTGTATAATTCTGCATTATCATTTCAATAGTCTCTAATGAATTCAGATGCTTAAGCCACATCCACCAGCTCAATGGTATGATGTTGCAAAAACTTTATCAAATGTTAATTTCTCAACTTGGCAGTTTATTTTATTTGAAGTTACTGAGTCTGAAAACATGGCCAGAGAATGGAGCACAAGGTACTTGTTGGCATGCTGTGACTAACAGAAAACTTATCCTAAGATGTCACAAGACCATGCTCTCTAAAATGCTATAAAAATTGATGTAAATGGTATCACTGAGCTTTAACCTATCCAAAACCAAATATGAATGTCTTTCCAAAATGCTTTTTAATAAAACAATTAAAATTTAAATTGTGAAAATTTATCTGATTTCTTTATCAACTTACTGTTTTTGATCCATGCTACAATGGGATTGTAAATCTAACTCAAATAAAACTCCAAATACCTTTATCATAATGTTATCTGATGTGTTTCAGCAAATTTGATCTTTTAATATCTTGCTTATTTCTAATGTATACACTAATCTGCACCCAATTAAAATTCTGCACACCTCAAGCTAATATTAGTGTGACCTCTAACTATTTGTATTTAAAGTATCCATCATAAGGCCTGACCCCGTTCCCTACTCTCGTGCCTGGGCCACCATCCTCGTAGAACATCCTAGGAGATTTCATTAGCTTTTCAGCCTCCAGAGTTCTAAATTATTCAATCATAATGATTTCACTTTATTCCTCTTCAGACACCCATCCCCAGGTTACACTCTGGGTCTTAGGGTCACTCAGAATGGTTCCCCTTCAGGAATTGTAAACACCAATATCCCAACACCAATTTGACTACAATCTGTTCAAAATTTAACTCCAAGTCTCCCTCTCAATTGCTCACCTTCTTCCCCATTTCAGATAATGGCAACTCCACCTTTCAATTTGCCTGGACCAAAAACCTTGGAGTCATCCTGACTCTTGCTCACTACCCACATCCAATCTGTCATAAATCTTGTTGGCTCTATCCTCGAAATACATCCAGAATCTAACTCCTTCTCACCACCTCTGCTGCCACCACCTGATCAAAGTCTTACTTTGCATTTCTTATTTGGATTATTGCAATAGCCTCCTAACTGGTCTCCCTGCTTCTACCCTGGCACTTCCCTCAAGTCTATTTTCAACATAGCAGCTAGAGTAATCCATTAAAGAGACATAAGATCACATCACTTCTGTGCTCAAAACCCCACAATGACTCTCTATTTCCCAGAGGGAAAGCCAGTCTTTACCAGAGTCTACAAAGCCTACACACTCGATCCCTGTTGTTTCTTGACCTCATTTCTTACATCTTCTCCAGGCCCACTCCACTCCAGCCACACAGCCTCCTTGCTTTTCCTTGAAAACACCAGGCACTCACACACTGCGAGGCTTTGAAGTGGCTGTTCTCTCTGCCTGGAATATTTCAATACATGTATCTGCATAGCTCATCCTCTTTCTCTCCTGATTGTGTGTTCATATGTTACCTTCTCAACCAGAGCTATGATGACAACCCTATTTAAAATTATACCCTATCCTCGGAATTCTGAATTCTTATTCTGCTCTATTCTCTTCCCCTGCCCCCATCCAACCATAGTACTTATTACCTTTTAACATATTACATAATTTACTTGTTTATTATTATGATTTTATTTATTGTTTTCTCCTCCCAATAGCATTGTGCATGATGTACTCTCAGAACTAGAACACTACCTGGACACTGAAGGCACTCAATAAACATCTGAGGAATAAATGAGTGAGCATCCTATCCTCCAGCCCTCTCATGTGCTTACTCCTGCCACATTTGTACATTGACAGCCTATAGACCTCCAGTCACTTGGTTCTTTTGCTTCCTCATAGTTTATCAGTCTCTCTTACTGTCTCTACCTAATTTCAGATCCCTGGTTGGTCATCTGAACTGTTCTCTCAATAACATCCTATTCCCTTTTCAAACAAGCCCTTCTGCAGCATCTGCCCAATAAAACTCAGATCAGAGCCACAATCCATTGTCTGCTTTTGCATCCGGGCAGCCGAGTGGTGCAGGAGAAAATTAGACAACCTTGCAGATTGTTGCCACCAAAACTGACGTTCTCCAACATCAATCTGCCAAGCTTACTGTGCCATCTATCTTTTTATTTATTCTGAGTTATTTCTTTACATTTTCTTTGTGAGTGACTCACCTCACAGGACTCACAGAAACAAGAGCATGTATCTGTCTGGATGATGCCCTCAGTCTAGGTTTGGTGCCATCCTCTATGTCCCTAAAACACCCCAGGGTCTATGTGCATCAGTACAATTGTCATGTTATATTACCACCTTTTAATGTTAGTTCCACCGGACAGTTTCTACTCCTCAAAAGCCAGGCTGTTTCTTATTCTATAACCCACACCATAGTACGGTCTTTGGAAAATGGTAAGTGTTCCATAACCATCTGTTGAATGAATTCATTAATGGATATGGAAACTCCTTCTCTTCTTCTTTCTTTGTCCTCTTCCCTAATCTTATTTTTCCCTGGCAAAGCACTCCCCTATTAGGCAGAAGGCTGAGGGCTAAGCATGTGTGCCATATGGCTCTTAAAGTACTAGAGATCTGTGAGAGTTGGGGGAGAGTTAGGAACTGGTTCAATGCCTATGTGTTAGGAGGGGCACATTCTGGGTAATTGTAGTGGTTTCAGGGGGATCCCCACAGTCCCCTGGAATGGCTGAGAATTCCTTGGAATTAGTGAACACAAGGGCCAGAGATATTTGGGGGGCTCTGAGTGCTGTGGATGCTGTGAACTTCCATAGACACTGGGTTTTCACCACTTTAACAAATTTGCACACCCCAAACCCTCACTAAAAAGCTTTGCATTCTGGGTAAGCCCTTCCTTTGCCTCCCCTCTTAGCACAGAGCTGAAAAGAGCCTAAAAATAAACGAGAGAAAGCATCCTAACAGGATGCCTGTAAAGCTTTTTCCTCTCATTCTTTTTGTTTCTAGGAAAGTGCAGCACCTTGAAGGAGTGTATATTCACATATGCACTGCGTATATGTTTACTTGTCTCCAGTGAGATAGGGCCACTTGAAAGATTCTTTGCCAATGGCTGAATTCTTGCTGGAGAATTCTCCCAGGAAATGCTTTTGTCCAATATGTTTCTTACGTCGTGTGTTGAGAGCCACGCAGGCCCAGAGATACGATGATAGCCCTTGTCAAGCAATTGATGGATGAAATCTCATCTTCATGACCACACAGATTACAGACTCTCAGCAGACATCTGCATCAGAGGTTAACAACATGCATCCCACCCCCAGGCTTCAGAAAATCTGCTGATCATGGACTGAGTTGCTGCTTGCAGCTAGGCTAGGAAGCAGGCCTTTTTACACCCTTGAAGCCAGTAAATTATAACTTTTTACATCCTTGAAGCCAGTAAATTTGTAAATTATGTTTTGTCATGAGCCAAACACTCAGCACTGCCTCTTGTCCTGGGTGGGCCTGGCCTTTCCAAATCAGCCTGCTTTCCTGTAGTCCTGCTTT
Organism: Homo sapiens; assembly: GCF_000001405.40. Taxonomy (NCBI): domain Eukaryota; kingdom Metazoa; phylum Chordata; class Mammalia; order Primates; family Hominidae; genus Homo; species Homo sapiens. The sequence continues at coordinate 120,200,990 of NC_000003.12, forward strand.
GTTTCACATGGAGAGAGTGATATCCTTACCCCGCACTGTCAGTTCAGGCCCACAGCTGCTGAAGTTGCACCTGGAAGAACAAAGACATTCTGCCCACAGAATAGCTGAATGGTTAGCAGTGCTTGGACCTGATGAAACCAAAGGTCTCTTCTAGCTTCTCCCTTCTCAAGTTATGCCAGAGACAGTTGTTTTTTGTTTTTTTTTAGACAAAGTCTCACTCTGTTGCCCAGGCTAGAGTGCAGCCAGGCTGGAGTGCAGTGAGGCGATCTCAGCTCACTGCAACCTCCACCTCCCGGGTTCAAGCGATTCTCGTGTCTCAGCCACCCCAAGTAGCTGGGATTACAGGCACATGCCACCATCCTTGCCTAATATTTGTAATTTTAGTAGAGATGGGGTTTCACCATGTTGAACAGGCTGATCTCAAACTCCTGGGCTCAAGTGACCCGCCTGCCTCGGCCTCACAAAGTGCTAGGATTACAGGCATGAGCCACTGCTCCCAGCCCAGAGACAAATTTCTTTTCTCTATCCTCGGCTTATTAATAAGCTGGTTACACTTTGCATTTCTGTCTCTCTTTCTTAACCAGGAAGGGCAGGCTGACTTGGTTTACCAGAGGTGCAATAGAATTTACACCCAAATCAATCAAATAATCAAATAAACAAAATATTTAGCTATAAGTGTGAAAGAAGACTTGCTAAATATCGTGCCCCCAAATTCCCCTTTAGCAAATGACCTTGTTTTCCCCATGCTTTATGAGTTATTGCTTTAATGATCTTCATGTGCCAAACATTAATTCAACAATTCCTAAATACTAACTTGCCAAGGTATTAAGAACCAGTGATAGGAAGGCAAAGGAGATATAATCTCTGCTATCAGCATATTAGGACACCACATCCTTGGTTTCTGACCTTTTCATTGCAAAGACGATTTTCTTATTTGTTCTTTTTCTTTAAAATAGAATAAAATTTTAATTTAATATTAGAAGTTGTTTTATCAGTATCTACTAGGCCATTTGACAAAAGTCTACATTCCTGAATCTATGTGTACTATAGATATTAATATGTGAATATACATATAAATTGACAGTGTACAAATTTCAGCATTCACAGCTCCCTTGGACTATAAACAGGCCTAAGGATCAACTTTTTTTTTCTTTCTTTTTTTATTTTACTTTAAGTTCTGGGATACATAGGCAGAATGTGCAGGTTTGTTACATAGTTATACATGTGCCATGGTGGTTTGCTGCACCTATCAACCCATCATCTAGGTTTTAAGCCCCACATGCATTAAGTATTTGTCCTAATGCTCTCCCTCCCCTTGCCCCCAACCCCCAACAGGCCTCGGTGTGCGATGTTCCCCTCTCTGTGACCATGTGTTCTCATTGTTCAACTCCCACTTATGAGTGAGAACATGCGGTGTTGGGTTTTCTGTTCCGGTGTTAGTTTGCTAGGATCAACTTTTTAATTTAATTTAATTTAATTTCTGAGACAGAGTTTCACTCTCTAATCTAGGCTGGAGTGTACTGGCATGATCTTGGCTTACTGCAACATTTATCTACTGGGCTCAAGCAATCCTCCCACCTCAGCTTCCCAAGTAGCTGGCACTACAAGTGCATGCCATCACACCCAGTTAATTTTTATTTTTTTGCAGAGACAAGGTCTCATTGTTACCCAGGCTGGTCTCAAACTCCTGGACTCAAGCAATCCTCCCATCTTGGCCTCCCAAAGAGTTGGGATTACAGGAGTGAGCCACCTCTCCTGGCCAGGATCAACTTTAAAAGCATCCTTGCAACTATTTTAAAAGCTGAAATATGGAAATTTGGATATAAGACTAAATGCCCACTATCTCATTATATAACAGCTGAAGTTTAGGAACAATAGTGAAAAAGCATAGTGATAAATTCAAGATAAGTTGGTGACAAGGAGGGGGAAAAAGCCCCAAAGGATACCCTTACTGGAAAGGAAGTTTGTGTGGCTTTACTTAGGAATATTATGGGCACATTCTGCTTTGTTTGTTTATCTTCAAAAAATTAGTTTCTGAATGTATTTTTGCCATATCTCATGCAATTATAATATATTTTAGATGAGCTTTTAAATGCTGTGGGGAAAACACTAGACACACACACAAAATCCTCTTTTCGCCTAGAACCTCAGACTCTAGGTTACAACCCTGGCATGTGTTGTAATTTATGAGGCAATGATTTCAACTTCCTTTCTCCGTTTAGCTGCAGGAAAAGGCCTTGAGCAATTCCTGGCAGGAGACTTGTAGCTCTTCCAAAAGGGCAGAGCAGATGTCCTGATTTTAAGTAGGGCATGAAGCACAGGCACAATTGGCCATAGGAAACATCCAATCACAAGGAGTCACTGCTAAAGCAGAATATTATGGGCTTCCAGGTGACATGTAAATTGATCTCCTTGAGGCAGGAAAGATTGCCTGCCATACTGGGGAAGATTCCTCTTTCCTCTTTTTTTTTTGAGACGGAGTTTCGCTCTTGTTGCCCAGGCTGGAGTGCGGTGGCGCGATCTCGGCTCGCCGCAACCTCCACCTCCCAGGTTCAAGCGATTCTCCTGCCTCAGTCTCCCGAGTAGCTGAGATTACAGGTGTGCACCACTATGCCCAATTTATTTTGTATTTTTAGTAGAGATAGGGTTTCTCCATGTTGGTCAGGCTGGTCTCAAACTCCTGACCCCAGGTGATCCGCCTGCCTCGGCCTCCGAAAGTGGTGAGATTACAGGCATGAGCCACTGCACTCGGCCTCTTTCCTCTCTTTCTTATCTTCAATTCTGTGGCAGAACTCCGGGCCTTGGTGTATCTTGGAATCTGAGAGGAATCCTGAACAGTGACAGCTGCTGGAATGGTTCCCCATTAAGCCAGAATCTAGGAATTCATGATGTTGGGACTGGGTTTTACTCAGCTTTGTCCCCATCAGCACCTTCTACAAGGCCCCGAGCCTAGTAGAAACTTATTAAATGCCTGTTACGCTGAATAAATCATTAGAATTAGAAGGTTCAGTACTTGGAAGAGATGAAAGGAAGCGTGCTGTACAGGAAGGCCTTGCTTGCTCCCACCTATCTCTCCACAGCAGGACTGGAGTCCTTGGGTTCTGAGGAACACAGTTTGAAAATCAGTGATCTGACCTGATTCCTTCATTTTTAGATGAAGAAATTTGCATGCTGTTTTATCGCCAGATAGGGACCATGTTGGGACAGCAAATCCAGATGTCCTGACTCCTGGTTTCCTTCAGTGTTCTTTCACTTCCCACTAGTGGACCCAACTGCCTGGGGCCTGTTTTCATCACACTGATTAATGAAGACCCAGGGTCTTCCTGCCCTAGTTTCTAACGTCCTGTAGTAGTGCTGGTAGGCCAAGAATTTTCACCTGCCTCCTCAACTGAGGATCCACAAAGCCCCCATTTATAGCCGGCAGTGTCAACAAGAGGAGACAGAGAGGAAGCCATGAATCTCCCGGGGGGCACAGAGCCTGCAGAGCCTCCTGCTGGGTTTTGCCTGCCCCTTTAGATTCTGACTGCTGGCTTGAACCTTGGACCTTGGCACAATTTCCATGATGCCTCTCGGATTTATCTACTGACTGAACTCCAGACTGAATTCTTGCTACAATCAGCTTTGGGTTCTTGGTTTCTGTCATCGTCTGGTGTCTCCACTGGCTTCAGCAATGGCCTGGAAGTGTCTGCGCCAGGCTGTGGCAGGAGTTGTAGAGTCTGCCCATGTAATGTGATGTAAAAAGAACAACTAATAGACAATATGTATGTGTTTAAGCATCTTTTATGGATTACTACTGAGGTAACAGTGTAGTGGAAAGAGCTTGGGCTTTGCCATCAGACTGCCTAGGTTTACTGTGTTGTTTATAGATGTTGGAGATTTGCCTAACCACTCTGAAGCAGTTTCCTCATCTGAAAATGGGGAAAATAGTATTTATCCTGCATGCTATAAAGGTTAGAAATAGTGTATTTAAAGTGCAAAGCACATAAAAGACATGTAATAGAAAGTAACAACTATTTTAATTTAAATTGTATTTACATATATAGGGACTGAGGGCTGATATAATTTATGAGTTGGAAGCATTGAAGGATCCTGAAGAAACTTTAATCAAAAATTACATTATGGTCAGAATCATCTGAGTGTATTATTGTTACGTCTTAGAAAATTGGTAATGGCATAGAATAGTATTAAAAAGAGTAGCCAACACTGATTATCTATGTGCTAGGTGGTTGCTAAGTGCTCTACATAGACAATCTAATGTAATCAGCTTTCAGAGTTAAGTAGTATCATTACCCCTGTTTTTAAATAGAGAAACAGGGTATAGCAAAGTTCAATAGAAAATCAAGCCACTGGATTTGAGGCTGGGTTTGATTCCAGAGCCTGAGTTCTTATACCATTTAATCTTTCACTGCACACATCACCTTTTGTGACCATTGTTAAAGAGGAACCCTTTTCCCCTTCTCTCCGTTTTCCCTATTGAGAAAATGGAGGCCTATTGAGGAGAGATTCCGGCCCCCTTCCCCATATGGGAAGCTGATGAGAAGTAAGCTTTCATTTCCCTTTCCACCTTAGTATTAGCTCCTCCCCAAGCCAGGAGTGACCTGTTTGAGAGGCCTGGCCCACGTTCTACCAAATGTTCTTCAAGGCAAGAATCTCCACTTCCCTTTACCCCTTTCCCACCTCCACCAGGCAGTGAGCTCTCCACTTCCTGGGTCCTGTTTTAGCATTATGTCAAGCAGTGCTTTCTAATTTAGCTTTTGTCAGAAATCCCTGTGCTTTATTTTTCTCAAAAGCTTTTCATTTTGAAATTATTTAAGACTCACAAGAGGTTGCAAAAACAGTACAGAGAGTTCCTGTGTATCCTTCGCCCAGCTTTCCCCAATAACATCGTACATAACCAGAGTTCATGATCAAAATCAGGAAATTGACATTAGTGCAATACTATTATATAAACTACAGGCTCTATTTAAATTTCACCAGTTTTTATGTGCACTTTGTGTGTGTGTGTGTGTAGTCCTATGAAATTTATCACATATATAGATTTCTATGAAATTCACCACACGAAACCACCATCATAATCAGGATAGTGAACTGTTCCATCACACATACACACTTATAAACACAACTCTCTCATGCTATCCTTTATAGTGACACGCTTCCCCAACCTAACTCCTAGGAACCACTAACCCATTCTCCATCACTATAAATTTGTCTTTTAAGAATGTTGTATAGAACTGGACTCTTACAGTGTGTAAGCTTGTGAGACTGACATCTGTCACGCAGCATATGCCCTTGAGCTCCATCCAAGTTGTTGCATCTATCAATACTTTGTCCCATGTTTATTGCTAGATAGTATTCCATTGTATGGATGTCCCACAGTTTATCCATTCACCTGTTGAAGGATATTTGGGTTTCCAGTTTTTTTCTCCCAGCTTTATTAAGGCAGAATTGACAAATATTATATATTTATGGTATACAACATGGTATTTTGATATTTGTATATATTGTGAAATAATTAAAATTATTAAATCAATTTAATCAACATCCATCACTGCACATACTTATCTTTTTTTATGGTGAGAACATTTAAGACATACTCTCTTGGAATTCTTCAAGTATACAACACGTTATTACTAATTATAGACACTATACTGTATAGCTCTCCACAACTTATCTGTCCTACCTGGAACTTTGTGCTCTTTGATCTGACCAACATCTCTCCATTTCTGTCAACCACCTCCACCCTAGTCTGTGGCAACTACCATTCTACTCTCTGCTTCTATGAGTTCAACTTTTTTAGATTCCACATGTAAGTGAGATCATGTAGTATTTGTTTTTCTATGTCTTGCTTATTTCACTTAGCATAATGTCTTCCAGGTTCATCCATGTTTTTGCAAATGCCAGGATTTCCTTCTTTAAGACTAAATAGTACTCCATCGTGTGTGTGTATGTGTACATATATATCTCACATTTTCTTTATCCATTCATTAGTAAATGAACACTTAGGTTGGTTCCATATCTTGGCTATTGGGAATAATGTTGCAGTGAACATGGGAGTGCAGGTATCTCTTTCATACACTGATTTCATTTCCTTTAGATACACACCCAGAAGTAGAATTGCTTGATTATATGATAGTTCTATTTTTAATTTTTTGAGGAACCTCCATACCGTTTTCCATAATAGTTGTACTAATTTACATCCTCACAAATAGTGTATAGGGTTCCCTTTTCTCCAAATCCTCCCCAACTCTTGCTATCTCTCTTTTTCATAAGAGCCATTCTAACAGGTATGAGCTAATAACTCATGGTTTTAATTTGCATTTCTTGATGATCAGTGATGTGAGAATTTTTTCATATACCTGCTGGACATTTGTATGTTTTCTTTTGAGAAGTGTCTATTCAGGTCCTTTGTCCACTTTTTATTGGATTATTTGTTTTCTTGCTATTGATTTGAGTTCCTTATAGTCTTTGAATATTTACCCCTTACCAGATGTATGGTTTGCAAATATTTTCTCCCATTCTGTAGGTTGTCTCTTCACTCTGTTTATTGTTTCCATTGCTGTGCAAAAACTTTTTAGTTTAATCCCATTTGTCTATGTTTTGTTTTGTTGCCTGTGCTTTTGGGGCCATAACCAAAAAATCATTGCCCGGACCAATGGCAGGAGCTTTTCTCCTGTGTTTTATTCTGATAGTTTTTACAGTATCAGGTCATACATTTAAGCTTTTAATTCATTTTTGAGTGGATTTTTTGTATATGGTATAAGGGTCCAATGTCCAATTTCTTTTTTTTTTTTTTTTTTTAAGACAGGGTCTCTCTCTGTTGCCCAGGCTGGAGTGCAGTGGTGCGATCTCAGCTCACTGCAACCTCTGCCTCCTGGGTCCAAATGATTCTCCTGCCTCAGCCTCCCAAGTAGCTGGGATTACAGGTGCATGCCACCATACCTGGCTAATTTTTGTATTTTTAATAGAGACAGGGTTTCACCATGTTGGCCAGGCTGGTCTCCACTCTTGACCTCAAGTGATCGGCCCACCTTGGCCTTCCAAAGTGCTGGGGTAACAGGCATAATTTCATTCTTTTGCATGTGGATACATAGTTGTCCCAACACCATTTATTGAAGAGGCTGTCCTTTCTCTTTTGTGTTTTCTTGGTACTTTTGTCAAAAATCAACTGACTGTAAGTGGATGGATTTATTTTTGGGCTCTCTATTCTGTTCCATTGGTTTGTCTGTTTTTATGCCAGCATCATGCTGTTTTGATTACTATAGCTTTATAGTAGATTTTGAAATTAAATAGGCTAGGGTGATACCTCCAGCTTTGTTCTTATTGGTGAAGATTGTTTTGGCTATTTGGGGTCTTTTGTGGTTCCATAAGAATTTTAGTTTTTTTCATATTTCTGTGAAAAACACCATCAGAATTTTGGTAAGATTGCATTGCATTTGTAGATTGCTTTGGTAGTATGGCTATTTTAACAATATAAATTTTTTCAATCCATGAATATGGGATATCTTTCCATTGATTTGTGCCTTCCTCATTTATTTCATCAGTGTTTTATAGTTTTCAGTGTATAGGTCTTTCATCTTTTAGGTAAAATTTTTTCCCAAGTTTTCATTTTTTGATGCGATTACAAATGGAATTGTTTTCTTGATTTCTTTTTTGATTGTTAATGTTTCCAGTTTTTGACTATTACAAACAAAGCTGCTAAAAAACATTTGCATACAGCTTTTTGTGTGAACATACATAGTTACTTCTCTACGGTAAATACACAGGAGTGAAACTGCTGAATCGCACAGTGAGGGAATAATTTTATAAGAAACTTCTAAAGTGTCTTCCAGAGTAGGTACATCAGCAATGTATGAGAGATTCAGCTTCTCTGCATCCTTGCTGACATTTGCTTTATTTATTTTTTTAAAAACTTTTATTTTAAGCTCAGGGGTACAAGTGTATATTTGTTACATAGGTAAATTAGTATCATTGGAGTTTGCTGTACAGATTATTTTATCACCCAGGTATTAAGCCTAGTACCCGTTGGTTATTACTTTGCTGACATTTGTTATTGTCAGTGTGTAAGCTTTTGGTTTGTGTGGTGTATATCGACCTTTAAGAGTAGATGCCTTGGACACCATTTGATCTTGCCCTCTCTATTTACTCTAGCTAGACTGAATCCTGGAGGGAAGGGGGTATATTTTAGTATGCTGAATTCTTATCAAGCACTTGTTATGTGCTAGACACTATGGCAGGTGTCAGAACACAGCACCATTGTATTTGACTCTGGGGACTCACAACTTAGCAGACCAGATAAATAAGTGAATAAGTAAACATGGTTATTAAATAATGCAGTAAGTAATACAGGTATGTGTAAAGTGCTATGGCCATTGATAAAAAAATTGTTCCCTAGAACAGTGGTTCTTAAATTTTAGAATGCATCAGAATCATGTGGTGAGCTTGTTAAAATTCACATTGCTGGTCCTTATCACACAAAGTTTTGGATTAAACAGAGTCTAAAGTGGGGCCCCAAGAAGTTGTATTCTAACAAGTTCCCAGGTGATACTGCTGCTCTGGCCCAGGGCCCACATTTTGAGAGACAGAAATTTGTCTTAAAGGATAGATAGGAGTTTGTCAGGTGATAAATGAGAAGAGTTGTGAAACAAGGAAGAGCATGAACAAAGACATGGTGAGGAATGTGCATGGTGTGCTCAAGGAATGGCCATTCTCATGTACGACCAGGGCACAACTTAATTTCAAGGGGAAAAGTGGATATTTTATGTTAGGGCCAGACTACAAAAGACCTTAAATACTTACCTAAGGAGTTATGTAGGCAGTAGAAGTCTGTATTTTAAAACTAGATTGTGTTTGGGGAAAAAAAAATGCTGGCAAGAGATCAGTAGCTGAAAATGTCGGCAAGATGAGTTAGGGGACTATTGCAATAGTCCAGATGAAAAACAAATGAAGACTATGGTTGGGCAATGGAGATGGACAATAGAAAGATTTGAAAGACATTTCAGAGGTTAAATATCTAAAACCTGGTAACTAGCCGGATGTGTAGGGAGACAAAGGAATCCAGAATGAGAACGGGTGGATGGTAGTGCTATTAACCACGACAGGAATTACACAAAGGAAGAGCAAGTTTGCTGGTAAGATATTAATCTGGTTTTGGTTACTGGATCAGAATAAACTGTGAAACATCTATATGACTATATCAACCATGAAGTTAGAAAATGGGAAGAGAGGCAGCACTAGGATATGTCACAGGAGAGGTTAAAACAAGGTGAAGGATATAGTGTAAGAAGTGAATCGAGACTGGAACCCAGAGTGTTACCAAAATTAAATAGGTAAGGCTTGTCTGAAGTCAGTAGTGTCTACAATTAATTGATCACAACCAGTTACAGATTTCTGTGTTCCTTCTCCATTCCCACTGCTTCACTTGACTAGCCTTAAAAAAAAAAAACAAAAAAGAGAAATACGTAAGTAATTCTGGAGCCAGTGAAGGTAGCTAGCAAGAAGTAGACAGGTAAAACCAGGACATTCACATATAATAAATGTTAAGAAAAGAGGTTTCAGAAAGGAAGAACAGAAGAAACAGTTAATGGTGTTATATATCTAAAGGCTAGAAAGAATTTAGTCTAAAAAGCGATCTGTTGATTTAATGACTTTGGCAATGAGTCAGATTTAATGACCTTTCAATGGAGTTAGAAGAATGGGTTGAAGAATGAATTGGAGATGAGAAAGTGAGGTGACTAGGGTAGACTATACACTTAGGAGCCTTGGTGGTAATAGGAGAGGGAGGACAAGGGCAGTGGCTTTAGGGAGAGGCAAGACGAGAAAAATTTCTTCTGGAGGCCTTCAGAAATCTCAAGATAAACACCAAGAGTTTCCAGTGATTAATCAGTATTTATTCTGCCTACCTGACTTGAAATATGCAAAACACAGAAAACCATTGAATTAACTACTACTGATCCATTCGTAGTAGGCAATTTGAATGTGCTATCACTCTGGTATCTTTCTCAATACATTCAGAGGCACATAATTAGTTTGTCTATTGTCTTTTGGTGCCTCAGCACTCCCTGTGCCCCCTTATTCTCAGCAAAAGATCCCACTGTTATTCTAGCTTCTTCCTTTTAATAGATTTTAAATAATCCCTTTATGTGTTTTGGACTCTCTTCGAAAGTGTTTCTTAAAGTCTTTTTTCCTATTTTGTACTTAACCTAATACACTCTGTGGGCTCCCTGCTCTCCCTTGGGGAGCTTTTTACATTCTTTGAGAGATGTCATTTTCCCTCCACAATAACCACTGTGACTGTCACATTTTTATGTGATTGGATTTTTAAAAATTCTCAGATACTCTTTTTCTATGCTTCCAATAAAGTCTCTTAAAATAGCCTCCAATCTTTTTATGCCTTTCAAAAGCCTCCCTTTCCATTTCTCCTAGCTAATACTCATTTTTTTTCACTTTCCTTAATGAACATTGAATAATTGACATAAATTATCTGGGCTTAAAGATTTAATTGTCATGATCACTCACATTTATTGGCTCTCCCATGGTTACCTCATAAAACCAATTCCTGCTCACTAGGCAAGAACCACAGCCAGACATTTTCTCTAGCTATAGGTGGTTTGAAACTTCCTATTATAGGAAAGTTTATCAATCTTTATTACAAATCTCAACTCTATCTTTTGACCTGATTAGGCATTTTATGATTCACATTTGAGTTAAGTCTCCCATTTTTAATACCTGGCATAATTTCTAAATTATCAAATCTTTAACATTTTTATATTGGTATCATCAGCTTAGTCATGTAGTCTATAGCAATGGCTCTCAAACATTAGAATCAACTGGAGATTTGTTTCTAAAACTGTTGCCTGGGTCCTACCCCAAGATATTATCATTTAACTGGCCTAGGGTAAAGCCTGAGCATCAGGATTTTAGGAAACTTTAATGTGAACCAAGTTTGAGAACTATTGACTTAAGAGCATTTCTTCTTCTCCTTCTCCTCCTCCTCTTCTTCCTCTTCCTCTTTCTTCCTTTTTTTTTTCAGAGATGGGGGCTCACTCTGTCACCCAGGCTGGAGAGCAGTGACATAATCATAGCTCACTGAAACATCAAACTCCTGGGCTCAGGCAATCCTCCCACCTCAGCCTCCTGAGTAGCTGGGACTATAGGCCAATTAATTTAAGTATATTTCCAAGACAATATTTATTTATTTATTTATTTATTATTTTTCTGAGACAGAGCCTCACTCTGTCGCCCAGGCTGGAGTGCAGTGGCACAATCTCGGCTGACTGAAACCTCCGTCTCCTGGGTTCAAGTGATTCTCCTGCCTCAGCCTCCAGAGTAGCTGGGATTACAGGCATGTGCCACCAATACCCAGCTAATTTTTGTATTTTTAGTAGAGATGGGGTTTCAGCATGTGGCCAGGCTGGTCTCAAACTCCTGACCTCAGGTGATCTGCCTGCCTTAGCCTCCCAAAGTGCTGGGATTACAGGCATGAGCCACCGCACCCGGCCCCAAGACAATCTAATTTTTTTAAATGTCAAAGGATTTGAATAGACAGTTCTCCAGGGAAGATAAGCAAATGGATAATAAGTACATAAAAAGACACTCAGCATCATTGGTCATAAGGGAAATACGACTCAAAACCACAATGAGATACCCACTAGGATGGCTAGAATTAAAAAGGCAGATAATAAAACAAGTGTTAGTGATGATGTAGGGAAACTGGAACCCTCATACATTGTTGGTGGGATTGTGAAATAGTATAGTCACTTTGAAAAACAGTTCTACACTTATGTTAAACAGTCACCATATAACCCAGGAACTCCACTCCTAGGTATATACCCAGATAAGTAAAAACATGTTCATGAAAAAACTTGTACACAAATGTTCACAGCAGCATATTATTCTTAAGAGCCTCAAAGTGGAAACAACAGATAGCATCAACTGATGAATGGATAAACAAAATGTGGAATATCCATATAATGGGATGTTCAGCCATGAAAAGGAATGAAGTAACGCTTTATGCTACAACACAGGGAAACCTTATAAATATTATGCTAAGATTATGCTAAATGAGAAAAGCCAGACACAAAGGGCCCCATGTTCAATAATTCCATTTATATGAAATGTCCAGAATAGGCAAATCTATAGAGATAGAAAGTAGACTAGTGGTTTCCAGGTGTGGGAGGAAGAGAGAAATGAGGAGAGACTGCTAACAGGTACAAGGTTTTGTTTGCAGGTGATAAAAATGTTCTGGAATTAGATAGTGATGGTGGTTACCCAAGCTTGTGAATATACTAAAAACTATTAAATTGCAAACTTTAGAAAGGAAAACTTCATGGTATGTAAAGAATATCTCAAAAGGAAAACAGAGTAAGTATATTCCTCTTGTTATCTTATGTGTCCAAGGAATTCTTACTCATGGATATTGGAGAAAAACTCCTCTTGCCAATAACATTTCTATTTTACTATTGTTCATTGTATATCTCATATAAAACTATGAGATTTTCTCTTCTTTTGAGAGCTTAAAGCCCACGTCTCACAAAGTGCCAGAATGAAACATTTGGCTTTAGTCACCTTTGCTCAAGAAGGATATGGGAAAACAAATTCCAGCGAGAAAACTAGAATGGCAGGGTCTCTACTGAATGAAGACAGACCGTTCTGTGGCTTGGAAAGAAGGCTAGTGAGGATGTGATCGAAACCTATCAAATCACAAAGAGATCCCAACCATGGCAAATGAAATCCTAGAACACTTGAAAGAGAAGCTACAATTTAAAGATTCAGATATGCATATTTAGGACACGAAAAGTAAAGCACCAACTTCACAAAACACATAGTAATTTAAGGATGATTATTATCCTCCAGGAAATAGTTACAGGCAATAAAATATAGTTTTAAGAAAATGGTCCAAAAATTGATTATTTGATCAAAATGAGTCATTACTAATTAGGAGTTTTCATTTCTCTTTCTTGGGAGATAGGCCTAACTGTTAAGTTGACATTCAGAGGATTAATCTGCCTTCTTACACTAAGGTATGTGGCTTTTAGAGACAAAACTGTTCACAGAATTGAGGCTCAAATGGTGGTGGAAGAGTTTAGACCAGAAGAGTTTAAATTCATGAGTCTGGGTGGACCCATGGGATTAAGACCCATATGCCAGATGTTGGGAACATGAAAGTAATAACAAGCAGTGGTGATTTAGGGACTGAACATGCAAGGATGTCTAAAAGCAGCAGCAGAAGAGAAATTCTGAAGAAGAGAAATACAGAAAGAGTCAATGAAAGAGTAAGCTGTGAGTCACTCTATCAAGCAGCGTCGGGAAGTGCAGAAAATTCTCAGAGCTCCTAGAGAGTGAAGGGTGGTACCAGAAAGGCCCAGGCTAGCCAAGATATCTAAGGCCAAGGTCTTGGATTTCGGGGAGGGGATGGGCCATCAGAAAGGAATAAGCCAACTCTGAATAGGCACTGGCGGCTCTTTAGTCTCTGCCCCAGGGCATGCTGACTGATTTGGGGGTGGGGTGGAATGAAAATACACAGCCCAGGCCCAGGAAATTTATACTGAATTGTTTGGCAGATTCCCAACATTGAAAGGGGTGTGGCTACTCTGATTTCCATCCAGGACGGTATCAATATCCCCACGGGTTGAATTTGATGAGGCTGCAGGGATATCTACGTAGTGGGGTTGCTTGGAGCCTAGAAAGTGTTAGTTACAGTCTCAAGGTTGTAGTGACGCCTACTATAAAATAAATTTAGCACTAAGTAACCCAGACCACTTATTTTCTTGTGCCTAGAGCCAAAGTATGCCAAAATTCTGGCTGATAGTTGGCAGTTAAGTGGGTGAGGGGGTGGGCAGTTGCAAAAAGAAATACAGAGGTTAGAAAACAATTGGTTCTCTGCAATCCTAAGGTGGATGGCCATGACACTGTTCCAGTATGAACATTCTCAGCTGGGAAATAATCGTTCTGATGTTACAGAAACAATATTACCTGTTTGTTTTCCTTTTCTTTCTTTGCTCTCTTCCTCCTCCTTTTTTTTAAAGAGCTCAGAGTATATAGGTACAGATGTGTAGAAAAAACCATGTTTCCAAAAAATTATACTCACAGATAAAGCTTCTCTAATTTGCCAGTTCTTCTGTGCTGAGGCATGCTTTTCAGCAAACAAAACACACTAATAAATCTATCAGGGGCAGAAAGGCAGTGGGGGACAGCTGCAGCAGCACCATCCAGGAGTGACAATGATTAATTCCTACATCTGCTCAGCCAGATAGAAACAAAGGTCACTGTGCATAGATTAGCATCCCGATCACCACCCCCTCCTAATACACACACACACACACACACACACACACACACAGAGAGAGAGAGAGAGAGAGAGAGAGAGAGAGAGAATCTTTCACCATTTACAATGGCAAAATTCAAAATGCCTGAAAAATGTTTACTATCTGGCTAAAAGAAACAAAAAATGCAAGCTCTTTAGTGGGATGGTGATGGAAGAAGACACAGAATAGGATCAGGCACTGATTACTGTCAGATAACTGTCTAATCTTGTTAGCATCCAAACTGAGTGAAATTTGGATGCTCAGCTACATTTACAAAAGCAAAGGAAACATGAAATTTAAGATCAAATCCTGATGCAGTAATTTGATCAAAATAAGAAAGGCTATTATGGTGAAACAGTTGGATACAGTGAATGTCTGGTGTATCAGTCTGCTCGGGCTGCCATAACAAAACACCACAGGCTGGGTGGCTTAAACAACAGAAATTTATTTTCTCACAGTTGTGGAGGCAAAAAGTCCAAGACCCAGGTTTTTTCAAGGGCTGATTTCTGGCGAGGCCTCTTCCTGGTTTGTAGACAGCTGTCCTTTTGCTGTGTCCTCACATAGTCTCTTTGTGCATGCAGGGAGAGCAAACTTCAATGCCTCTTCCTCTTATAGGGACACCAGCCCTGTTGAATTAGGGCCCCATCATTATGACCTATTTTTTGTTAACATTTTAGGCAAATTTAATATTCTTTTTTGACAAAATTATAGGTTTAGGATATAGAAAACAAGAATGCCTTCCTCCCTCCCTTCTTCCTTTCCTTTCTTTCTTCCTTCACCTTCCTCTTTATTGAGACAAAAATGTGCCAGGAAATATTCAAAGAATAGTCCCTGCCCAAATGATCATATAATCTAAGGACTAAAGCAAACAAATAAGCAATTTCATTAAAATAAGTTGTCTTAGATGTAAATTGAAGTTGTGTATGTGTCCAAAAGAGGGTCTTAATAGCTCCTCATAGAAAGAAGTCTCTCTTGATGTAACTTGAATGATAACAGTCATCAATATGCCAAAAAGAATTTCTAAGATCATGTAACTGCAACAGTTGAGTAGGAGAAATGAAATACCACAGGCACTAATCTTGATCCAGAGCAGTTTAAAAGTTTTCCCATGACATTCAGGATAGACCAAAAAAAAAACGCTCAGTAACACTGTAGCCATCTATGTAGAAAGTTCTTTCAAGGTAGGGGCTGACTTCTGCCTTAAAAAACACACAGACTTTTATTTGAAGTTCATGGGTACATGTGCAGGTTTGTTATACAGGTAAACTCGTGTCGGGGGGTTTGTTGTTCAGAATACTTTGTCACCCAGGTTCTAAGCCTAGGACTTAACAGTTATTTTTTCTAATTATCTCCCTCCTCCCATCTTCCACCCTCAGGTAGTGTGTAGTGTGTGTTTTTCCTCTCTTTGTGTCCATGTGTTCTCATCATTTAGTTCCTACTTATAAGTGAGAACATGCAGTATTTGGTTTTCTGTTCCTGTGTTGGTTTGCTAAGGATAATGGCCTCTAGCTCTATCCATGTTCAAACAAAAGACATCATCTCATTCTTTTTTATGGCTGCATAGTATTCCATGGTGTATATGTACCACATTTTCTTTATCCAATCTGCCATTGATGGGCATTTAGGTTGATTCCATGCCTTTACTATTGTGAATAGTGCTGCAATGAACATTCATGTGCCTGCGTCTTTATGGTAGAATGATTTATACTCCTTTGGGTATACAACCACAAATGGAATTGCTGGTGAATGGTAGTTCTGTTTTTAGCTCTTTGAGGAGTCGCCACACTGCTTTCCACAATGTTGAACTAATTTACTCTCCTACCAACAGTGTATGTGTTCATTTTTCTCTGCGATCTTGCCAGCATGTTATTTTTTGACTTTTTAATAGTAGCCATTCCAATTGGTGTGAGATGGTATCTCATTGTGGTTTTGATTTGCATTTCTCTAATGATCAGTGATACTAAGCTTTTTTTCATATGCCTGTTGGCTGCATGTATGTCTTCTTTTGAAAAGTGTCTGTTCATGTTCTTTGCCTGCTTTCAGACTTTTTAATTTTTTTCCATTGCTCATGAAAAAATTAACTCTGCCCACTTTTTCATAGGGTTGTTAGTTTTTTCTTGTAAATTTAAGTTTCTTATAGATGCTGGGTATTAGACCATTGTCAGATGCACAGTTTGCAAATATTTTCTCCAATTCTGTAGGTTGTATGACCTAATTTAACTTTAATTACTTCCCCAAAGACCCTATCTCCAAATACAGACACACTGGGAGTTAGAGCTTCAACATATGAATTTGGGGGGAACACATTCATTCCATAATGTCTGGTTGTATGTAAAGAAGGTATTCGCAGTCGACCCTTGGTTTTCATGTTCAGGAGTTCACTGAAGATATTGTCACTCCTTATTTATAACTCATACAATTGTAGACCCCTGACAGACTGCCTTAAAAAAAACTATAATCTTGGGCCAGAATACACACACACACACACAGACACACACACACACACATACACACACACACACACACACACACACACACATATATATTTTTTTTTTGAAAGAATCTTGCTCTGTCACCCAGGCTGAAGTGCAGTGGTGCAATCTCGGCTCACTGCAAGCTCCGCCTCCTAGGTTCACGCCATTCTCCTGCCTCAGCCTCCTGAGTAGCTGGGACTACAGGTGCCCGCCACCACGCCTGGCTAATTTTTGTTGTGTATTTTTAGTAGAGACAGGGTTTCACTGTGTTAGCCAGGATGGTCTCAATCTCCTGATCTGCCTGCCTCAGCCTCCCAAAGTGCTGGGATTACAGGCACGAGCCACCACGCCTGGCCAGGAAATGTATTTTTAAGTGTACAAATTAAAAATGTATAGCTCAGTAAATTGTAACAAAGAAAACATCATATAGAAAACTATAACCCAAGAAAGAGAACATTACAATACCTCAAAATTCTACCTCATATTATACTTTTTACTCTTTCCCTTCTCCCTTAAGGTGAACTACTATATTGACTTTTAATACTATAGTTGAGTTATGCCTGTTTTTAAACTTCATAAATGGGAATCATAGTGGATGCTACTTTGTGGTTGGCTTTTTTATTTGATGTTGTTTGTGAGATTTATACATGTTGCTGGGTGTAACTGTAGCTGCTATATAATATCCCATTGCAGGAATATACCACAATTTATTTATTCCTTATACTTCTGATGAACATTTGGGTGATTACAATAATGCTGCTATGAATATTTTTGTACACCTATTGATATAAATATGCACATAGTTCTACTGAGTAGAATTTAGAAATGGATTTGCTGGCTCTCAAGGTATATGTGTTGTTAATCTTAAAAGATACGCCAATTTCTTTTCTAATGTGGTTGTACCAGTTTATACCCTCCCAGTGAGTAAATGAGAGTTTCATAGTTTCACATCTTTATCTTATTATCTTAAAAAATTTAAAGATAATTTAAAGATAAGCATACATACCATCGGTATGTATCTCCTAGTAGTTTTAATTTGCATTTCCCCAGCCACATATAACCACGAATCTCCTTTCTGTCCCTATAGATTTGTCTATTTTGGTCATTTCATATAAATGGAATCAAATGTGATCTTTTGCGACTAGCTTCTTTCACCTAACATCATGTTTTCAAGTTTCATCCATGTCCTAGCATGAGTCAGTGTGTCACTTTAATTGCTGAATAATATTTCACTGTATGGATATAACACATTTCACTTATCCATTCAATAGTTGATACATGTTTGGGTTGTTTCCTTTTAGGGATATTATAAACAATGCTGCTATCAATATTCATGTACAAGTTTTTACATGGACATATGTTTTGATTTTCTTGAGTATATACCTAGGAGCTTAATCACTGAGTCATATGGTAACCCTATGTTTAACATTTTGGGAAACTGCCAAACTATTTCCCTAGCTCAGACACTATTTTACATCCCTAGGAGGAGTGAATGAGGGTTCTAATCTCTCCACAGCCTCACAAACACTTGTTAATTTTTATATTATAGCCATCTTAGGGGATGCAAAGTGGTAACTCATTGTGATTTTGATTTCCCTTAGGGGTAATGATGTGCCTACTGGCCATTCATATATCTTTTTTGAGATACTTCTATTCAGATTCTTTGCCCACTTAAAAATTGTTTTATTTGTCTTTGTATTATTGAGTTGTAAGCATTCTTTATATATCTAGATGTGAGTCCCTTATCAGGTCTATTATATAATTTGAAAACGTTTTCTTCATTCTGTAGGTTCTTTTTACTTTCTTAATGGTGTTATCTGAAGCACAGAATTTTTTTTTTTTTTTTTTTTTGAGGTGGAGTCTTGCTCTGTCACCCAGGCTGGAGTGCAGTGGCAAGATCTCGCTCACTACAACCTCCACCTCCTGGGTTCGAGCGATTCTCTTGCCTCAGCCTCCCAAGTAGCTGGGATTACAGGTGCGCACCACAATGCCTGGCTAATTTGTTGTATTTTTAGTAGAGATGGGGTTTCACCGTGTTGGTCAGGCTGGTCTCAAACTCCTGACCTTGTGATCTGCCTGCCTCGGCCTCCCAAAGTACTGGGATTACAGGCGTGAGCCACGGTGCCTGGCCAGAAATTTTTAATTTTGATGATATTAAACACATTTTTCTTTTGTTACTTGTGCTTTTGGTGTCATTTAATAGTGTCTTTTGATAAACACAAGTTCTGATTTTTAAAAACTATTCCTAATGGTGCCATAAACAAGTCTTATAAAATTTACTTCTGCATTTACAGTAAAACTATTCATTATATCCTTCAATATTAATAATAAATATAAAGCTGTGAGGGAGAATTTTTTTTCAGAAAATAGTATTTAAAAATTTTGTCTCTGCTAAAAAATTGACATGTATCCTTTAAACGTTTCCTTTTTATCTTTTCAGGAAGCCCAAAGATTATTTTTTAAACTTTTGCTGAAGAAAAATATGCATAAACAAAAATGCATATATATAAATGTATAATTCACTGAATTTTCAAAAACTGACACACCTGGGCAACCAGCATGCAAGTCAAAAAACATATTATTAGTGCTTCAGAAGTCTTCCTCTTGCTCTATTCTCCCTTTTCTCCACCCACCCAATCTGACTTCTAACATCTTAGATTAGCTCTGCCTGTTTTTGTGCATCATGTAAAAAGAGTAACATAGGGTATAATCTCTTTTTCTGGCTTCCTTTGCTCAACACTATTTATTATTTTTGTGAGAGCCATCTATATTGTGGCATGGAGTATACTGTGATATATTGGACATTATAAATAGATATTATAACTGTTGATGGACATTCAAACAGTTTACAATTTGGGCCTATTACAAATAGTGTTGCTATGAATATTCTAGTGCATTATTTTGGTGAATATATGTATGCAATTTTGCTGGAATTGCTAGGACACAGGGTATGAATATGTTCAAGTTTAGTAGATACTGCTAAACAGTTTTCAAAAGTGATTGTATCAATGCACACTTCCACACTATGCATGAGAATTCCAGTTGTTCTACATCCTTCTCAACACTTGGTTTTGTCAGTCTTTTTTTTAATTGCAGACATTCAAGTGAGTATGTAGTATTATCACACTGTGGCTTTAATTTGCATTTCTCTGATGACTAATGAAGTTGAGCCCTTTTTCATTTGTTTATTGGCTATCTGGATTTGTTCTTTTGTGATGTACCTGTTCATATCTTTTGCACATTTTTTATTTTTTGAAATTAAATTTTTTTATTTTTATGGATTTAGGGATACAAATGCAGTTCTGTTACATGGATATATTACACAGTGGTGAAATCTGGGCATTAAGTGTACCAATCACCTGAACTGTACTTGAAAGGTGGTATTTCATCCCTCACCCACTCCCATCCTCCCACCATTTGGAGTCTCCAGTGTCTATTATGCCCCTTGTATGTCCGTGTATACCCACTGTTTAGCTCCCACTTATCAATCAGAACATGTGGTTTTTGATTTTCTGTTTCTGAGTCATTTCAGTAAGCATAATGGCTTCCAGTTCCATCCACATTGCTGCAAAAGACATAATTTCATTTATTTTTATAGGTGTATAGTATTCCATGGCAAAAATATACCACATTTTAATCCAATCATCTGTTGATGGACACTTAGATGGATTCTATGACTTTACTACTGTGAACAGTGCTGTGATAAACATAAGACTGCACATTTTTAAAAAAGTGGATTTTCTATGTTTTCATATAGATTCCCACTTTTTTATTCTGAATAAAGATTCTTTGATGACATATGCATTGTGAATACATTGTCCCAGTCTATGGCTTGCCTTTTTCCTTAGTGATGTCCTTAATGAACAGAAGTTCTCAATTTCTAATGTAGAGCTTTTTTTTTTTTTTCAATTTAGACAGGGTCTTCCTCTGTCACCCACCCAGGCTGGAGTGCAATGGCGTGATCTCAGCTCACTGTGACCTCTGCCTCCCAGGCTCCAGTGATCCTCCCACCTCAGCCTCTAGAGTAGCTGGGACCACAGGCATGCACCACGATGCCTGGCTGTATTTTTGTATTTTTAGCAGAGACGGCATTTTGCCATGTTGCCCAGGCTGCTCCTGAACGAATGTAGAGCAATTTAACAATATTTTCCCTTATGAATAATACTTGTTGTGTTCTGTTTAACATATTTTCATGTCCCTAGTTCATAAAGATACTCTCTTCTATGACTTTCCTGAAGTTTTTTTGTTTTCCATTTCAGTAGTTCACCTGGAAGTAATTTTGTTGAGGTGGATTCAGGTTGCACTTTTTTCTCCATGTGGATAGCCAACTGACCCTGCACCATTTATTGAAAAGCATCTATATATCCTTGACTCTTTCTGGATTCTCTCTATTCTGTTCTATTGATCTATTTGTCTCTCCTTGCTCCAATACCATATTTAGCAGGTTTTAATTACTAGCTTTATAGTAAATATTGATATCCAGAAGAAGAAATCCTCTCACTTTGTCCTATTTTTTTTTTTTTTTTTTAGACAGAGTTTCACTCTTATCATCCAGGCTGGAGTGCAATGGTGCCATCTTGGCTTACTGCAACCTCTGCCTCCTGGGTTCAAGTGATTCTCCTGCCTCAGCCTCCTAAGTAGCTAGGATTACAAGCGCCCCCCACCATGCCCGGCAAATTTTTGTATTTTTAGTAGAGAGGGTGTTTCGCCATGTTGGCCAGGCTGGTCTCGAACTCCCGACCTCATGTGATCTGCCCGCCTTGGCCTCCAAAAGTGCTGGGATTACAGGCGTGAGCCACCGCGCCCAGCTTGTCCTTTTCTTTCCAGCCTATTTTTAGCCCTTTGAATTTCCGTATAAATTTGAGATTTAGCTTGTCAAGTTTCACACACACATATGCAAGTTGTTGGAATTTCTATTGCATTGAACCTATATATCAATCTGGGGAGAAATGATATTTTTACAATATTAAGTCTTCTGATCAATGAATATAGAATTTAATTCCTCTCAAAATATTTTATGATTTTCTATATAGAGATAATGCATATCTTTTCCTACTGTATTAGCCAGGATTCAAAAAGAGATATATGGATGTGTCACAGGCAGTTGAGTTATGCAATTTTGGGAGCTCTTTAAGCAGTCTCTGTAAGGCTGTTGTCTCCACATCTGATGCTAGAGCTTGAAGTCTACAAGGCAGGCAGTCAGGAGGGAAAATCAAGAGATTAGAGCATGCTCACACCCCTGTGAAGAGACTGAAACCCATGTCAGTTATTGTTGCCTCTGATCTAGGTAATGAGTATATCCTGCAGAAGCTGTGGCCCTTTGTCGTGGAGCTAATCACACACACCTGGCCCAGGGGCCTGACAAGTTAATGGAGGGTCCAGGGGAAGGTAGAGCAATTGCATGTCCAGCTCTGCTTCACCCCAGTAGGTGGATCAGCAGGTTCGCAACAATGTGTGTGCTATAAGATGGCTGGAACTTCCCTTAGCTTTCCAAATCTAGAAAGAATCTCCTTTGTGGTCAGAAAACATACAAGAAAGAGAATTCTAGGAAATGTAGTTTGGCCTAGTCAAGTTGACACACTAGAAAGCCGTCACAAATAGGATTTTATATTTTTTATGCTGTTTTAAATGATCTAAAAAATTTGTTTAAATGTTACATAAAATGGTGTTTACACATAGACCTTTCATCCAACAACTCTGCTGAACTTAGTCATTATGATATACTCAAGTACACAGTGTGTTCTTTCCATACGTAGTTTCAAATTTTCAGTTTTCTTAAATTAGAGGGTTTTGTTTGTTTTATACTTGTTTTCTTTCCTTGCTTTTATTTTCTTTTTCAGGGACTCTTATTATTGATAAATTGATCTTTTTTGCCTATTTTCAATATTTGTTGTTTTCTTTCAAAACTTTTTAAAAATCTTTTTTCATTCCATTTAAAAAATTTTCTTCCTTTCTACCTTTTATTTATGTTAAAGAATTATGTTGTATTCATTTGTTGTTGAGTTCCTTCTAGATCAGCCTTCATTTTTAGATGTTTATTTCTAATTTTTTCTTGAATTGTCTCATTTCTGAGCTTCCTAATTTGATTTATGTTGCTTTTCTATGTCTTATATGACTTCTTCAATGTCTTTGAATGCACCTGAAATAGTACATTAGGGTCTCAATCTATTTTCAATCATATCTTTTTGGCATGCTTTCATTGTCTGCAGATATTCCCCTTATTCTCTTTCTTAGGTTAATAATGTTGTGTTGGATTTGGCCTTGATATTTTCCTGCTGTAGATTTTTGTGGGTGTGAATTTAGTTTTTATGTGATTTTAAAAAGACATTTGGTTCAGATAGCTTTTCTAACTTCACATGGTTCCTTTGCTATATTGTATTAATATGGTGTTAAAAAATACTCTGGCTTGCTTTCCAAGGAGATTTCCTGACTCTGATATGCTTTCATTTGGATATTCCTCTTCCTTCTTCATCTGTATTGTCTTCATTCTGCTCAATTTTGAGCTCAATACTCCCCACAGTTTCTCTTCTTCATGAGATCCTATCTTGGAAGGGAGCCCCACCAGATCAGTCTAGAAATTTCACAGCAGCTAGACTGCTGCATTCCTTTTAGACCTTCCAGAGGTGGATCCCTTGCACTCACCCCTTATTAAGTTTCAGCTGCTGATCTCAAATTGCCCCACCCATGCTTTCCAGTGAATACCTTTGGGCTATTTTGAGTTCTCTGTTCTCAGGTCTGTCAGATGTCCATTGCCTCTCTCTTATTTCTCCTACGTAGACACAAATAACACAGCTCTTGTGGCTGTGGGTGGTCTTTCCCCAACCGGTTATATTTTGAGGATCATAAGAATACCTCATCATCTAATTTTCTTGTAAATGGATTTTATTTTGTTGCCCATGAGTTTTGTGTCTTCTATCTAGTTGCTGTTTTTATGTGGAGATTCAGGAATATCTAAAACCTATGCTACTACTGCCACTATCACCTTCCCAAAATTATTTGTCTCTTTTTAAGTCTAAATAATTTATCTGAACACTTTTGAATTCTCTACACATATAATCAAGTGTACAACGTACATACACATAAGTTGTGTTCTCTACTCATAAAATCAAGTGTTGTATGTGTAAATAATGTGTTTTCCTCCTTTCCAATCTTTAATCTGGATTATCTGATAGTCCCTTTTTGCTCCAGTTTTTATTTTGCGGTCCACGCTCTCTTCAAGTGTGTACAAGGAATGTCATCAGCAGTAATTACTTGTTACTTGCAGAACCAAATTTCTCTTGGCTTAGATAAAGAAGGGAACTGCCTCTTGAGGCAGTCTCTACTGCATATTGCCAAATTATGGCATCCCTGTGGCAAAGAATGCAGAGCATAGGAAGAATCCATGTGCACGGTGCTCTGCTAGGGAGCCCTCGCTTAGGAAGAGATGGCGTTAGTGCTCACCCACCAGACATGAGCAGAGGAGAAACAAAGAGGACTCCCCCATACATTTCCAGGGTTTCTTGAATTCCACTTTTACCCATTAATGTACATGAATTGAGGCACTCCAAGGAGCATGACTTTATTTAAGGTAATGCCATAGATATCTCTTTTAAAATTTAAAGGTCTATTCTCAATGCAGCAGCAGATTTCCTATTAGATGTAAGCAAGGTGTGCCATTTCACAGCTCCCAATCCTGCAATGGCTCCCCATAACAGAGTAAAAGCCAAAGTCATTACACTGTCCTGTGTGACCTTACGTGATGTGGCACCCATTACCTTGCTGATCTTATCTACTCCTGTTCTTTGCCTAATCTACTCTGCTCCAGTCACACTGGCCTCCTTGCTTTCCCCTGAACACTACAGATGTTTCCATCCCTGGCCCTTTGCATTATTTGTTCCTTCTGCCTGGAATGGTTTTTACCTAATGACTTGTTTTTTTATGCCTTTCAAGTCTATTCTCAAATGTTACTTCCTCAGCGAGGCCTTCCTTGGTCAAATGATCTTGAATAGCAACTACCACTCTGACAGTCCCCATTCACTGTCCCTGTTTTACTTTTCTTCTCTGATCACTAACATCCCGAATAGTTTACAATTTATTTTATGTCCTGCCTATTCCCCCTCCAGGAAAGCAAAGTCCACGAGGGTAGTGATTTTGCCTACCTTGTTCTTTGATGTAACCCCAGCACCTAGAACAGTATCTGAAACATTGCTGGCCAATTCAATAAATATTTATTGAAACAATAGGTATATTTGTGAGAATCTGACTATGAGAAGGCCTTCTAAAAGTACAGAACTCTGTGGCTGATAGTGCTTCAAAAGCAGACGGCTTTTCATGGCATACTAAGATTGAAATGAAAGTTGAGAATGAAGGGTCACAACCAGGATGGCTGGGAATCTGGGGCTCTGGACGTCATGCTTTGGGCTCCTAGAGGGAGTAACCATCAAGAAAGAGAGAGAATAATAATAAAAAGCAACTGCTTACCTAGGGCACAATTTTTACATAGAGTTGACATTATCTTAAACAGTTAAAGAATGAAAACAATAATCTAAGAACTGACCTTTATCATCATAGATATATTCTAGGCCAGTTAATTTGTTCATTCGGGAAACAGTGCGCAGTCCAGGCACAATGGAAACACAAAGATGAATAAACTCAAGGAGCTCACTGTATGGTAAGGGAGACAGAGCCCCGCTTCTCTCAACCTAGTAAGTGCCATCAGCTGTGATGGAGTAATGACAGCCATGACTATTTGTAACAGTAGGTGCACAAAGGAGGGTGTGACCACTTCATCTAGGGCTGATATTGATATAGGCCTGACTGCAGGATGGACAGCATCAGAAGACTGTGCAGAAACTATTCCTATGCATTAACTTTTAACCTACCTCATTAACTTCTGCTGACCCACTCGTACTCCATCTGGCAGCCAGTACTCAAGAAAGACCTCATTCCTGTTCATAGTTCTATATATTTTCACCTCATTTCTGCTTTGCACTTTTTTCCTGCACCATTCCTACATACCAGTGGCTTTTTTTTTTTTTGAGACAGGGTCTCACTCTGTCACTCAGGTTGGAGTACAGTGGCATGATCTCGGCTCACTGCAACCTCCGCCTCCCAGGTTCAAGTGATTCTCCTGCCTCAGCCTCCTGAGTACTGGGATTACATGCATGTGCCACCATGGCCAGCTAATTTTTATATTTTTGGTAGAGACAGGGTTTTGCCATGTTGGCCAGGCTGGTCTTGAACTCCTGGCCTCAAGTGATCTGCTCGCCTTGGCCTCCCAAAGTGCTGGGATTATAGGTGTGAGCCATCGCGCTTGGCCACCAATGGCTTTTGATCTCATGATACACCTCCTATTTTTGGCTCTATGCCCAATCCTCTAGAATTGATGATCAATACAATATTTTCCTTCTATGAACCTTAGCTTCCTTTTTGGTCAAGGCCTTGCAGGATCTGCTCCTGGTCACTCTGCCTCATTCAGTCCTTGACCCTGCAACACTAGCCCCAGATTATGCTGTATGGCTGGTAATTATTCTAGGCCTGACTAGCTCCCCTTCTTCCTTCTTGGCCAATAACCATCAAACCGGGGATTATAAAGAAGATCCCAGAAATTCTAATAGTGCATGACAGTGTGCAAACTTTCTTTTAGCCAGAAAAATCAGTACTGCTTTCTTTTATTCCCAATCACCTTCCCTTCAGCTCCAGTTTCTCAAACCACAAAGAGAACAGAATTGATATGAAAGCAGCACAGCTCCTATCCCTGCAGCAAGGCATTATTTTTTAAATGCTATTAAAAAAACCACCAGAATGTACTTTTTGGTTTCCTCATGTTTTTGCACCCAGGTGATGCATTTGAAGCTCCCAGGAACCCTTAAATCATATTTTATACATTATGCTGAGCATAGTAGGTGTTTAGTTCACTAAATATTTACTGTTGATATTGATAGAGAAACCTCACTTGGATGCTAATGTAAGGCTTTCAGGAATGCAAGAATAAAGAAAAGATGAGTATAACTCTTCTCCATAGCATGGAGACCTTGAGGCCTTTTACAAAAATGGAAAACGATGTGAAATCTGGGGAGTCAGAGAGATTCTGAGAAGGGTATAACAATAATACCAAGAACCATGACTCATGTAGTATGTTGGAATTTCTGAAGGCAAAGAAGACAAACTCAGCAGGGTACATGAAAGTATGTAACTCAACTCTGCCAGGTGCAGCTCAAAGGGCCTGCATGGGGACCCTAACTGGGAAGGAAGTTGTAGTGGAGTGAGAAGACCACAGGAACATATTTCAGCCATTCACTGGTGTCTGTGTCTCTGACTGTCACGCTAGCCCAGGATGCAGGCAGAAGTGGCAGGTGCCTCCATGCACAGTCCCTAGTGTGGGAGGCAAACCTACCAGGGGCCCTGAGCAGCTCTGTGCATTCTTGTCAGGTATGCCAAGAAGCAAGGCTCTGACTGCTCTTTATCCAGGCCATTTCTCAGGGTTGTGTTTGTAATGAGCAACCTTGAGGGATCAGGTAACATCTTCCCCTAGACAAAGAACAGGCTTGTTACAACTCACTATAAAAGCAGTGGACTTACCAGGCTCAGGATTCCTCTCCTTAAATGGTAGCCCACTGTGTGTGTGCAAACATCCATAAACATCCATTATGGGACTTTCATTCCCCTCATGGCACGTGGGGCATGGAAACCAGTAAAAGCTCAATATTAAGTTCTGATTACTGCTTTTGCCATGAGTAATCAAGTGTTTTTTCTCTGACCCAAGAGTCTCATGTCTTTAGCTAACATCCATCAAACATTACCAGGCTAACTTGTTAACTTGCATGTAAGGTAAAAGCTCATACCCTACACAATTCTTGTTACTCTACCTTCTTGATTTCATAGGCAATAAAATCCCAGATACTGCTGTGGAAATGCCACCTTTAACCCTGAGAAGTAGCAATATGTAAATAACAGCTACGATCTATAATCATTATCACAAGTGATATTGAAATAAGGTCTCAGAATAAAAGATAGTCCTTTTATTTACTTTTGAACTTATAAACTTTGAACAAGTTTAGCTTCATGCAGAACTTACAACAACGCCCTTATTTTGTGAATTTCAGAGGAGGCACCAGATGTGCTTCCCTTTGGGCCTGAAATATCTCCTTTGTTCTAAGAGTTAAGTTATTATGGTCCTTATTAAGCTGCATGAGGAATCTAGGAAAAACAAAACATTCTCCCATATCAATTATTAGTATTGGCTGAGCATGGTGGCTCACTCCTGTAATCCCAGCACTTTGGGAGGCTGAGGTGGGAAGATCACTTGAGGTCAGGAGTTCGAGACCAGCCTGCCCAACATGGCGAAAACCCGTCTCTACTAAAAATATTTTTTAAAATCATAATAAAATCATCAGTATCAGGCAAAGTCATCAGATAGGTTTTAGGACACCTAGCAAGGTCCTTTGAAATGAACACTAATAAAAATCAATTAATTAATTAATTAAAAAAAAGAAAACGAACACTAGGTATGGTGTATTTTGTTCTCCATGAGAACCTGCTCAGAAAAATAAGAATGTATAATAGTTTTACTAGCTTTATTAAGGTATAACTGGCACACAATTTAAAGTGCATGACATACATATTTAAAGTACATGATTTGATAAGTTTTGATATATGTATGCACCTGTGAAATACCATAATCAAGGTATAAACATATCCATCACCCCAAAAAGCTTCCACATGCCCCTTTGTCATCCTCCTTTCCTGACTCTTTGCCAACCCTACTCATCCACAGGCAACGACTGATCTGCTTCTGTCACTACAGATTAGTTAACAATAGATTAGTTTAGTTTTATAGAACTTTGTGGAATTGGATTTACATAGCATGTAGTCATTTTGCCTGGCTTCTTTCATTCAGTGTAATTATTTTGAGATTCATCTTTGTTCTTCCAAGTATCAATAATTCATGTTTTAAATTGCTGAGCAGGATTCTATTGTATGGATATACTACAATTTGTTTAGCCATTCACTTGCTAATGGGTATTTGTGCTATTTCCAGTTTTTGGCTATTACAAAGAAAGTTGCTATGAACATTGGCGTACAAGTCTTTGTATGGACATGCAGTTTCATTTCTCTTGGGTAAAAACCTAAGAGTGGCATAGCTAGATCACATCATAGGTATATGCTGAACTTTTAAAGAAACTGCCATGGCCGGGCGCGGTGGCTCATGCCTGCAATGCTAGCACTTTGAGAGGCCAAGACAGGCAGATTGCTTCAGCCCAGGAGTTTGAGACCAACCTGAGGAACATAGTGAAACTCTATTTCTATAAAAAAAATCAGCCAGGAATGGAATAAATAAATAAATAATCTCCCAGACTGCCTTCCAAAGTGAAGTGGTTGGACCAAATTATGTTCTCCTCAGCAGTGTGTGCCAACATGGGATTTACTCAGTCTTTTTAATTTTAGCCATTCTAATGAGTGTGTAGTGGTATTTTAATGTAGTTTTAATTTGCATTTCCTTAATGAGTAATGGTATTGGACATCTTTTCATATGCTTATTTGTCATCCATATATCTTCTTTGGTGAAGTATCTGTTGAAATCTTTTACCCATTTTAAAATATTGAATTGTTTTCTTATTACAATAGTCCCCCTTATCTGAGGGGGGATACATTCCAAGACCCCCAGTGGATGCCTGAAACCATGGATAGTACTGAGCCCCATATATACTGATTTTTCTTATACATATATACCTATAATAAAGTTTAATTTATAAATTAGGCACAGTAAGGGATTGGCAACCATAACTAATAATAAAACAATTATGTATTAGTCTGTTCTCACACTGCTATAAAGGTACTACATGAGACTGAATAATTTATAAAGAAAAACAGGTTTAATTGACTCACAGTTCTGCATGGCTGGGGAGGCCTCAGGAAACTTACAATAATGGCGAAAGGCAAAGGGGAAGCAAGACACACTTTCACAAGGTGGCAGGAGAGAGAGAGTGTGCAGGGGAAAGGGCCAGACACTTAACAAACAACCAGATCTTGTGAGAACTCCCTCACTATCATGAGAACAGCATGAGGGAAACTGCCCCCATCACCCAATCACCTTCCACCAGGTCCCTCCCTTGACATGTGAGGATTACAATTTGAGATGAGATTTGGGTGGGGACACAGAGCCAAACCATACCAAATTATAACAATATGTCAGCATCATTACTCTTGAACTTTGGGGCCACCGCAAAATAAGGGTTACTTGAACACAAAGCACTTCAATACCATGACAGGCAATCTGATAATCAAGATGGCTACTAAGAGACTAACAGGCAGGTAGTGTATATGGCATGGATATGTTGGACAAAAGGAGTATTTGTGTCCTGGGTGGGCCAGAGTGGAACAGCATGAGATTTCACCATGCTCCTCAGAAAGGTGTACAATTTAAAACCTATGAATTGGTTATTTCTGGAATATTCCATTTAATATTTTCAGGCCATGGTTGACCACAGGTAACTGAAACCATGGAAAGCAAAACCACAGATAAGGGAGCACCACTGTATTGCGTTTTTAGAGTTTTTTTTTTTCTTTTTTTTTTGAGATGGAGTTTCACTGTTGTCACCCAGGCTGGAGTGCAATGGAGCAATCTTGGCTCACTGCAACCTCTGCTTCCTGAGTTCAAGCAATTCTCCTGCCTCAGCCTCCTGAGTAGCTACGATTACAGGTGCCTCCACCACGCATGGCTCATTTTTTTTTGTATTTTTAGTAGAGACGGGGTTTCACCATGTTGGCCAGGCTGGTCTTGAACTCCTGACCTCAGGTGATCCACCCACCTCAACCTCCTAAAGTGCTGGGATTACAGGCGTGAGCCACCACACCCAGCCAGATATATGATTTCAAATATTTTATTCTAGTCTGTGGCTTTTTCTCATTCTCTTAAGATTCTCTTTGAAAGAGAAGATGTTCTTAATGATTAAAAAGTCTAATTCATCAGTGTTTTCTTTTATGGACCATGCTTTTGGTATTGTACCTAAGAAATATTTGCTTATTCCAAGGTCACAAAATTTTTCTTATATGTTTTCTTTTATAAACTTTACAGGTTTAGGTTTTATAAATAGGTCTGTGATCCATTTTGAGTTAATTTCTTAATATGGTGTAACATGTAGCTAGATCAAAGTTCATTTTTGCATATGGATATACATTTGTTCCAGCAGTATTTGCTGAAAAGACTGTCCCTTCTCCACTGAATTGCCTTTGTACCTTTGTTGAAAATCAGTTGACCATATACATGTGGATTTATTTCTGTAGTCTATTCTGTTCTGTTGATGAATATGTCTATCCTTGCCCAGTACCAAACTGTCTGCATTACTGTTAGTTTTGTAATATGTCTTGAAATCAGGTGGTCCTAGTCTTCCAACTTCATTCTTTTTAAAAGTTGTTTTGTCTATTCTAGGTCCTTCATATTTTCACATGAATTTTATAATCAGTTTGTCAATTTATACAAAAAAAGGAAATGTGACTGTTATTGGATTAAGTCTATAAATCAACTAGGGAAGAACTGACATTTAAACAATATTGAGTCTTCCAACCCAGCAACACAATGTATCTCCATTTATTTAGATTTTTAAAAATTCTCTTAGCAATGTTTTAAAGTTTTCAGTGTACAGGCATTTCACATTGTTTGTTAGGTTATCCCTAAATATTTCATCTATTTGATGCTGTTGTAAATGGTATTGCTTTTAATTTCACTTTTTCAATTATTTGTTGTTAGTATATGGAAATACAGTTGAGTGTTGTACATTGATCTTGTATCCTGCAACCTTGCTAAACTCATGTATTAGTTCTAGTAGTTTTGTTTTGTTTAGAGATAGGGTCTGGCTCTGTCACCCAGTTTGGAGTGCAGTGGCACAATCTTAGCTCACTGTAGCCTCAAGCTCCTGGATTCAAGCAATCCTCCCACCTCAGCCTTCTAAGTGTTTGGGTCTAAAGCTATGCACCACCATGCCCAGCTAATTTTTTAATTTTTTATAGAGACAAGGTCTCACTCTGTGCCCAGGCTGGTTTTGAACTCCTGACCTCAAGTGATCCTTCTGTCTCAGCTTCCCAAAGTGGTGGGATTACACTTTGGGTGGGTGAGCTACCATGCCTGCCCTGTTTCTTCCTTTTAAATGTTTCACTGGATTTTCTACATAGGTGATCAGGTCATCTGAGGGTAAAAATATTTTCATTCTTACTTTTTTTAAAAAGTAGGTGACTTTTGTTTATTTTTCTTACCTTATTGCACTGGCTAAAACCTCCAGTGTTGAATAGAAGTCGTGAGAGTGGATATCTTGTCTTCTTTCTGATCCTAATGGGAAAGGATTCGGTCTTTTACCATTAAAAATGATGTTAGGTATAGGTTTTTTTATAGATGCACATTATCAGGTTGAGGAAGTTCTCTTCTTTTTAAAATTTTTTTAACTTTTAAGTTCCAGGGTACCTGTGCAGGTTTGTTACATAGGTAAACATGTGCCAGGTGGTTTGCTGCACAGATCAACCCATCACCTAGGTATTAAGCCCAGCATCCATTAGTTGTTCTTCCTTATGCTCTCCCTCCCCCAACCTTCCCCAACAGGCCCCAGTGTGTGTTGTTCTCCCCATATGTGTCTATGTGTTCTCATAGTTCAGCTCCCACTTATAAGTGAGAACATGCAGTGTTTGGTTTTCTGTTCCTGCATTAGTTTGCTCCATCCAGGTCCCTGCAAAGGACATGATCTTATTCCTTTTTATGGCTGCATAGTATTCCACGGTATATATGTACCACATTTTCTTTATCCAGTCTATCATTGATGGGCATTTGGGTTCATTCCATGTCTCTGTTATTGTGAATAGTCCTGCAGTGAAGTTATGCATGCATGTATCTTTATAATAGAATGATTTATATTCCTGGGTATATACCCCGTAATAAGACTGCTGGGTCAAATGGTATTTCTGATTCTAGATCTAGTCTTGAACTCCTGACCTCAAGTGACCCACCCACCTCTTATTGTGGTTTTGATTTGCATTTCTCTTATGATCTGTGATGTTGAGCTTTTTTTCATGTTTGCTGGCTGCATGTATGTCTTCTTTTGAGAAGTGACTGTTCATGCCCTTTGCCCACTTTTTAATGGGGTTATTTTTTTCTTGTAAATTTGTTGAAGTTCCTTGTAGATTCTGGATATTATACCTTTGTCAGATGGATAGATTGCAAAAATTTTCTCCCATTCTGCAGGTTGTCTGTTCACTCTGATGACAGTTTCTTTTGCTGTGCAGAAGCTCTTTAATTAGACCCCATTTGCCAATTTTTGGTTTTGTTGCAATTGCTTTTGGCATTTTCGTCATGAAATGTCTATGTCCTGAATGGTATTGCCTAGATTTTCGTCTAGGGATTTTACAGTTTTGGGTTTTACATTTAAGTCTTTAATCCATCTTGAGTTAATTTTTGTATACGGTGTAAGGAAGGGGTCCACTTTCAATTTTCTACATATGGCTAGCCAGTTTTTGCAGCACCATTTATTAAATAGGGAGTCCTTTCCCCATTGCTCATTTTTGTCAGATTTGTTGAATATCAGATGTTTGTAGGTGTGTGGTCTTATTTCTGAGTTCTCTATTCTGTTCCATTGGTCTATGTATCTGTTTTTGTACCAGTACCATGAGGTTTTGTTTACCGTAGTCTTGTACTACAGTCTGATGTCAGGTAGCATGATGCCTCCAGCTTTATTCTTTTTGCTTAGAATCCTAAGCAAAAAGATATTGGGGCTATTGGGGCTGTTTTTTGGTTCCATATGAATTTTATAATAGTTTTTTCTAATTCTGTGAAGAATGTCAATGGTAGTTTAATAGGAATAGCATTCAATCTATAAATTTCTTTGGGCCATATGGCCATTTTCACAATATTGATTCTACCTATCCATGAGCATGAAATGTTTTTCCATTTGCTTGTGTCCTCTCTGATTTCCTTGAGCAGTGGTTTGCAGTTCTCCTTGAAGAGGCCCTGCACTTCCCTTGTTAGCTGTATTCCTAGGTATTTTATTCTTTGTAGCAACTGTGAATGGGAGTTCATTCATGATTTGGCTCTCTGCTTGCCTGTTGTTGGTTTATAGGAATGTTAGCAATTTTTGCACATTGATTTTGTATCCTGAGACTTTGCTGAAGTTGCTTATCAGCTTAAGAAGGTTTTGGGCTGAGACGATGGGGTTTTCTAGACATAGGATCATGTCATCTGCAAACAAAGACAGTTTGACTTCTTCTCTTCCT
Organism: Homo sapiens; assembly: GCF_000001405.40. Lineage (NCBI taxonomy): Eukaryota > Metazoa > Chordata > Mammalia > Primates > Hominidae > Homo > Homo sapiens. The sequence continues at coordinate 120,234,999 of NC_000003.12, forward strand.
ATTTAGATACACTTTATTTCTTTCTCTTGCCTGATTGCCCTGGCCAGAACTTCCAATACTAGGTTGAATAAAAGTGGTGAGAGACGCCATCCTTGTCTTGTGCCAGTTTTCAGGGGGAATGCTTCCAGCTTTTGCCTACTTAGTATGATACTGGCTGTGGGTTTGTCATAGATGGTTCTTGTTATTTTTAGGTATATTCCTCAATACTTAGTTTATTGAGAGTTTATTGAAGAGATGTTGAACTTTATCAAAGGCCTTTTCTGTGTCTATCGAGATAATCATGTGGTTTATGTGATGAGTTACGTTTATTGATTTGCATATGTTGAACCAACCTTGAATCTCAGGGATGAAGTCAACTTGATCGTGGTGGATAAGCTTTTTGATGTGCTGCTGGATTTGGTTTGCCAGTATTTTATTGAGGATTTTTGTATTGATGTTCATCAGGGATATTTGTCCGAGGTTTTGTTTTTTTATTGTGTCTCTGCCAGGTTTTGGTATCAGGATGATGTTGGTCTCATAGAATGAGTTAGGGAGGAGTCCCTCCTTTTCAATTGTTTGAAATAGTGTCAGAAGAAATGGTACCAGCTCCTCTTTGTACCTCTGGTAGAATTTAGCTGTAAATTCGTCTGTTCCTGGGCTTTTTTTGGTTGCTAGGCTATTTGTTACTGCCTGAATTTCAGAACTCATTATTGGTCTATTCAGGGATTCAATTTCTTCCTGGTTCAGTCTTGGGCAAGTGTTTGTGCCCAGGAATTTACCCATTCCTTCTAGATTTTCTAGTTTATGTGCATAGAGGTGTTTATAGCATTCTCTGATGGTTGTTTGTATCTGTGAGGTCAGTGGTGATATCCCCCCTATCATTTGTCATTGTGTCTATTTGATTCTTCTCTTTCTTCTTTATTAGTTTAGGTAACAGTCTATTTTATTAACTTTTTTTTTTTCAAAAAAAATCAGCTCCTGGATTTGTTGGTTTTTTGAAATTTTTTTTTGTGTCTCTATCTCCTTCAGTTCCACTCCAATCTTGGTTATTTCTTGTCTTCTGCTAGCTTTGGGATTTGTTTGCTCTTGGTTGTCTAGTTTTTTTAGTTGTGATGTTAGGTTGTTGATTTGAGATCTTTCTAGCTTTTTGATGTGGGCATTTAGTGCTATAAATTTCTCTCAACACAGCTTTCGCTGTGTCCCAGAGATTCTGGTACACTGTCTCTTTGTTGTCACTAGTTTCAAGGAACTTCTTGATTTCTGCCTTAATTTCATTATTCACCCAGGAGTCATTCAGGAGCAGGTTGTTCATTTCCATGTAGTTGTATGGTTTTGAGTGAATTTCTTATTCTTGAGTTCTAATTTGATTGTGCTGTGGTTGGAGAGACTGTTTGTTATGATTTCAGTTCTTTTGCATTTGCTGAGGAGTGTTTTACTTCTGATTATATGATCAATTTTAGAGTGCCATGTGGCTATGAAAAGAATGTATATTCTGTTGTTTTTGGGTGGAGAGTTCTGTAGATAACTATCAGGTCCATTCAATCTAGAGTTTAGTTCAGGTCCTGAATATCTTTGTTAATTTTCTGTCTCAATGATCTGTCTAATATTGTCAGTGGAGTGTTAAAGTCTTTCACTATTATTGTGTGGGAGTCTAAGTCTCTTTGTAGGGCTCTAAGAACTTGCTTTATGAGTCTGGTTGTTCCCATATTAGGTGCATATGTATTTAGGATACTTAGCGCTACTTGTTGAATTGAGCCTTTTACCATTATGGAATGCCCTTGTCTATTTTATCTTTGTTGGTTTAAAGTCTGTTTTGTCAGAAACTAGGACTGCAACCCTTGCTTTTTTCTGTTTTCCGTTTGCTTGGTAAATTTTCCTCCATTCCTTTATTTTGAACCTATGTGTGTCTCTGCACTTGAGATGGGTCTCTGGAAGACAGCATCTGGGTGTTTGCTGATGCTGACGGGTCTTTGCTCTTTGGCCAGCTTGCCATTCTCTGTCTTTTAATGGGGGCATTTAGCCCATTTACATTTAAGGTTAGTGTTGTTATGTGTGAATTTGATCCTGTCATCATGACGCTAGCTGTTTATTTTGCCAACTTGCTTATGTGGTTCCTTCATAGTGTCACTGGTCTGTGTACTTCAGTGTGTTTTTGTGGTGGCTGGTAAGTTTTTTCTTTCCATATTTAGTGCTTCCTGCAGGAGCACTTGCAGGGCAGTCCTGGTTGTAACAATTCCCTCAGCATTTGCTTGTCTGAAAAGGATCTTATTTCTTCTTCACTTATGAAGCTTAATTTGGCCTGATATGAAATTCTGGGTTGGAAATTCTTTTCTTTAAGAATGTTGAGGCCGGGCGCAGTGGCTCACGCCTGTAATCCCAGCACTTTGGGAGGCCGAGGTGGGCAGATCACGAGGTCAGGAGATCGAGACCATCCTAGCTAACACAGTGAAACCCCGTCTCTACTAAAAATACAAAAAATTAGCTGGGCGCGGTGGCGGGCGCCTGTAGTCCCAGCTATTCGGGAGGCTGAGGCAGGAGAATGGCGTGAACCCGGGAGGCGGAGCTTGCAGTGAGCTGAGATCGCGCCACTGCACTCCAGCCTGGGTGACAGAGCGAGACTCAGTCTCAAAAAAACAAAAAATAAAAAAATTGTTGAATATTGGCCTCCAGTTTCTTTGGCTTCTAGGATTTCTGCTGAGAGGTCCACTGTTAGTCTGATGGGCTTCCCTTTGTAGATGACCTGGCCTTTCTCTCTGGCTGCCCTTAACATTTTTTCTTTCATTTTGACCTTGGGTAATCTGATGATTATGTGTTTTGGGGTTGATCTTCTTGTGGAGTATCTTACTGGGGTTCTCCACATTTCCTGAATTTGAATGTTGGCCTGTCTTGCTAGATTGGCGAGGTTCTCCTGGATGACATTATGAAGTATGTTTTCCAATTTGGTTCCATTCTCCCCATCTCTTTCAGGTACTCCAATCAGTTGTAGGTTTGGTCTTTTTACGTAATCCCATATTTCTTGGAGGTTTTGTTTGTTTTCATTCTTTTTTCTCTATTCTTGTCTGCCTGTCTTATTTCAGAAAGACAGTTTTCAAGCTCTGAGATTCTTTCTGCTGCTTGGTCTACTCAGCTATAGACACTAGTGATTGGATTGTGACGTTCTCACGTTGTGATTCTCAGCTCCATTAGGTGTTTTATGTTCCTCTCTAAACTGGCTATTCTGGTTATCAGCTCCTGTAATGTTTTATCATGATTCTTAGCTTCTTTGCATTGGGTTAGAACATGTTCCTTTAGCTCAGCAAAGTTCGTTATTACCCTCATTCTGAAGGCTACTTCTGTCAATTCAGCCATCTCAGTCTCAGCCCAGTTCTGTGCCCTTGCTGGAGAGGTATTACAATCATTTGGAGAAGAGGCACTCTGGCTTTTTGAGTTTTCAGCATTTTTGCATTGATTCTTTCTTATCTTTGTGGGCTTATCTACCTTCAGTCTTTGAGGTTGCTGACCTTTCAATGGGTTTTTTTGGGGATCTTTTTTGTTTATGTTGTTGTTGCTGCTTTGTTTTTCTTTTAACAGTCAGGCTCCTCTTCTGCAGGGCTGCTGTGGTTTGCTAGTGGTCCACCCCAGACCCTAATCACCTGGGTCCCTTCTGCACCTGGAGGTATCACTATCACCAGCAAAGGGTGCAAAACAGCAAAGATGGCTGCCTGCTCCAAACTGACGCTGGCCCAAACACTCCTGTAAGAGGTGTCTGGGGATCCCTTTGGGAGTTCTCACCCAGTCAGGAGGAATGGGATCAGGGACCTGCCTCAAGAAGCAGTCTGGCTGCCCCTTGGGGGACTGGGTGCACTGCACTGGGGGGATCCCCTTTTGTCCAGACTGCCCAGACTCTCCAGAGCCAGCAGGCAGGAAAGGCTAAGTTGGCTGAACCACAGAGACTGTGGCCACCCTTCCCCTGAGGGGCTCTGTCCCAGAGAGATCAGAGTTCTGTCCATAAAACCCTGGCTGGAGTTGCTGAAATTCTCACAAGGAGGTCCTGCCCAGTGAGGGGGGATGGATCGGGGTCCCACTTAAAGAAGCAGTCTGGCCACAATCTGCCACAGCAGCTGTGCTGCGCAATGGGGAGGAAGTTCTGTTCTATGCTGTTTGTTGAGACTTTATCAGAAATTGATGTTGAAGTTTGTCAAAAATTTTTCTGTATCTACTGAGATGATCATATAGTTTTCTTTTTTAGTTGGTAAATGTCATGAGTTATTGATCAATCTTTAGATATTAAACAAAGCTTACATTCCAGGGATAAACCTCACGTTGTCACAATGATGTATTCTCTTTTTAACATTTGGTGATACTCAATTTGTTAAAATTTTGTTTAAAATTTTGAATCTATGTTTATAGGACATATTAGCCTATAGCTTTCCTCCTCCCTTCTTCTTCTTCTTCTTCCTCCTCTTCCTCTTCCTCTTCTTCTTCTTCTTCTCCTTCTCCTTCTTCTCCTCCTCCTCCTCCTCCTCCTTCTCCTTCTCCTCCTCCTCTTCCTTCTCCTTCTCCTTCTTCTCCTTCTCCTTCTTCTTTTTCCTATTCAATTTTGAAATCAGGGTAATACTGCCCTCATAGAATGAGTTGGGAATTACTTCTTTATTTTCAGTTTTTTTAGAAGAGTTTGAAGTTGAACTGGTAATATTTCTAAGTCACAGCTTAGTTGGGTGCCTGTGGCTCAGGTTTTCACATAAGAATACAGTCAAGGTGTCACAACAATACAGTCAAGGTGTCACCTGTTTCAAAGTTCACTGACATGGCTGTTAGCAAGCCCCAGGTACTTGCTGGCTGCAGGCTGGAAACATCAGTTCCTTGCCAATGGGGGCCTCTTTACAGGACAGCTTATAACACAACAGCTGGCCTCCCACAGAGTGGGAGTTAGTGGGACAATGAGAGAGCTCTAAGGTGGAAGCCACAGTTTTTGTGAACTAATGCCAAAAGCGACATCTCACTAAAAAGCAAGTTAGTAAGTTCACCTCATACTCAAGGAGAGAGGACTTCATAGGAGTGTGACTACAAGGAGGTGGGAATCATCGAAGAACATCTTAGAGGCTATCTACCATAGTTGTTTACAACATTACCTTATCCGTCATATCTACAGAATCTATAGTGATGTCACCTCTCCCATTCCTTATTTGGGTAATTGTATCTTATTTCTTTTTTTTCTGATCACTTTGGCTAGAGGTTGATCAGTTTTACTTATCTTCATAGCTTTTGGCTTTACTGACTTTTTTTTCCTATTGTTTTCTGTTTCCTATTTTATTTTCTAACCTGATCTTTATTATTTCCTTTCTTCTACTTACTTTGGGTCTCATTTGCTCTTTTTTTCTGTTTGTAAGGTGGAAGATGAGGTCATGGATTTGAGACATTTCTTCTTTTCTAATATGGGGTTTAGTTCTCTAGATTTCCCCCTAATACTGCTTTAGTGGCATCCAACAAATCTAGGTTGTATTTTCATTTTAATTCTGGTCAATATTTTCTAGTTTTCCTTTTGATTTCTTTTTTGACCATGGATTAAAGTGTTCTATGTAGTTTCTAAATATTTCAGGATTTTCCAGAGATCTTTCTGTTATTGATTTCCATTTTAATTTCATTGTCAGAAAACATAGTTTATATGACTTGAATCCTTTAATTTTTTTTTTTTTTGAGACAGAGTCTTGCTCTGTTACCCAGGCTGGAGTGCAGTGGCATGATCTCAGCTCACTGCAACCTCTGCCTCCCGGGTTCTCCTGCCTCAGCCTCCCAAGTAGCTGGGACTACAGGTGCATGCCACCACACCCATCTAATTTTTGTATTTTTAGTAGAGATGGGTTTTCACCATGTTGGCCAGGCTGGTCTCAAACTGCTGACCTCTGGTGATCTATCCGCCTCAGCTTCCCAAAGTGCTGGGATCACAGGCATGAGCCACTGCACCCGGCTTGAACCCTTTTAAATTTAATGAGACTTTTTCTATGGCCCAGAATATGATATATCTTGGTAAATGTTCCATGTGTACTTCAAAAGAATATGTATTCTGCTGTTGTTGGGTGAAAGGTAATATAAATGTCAATTGGGTCAAGTTGGTTGATAGTGTTCAAGTTTTCTTTATCTTTACTGGTTTTTGAAATTTTTATAAAAATTCAATATCTGCAACTGGATTTAAACATTTTTGTATTATTTTTATTGTGTTAAAATATTTTTCTTCCTCTCCTTTCTTGCATATACACACACATGAATACTCACACACACAGTCCCAAATTTAGAGACCACAGAATTGTAACGAAATAAAGCATCTGATTGTGATGCTGCATCTTTTAACAAATGTATTGTTCAATAAAACACTTTTGAAACTGGGTTATTTTATCTTTCCTTGTCTGACCTTGTAAGCCACTTAATTGTAAAATGTGTTTTTATTCACAATACCTCTTAATATTTTATTCTTTATGCCAAGTCATGCTCCCACTGCAAACAAAACAGGCAGCAAAATATTTAATAGAGTGAAAGAAATATAAGGGTTTCTAGTATAATGCTGTTTACAGGTGTTCCTGTTTTAACAGGATATATAAATACTTGATAAACCTTGTATTCTGCAAAATTATATGTAAAAATAATAGACTGTGGGGAAAATAGGATGGGGTCATAACACTCAAAACAGTTAACTTTGTAACAAGAGTATTAATAAAATATTAATTATTCCAACTAAAACACTACCACCCAGTAAATGTCCACTAGCATTTGTACCCAGGATCAAAGTCAACTTCTACAGTCTTAAATCTCAAGACACAGGTCCTCAGGGGCATTCATCTCCAGTAGATAACATTGTCAAAAAATTAAAAATCTGCTCTGGATCTGTGCTTTCTTTAACAATCAACTGAAGTTTTTAAACATAAGGCAAATGTCTTCTCCACTTCTTCATCTACTCCTACAGCCTCATCTTGTAGGGAAGACACAAGTTCTTAAGCCATTAAGCCAGACACTACTTGCACCAAGGGAAGGAACTGCCAAGCTTAAAGCTTCCTTTACTAGCTGTGAGAAAGCTTGCCCCTGAATGTTTAAATTATTGATTTGCTGGGGGAAAAGTAACATATGAATCAATGACATAATTTTCTTATTACCAACTGGGTAATACCAATTGAGTATTACTTTGCATTATAGAAACATGTTACAGCTGAAAAGACTGTACTCCATAGTTCTCTAACCTTGAAATGCATGATTTTCCCAGTCACTTTGTTGGCAGCAGCCACCGTTGGGATTTAAATCTCTTTCCTCCCAGGATCACTGGATGCATATTTACTGAGCACCTATTATATCCCAGAGTCTGTTCTAAATGCTGGAGACACAGTGGTGGGCACAAGAGGACAGGCAAAGTCCCTGTGTTCACAGAATTCCATTCTGGTAGGGGATACAGACAATCAACAGGTAAATCAACAAATATGGTAATAGCAGACTATGCTTGCTATAAGGAACATAAAACAGGCTGATAGGATATGGAATGAGATGAGGGGGTGATCATGGGTAGGGATACTACTTTAGATAGGATGATCAGGGAAGGTGTCTCTGAAGAGGTGACACTGGAGCCAAGACCTATAAGATGAGAAGGAACTAGTCATGGGAATATCTGAGGAGGACTTCCAGGCAGAGGGAACAGTACAGGAACAGTAAGTACAAAAGCCTTGAGATGGGAGTCAGCGTAGTGTGCTTGAGGAACAGAATGAAAAGTGGCTGAGGCAGTCTCTGGGGTATACTCTAGTTGGAGTGCCACGTATCACCACCATGCTGAGGCTGACCCAACAACCAATCACTGCTGCTTAACAATTCCACGTCCTCCATGCCTAACATGGCAAAACAGCATCCCAAAATGCAACTGACCAATTCTCATCTGAGTGTCAAATCCACAGGCAATGGAGCACGACATGCTTGGTCACCACACAGGGTAAGGCTGGAGTGGGGCTGGACGAGTTTGGCTGGTTTGAGGAAGTTGTTAATTTCTGATTGTGGGCTCCATCTAGAAGTCAGCTGTGGGCTAAGGAGAGGGCTGGAGCAGGGCTTCTCATGAGGCACCCTGGGACGGCTGTGGTAGGATGAGGGTACAGTGTGGGGGTGGGAGAGATGGGATGGGCCCTGAGGAAGGATGAAATTGCATCCAAGGCAAGGTGCTATAAGTCCCTTCAGAAAAAAGTCACCATTTTGCTTCTTTTGCGAATCCTGGGAGCCATACTTACCCTGATAAGCTGATGACTTTCTAGTCAGCCAGAATTATCTAGCAAATAGCCAGGTAGCAGTGCTTCACTGCTTTTGCAGAAACCCTAACTCACCCAGACTGGTTCTGCTGTGCTGTCCTCAAGTTTTTGTGTTGTTTTGGAATCCTCTACATGGTCTTCATTTTAAATACAGATACCTCATCTTCTCAGAAGGATTGTACCTCCATTATAGAGAGAGACTCTTCATTCTCTTCTTTGGATACCCTTGCAGTAGTTAGCACAATACCGACCTAGATCTTTCCCCTTCTCAACAGGTAGACTATTTCAGAGGGAATGTCTCATGTGGTTTAATCCTGTAGTGGGAGACCAGATAGTGGCTTGTGCTGCCAAAAGATACTAACATTTGGGATTTCATGATTGAGCTATGTGTGATGAGAAACTGGGCTGCTTACCTGTTCTTCCTGCAGTGAATTGTAAAGGCAAGAAAGAAAAGTATCAGCAGAAGTCCACAGCTGAGAAAAGTCCAAACAATACCCAAGAGGACAGGAGATAATGAAGAGATGGTCTTACTGCTGTGGTGGGAAGATGTCTGAGGACAGAATAAGGAGGAGCTGTTAGGAATGAAGGATCTTCTATAGGTCAAAAACAAACTGCCCCATCGTCACCAAGTGCTGGGAAATATGTATCCTGCATGAGCAGTTTCTCCTCCCACTCCTCCCCTTCCTCATCCCCCTTTCCCTCCACCTCCTCCTCCCCAACACCACCACCACCACATACATCTGAGCAGCCCTGGCATCCTGTGGCTGCTCACTTACAATTGTTGTCTTGCAGAGATCATGAAGGGGTCTCCGATCCAGCTCCTGGCCAGGAAAACTGTCACACAATTCAGAGCAGTTTATTTCAGGCTCCATGTCACCACATGCCCCTGTTGGTGTGTGCTTATTCACAGTCTTGGTTACCCACTGGTAGGGATGTAGATCTTTGACTAAGACACAAGAGCAACTCAAATCTTTTCTTCAGAGGCCCCATTTTGGAGCTGGCTGCAGGCTCAGAATCCAGAGTGAACAACCCATTCAGGTAGAAGCAAAGGGTTATTTCGCTAGGCTCCTTCATCAGACATCCTTCAACTGGTGACCCTCCAAAGTCAGACATCCTTCAACTGGTCCCCTGCTGCGAGTGCATGCCATGTGAGTCAAGAGTGGACATCTTAGTAACCATCAGGCTACACAAGGTGATGATTCTGGTTAACCACCAGATGGCAGTCACTGTTCGAGTACCCTCACTCTGGTTCCTGAAGAAAGGAAAGCAATTAAACCTGTTAAACAAAGGCATGTATACACACACACACACACACACACACACACACACACACACACACACACGTAAATGGTTTATTAGAGAGGTTTTAAAATATCATCTATTTTAATTATATAGTTATATTTTATTATACACTTTATTATATATATTACAAAGGTATCAAATATCATATATTTAAATCAACATATTTTAAGCCATTATAGTAAATAATATTTTTAAAACAAAGATAAAGCATATCTAACATTTTCTGCAGTTTCTTTTCAGATCCTGTTTATGGCCCAGTACTGTAAAGACCTTAGCTTAGACTTGTGAGCCACATTTTTCTTTTTTCCATACTGGGAAACCCAGTGCCCTCCCAAGATCTTTCTAGGCAGCTCATGGCTTAAGTTCTGTCTGATCCTGGATGGTGCTGGGCTCAGGTGCCCCATGCTGTCTCCACACATGATCTGTCGGTCACTCTAGCTCTTGTTCTCTCTAGCTCTTGTTCTCTATGTCCAGTCGGCTGGGGTCAAAGAAAGGTACCCAAGCTGCCTGCAAGAGTCTTTGTGTGTTTGTATTTAAACTGTGAGACTAACAGGCGTGAGATAGACTACTCAGGCAATAGGGAAAGAAACTGGGGAGCTCTAGGAACTCCTGCAGAGTGAGTGGCTGGCCAGAGGATGGTGTTATTTCTCTCAGAAGATCCTTGCAATATGAATAATGTGATCTAAAGAGAAGCTCAGCCTTGTGGAACAAAGACAGAAAGGCAAAAAGGCTCAAATTAGCACCAGTAGAAAAGATAGCCATATCCCTAATTCTTTAAAACAATCAATCCCTTAATAGAGAAAATAGATTTGAAATTTTACCAGTGGTAATCTAAAAGAGGCTGCCACTTCTGCTTTGTATTTTTTAAACAGCTTAGCACAGTTTTCTTTGATTGTGGAGGAAAATTGGACAAGGCAAAAATATCCATTACTATTATCTCAATAGCCACTGAACACAGGGCCCATGTTTAAGCCAGAACAACAGTGACAGGTGGAGAGTGCCATCTTTGGAGTCTGTGTGCTTAGGCACAAATAATATAGCACCAGGTGCTGACCATTCATTGGCCTCTCATATGTTCCTGAATTATTTACCAGGTTTATTACAATGAAATCCCAAGAGAACTAAAAGCCACTATCTCCCATCAAGGCATTTAAATTATTGCATATTCTAGTCAGATTATTGAATGCAAAATTAAGAAGCAAATATAAAAACCTATTTGCATTCTAATTTAGTTGAGATTTTAATTGCTAGAAAGATATTTTTTCTTTTCTTTTTTTTTAAAGTTAGAGATTTCCTATTGTGCCTTCTAGCACAGAACCATACTGCAACCACAGGGAGGATTATTACAACATGATGGATTAGAAGAAAATGTATTTTTCCTATATTGCCCTTTTAATCATAGTGGCAAATAAGTACACTTATATTTGAACCATTATTCATTCAATGTTTATATATTATTATATCATTTGGAAGAAGTGTATATGTATATGTATGGGTGTATATATACATAAAACCTCATTTTGTCCTCACTACAGTGTTTTGTGATGTAAACACCATTCCTCATTTTCAAATAAGTAAACTGAAAAGCAGAGAAGAAGAAAACCCTGCTCCAAATCTGCAGAGGCAAGAATCCCAGGAGTTTACATTCCAAGGTCAATGTCATCCCAGTATACACTCCACATGGTGCAGACACTCTGGACTAACTTCTTCCAAGAAGATACCAAGGGGCCTCTTGGGTTTCTTCAGCTTTAGTTCCCAGAGGTGCACTTCTGTGGGCTCCCTAGAGCTTGGCATGCCATAGTGCCTCTTTACCAGTAGTTCTCAACTATGCAATTTTGCACCTTTAGGGGACATTTGGCAATTCTGGAGACATCTGTGGTTGTCAAAATTAAGAGAAGGATGCTATTCACATCTAGTAGGTAGATGCCAAGGATGCTGCTAAACATACTATAATTCACAGGATGGTCTGAACAACAAAGAATTATCTGGCCCCAAATGTCAACAGTGCTAAGGTTAAGAAACCCTGGTCAACACTGTGCACCCCAGGTGGGCTGACAATCTTAAACTTAAATTATCTTTGAGGGATTCTGTAAATATGATGGGGTTGTCCATCTGAGCCTAAAGTCCTGGGGGATGCAACTCTGACTTGGAATAAATTTCTGAGCACATTCTAGAGGTACCCTTGGATAAGCTAAACTCACTGGCTTGGAACCCTGAATGCTAGGCCCCTCTTCAGTCCATGGATATCCAGTGTAGAAACTTTATATACCGTGATATTGGGCTCCTACATGGGACAGGCATTAAACTGCAAACTTGGCACACATTCAGAGAGATTCACACAAGAGGAGCTGATGAAACAATGAAGGGCTCAATCATTGAAAGGAAAGAGTTGAATGGTTTCAAAAAGTGTTTAGTGATTGGGAAAGTGGGTGGGGAGTTATCAGAGAGGGTAATGGTAAGACTTCTGACCACAAGATATATACAGAATCGAAGGCACAAAGGGAAGGGTCTTCCAGGCCCCTCCAAAAGCTACCTTCCCCCTGTACCCTCACAACTAAGTCTCTAGGGAGAAACTGTTTATGTCATAGACAGTAGTAGACCCAAGGCCATGTGTGGTAGTGTTTGCAATTTATTTGACAGAGATTACAGAATCCTTCCCAGTGATTAGGATCAGGAAAACAGACACTATCCCCAAGCAAGATGGTCATTTGCAAGTTCACCCCTCTGTACAGGCCCATATCTTTCTCACAAAATCTCTATTCTTCTATACGTAATTTATGACCAGTCATACAAATACTGTCTTTTAACAAGTTGTTTTGGTTGTTTTGCAGTTGGTAGAACTTCTGCTTCTGTCTGTGAAGAATTAACTGCTGTGCAAATTGCTTTTTTCTGTGAACAAGTTGAAAACCAGACAAAACACATGAAAGAATCATTTTCAGGCATTGTACAACAGATGCCACACAACTGGGCTTCCTAAGAGATACTGCCTGGAGGTCATTTCCAGGTCACAGCACGTGGAGGGAAAACCAATCAGAACCTAGAATTCTACCTGAGGTAAGGGGGAATGGATTGGAATTTAAGGATGTTGAGGTGGTTAGAATTTGTGGGACAGAGTAATGAAGAAGAGGGAGATACAGAGAGTGGGGAGAGCACTTTGGAAATCTGCAGAGGATCCCCCCCAGTCTTCTCCTAAGTATGATTTGGATATGAGCTGGAAGAAACTACTTGGAGTTGAAGAAAAAAACACTGATAGGCAATAGCTGAGTAATTCCTGGAGCTCACACAGGGCTGAGACTACCCTGTGTTTCCATCAGCCAGTGTGGAGAGACCCCAAAATACACAGGACATTGGATAAAATCCTCAGAAAAGCCACATCTTAGTAGTAAAAACAAATTAACTCTAAACTAGATGTTACTCTGGATATACCCTAAAGGAAAGTCTCAAATGGATCAAAGTGATCTGTAAAAACTCAACTGCATTCCAGAACACAACTCAATGCTCTTAAAAGGAATATAACAACATCCAGTGCTCAACAATGTAAAATTCAAAATAATCACCAGGCATTCAAAGAAATGAAAAAATATGACCTATACCCATAAAGTTTTAAAAAATAGATAAATAATATCAGACACAGAAATAACAGAAATGATATAACTATCACACAAGAACCTTAAAACAACTATTATAAATATGCTCTAGGATATAAAGCAAAATATGAACAAAATGAGGAGAGAATTGAAAGATAAAAAGGAGATCTAAATAGAACTTCTAGAGATAACAATATAATATCTGAAATAAAAATGTAACAGATCAGACATTGCAAAAAGAAACATTGGTTAACTTAAAAACATAGCAATAGAAATTATCCAAAAATCTGACCTCATTTAAAATTGCTTCACACTCCCTCTGGCTTTTGTAAATGTTCTTTCTCTGATCTGCCTTTTCCTCCATTGTCCTCAACAGCTTTTATTTTTATTTATTTTTTTTTTTTGAGACAGAGTCTCACTCTGTTGTCCAGGCTGGAGTGTAGTGGCAGGATCTCAGCTCACTGCAACCTCTGCCTCCCAGCTTCAAGCGATTCCCCTGCCTCAGCCTCCCTAGTAGCTGGAATTACAGGCACCTGCCACCATACCCAGCTAATTTTTGTATTTTTAGTAGAGACAGGGTTTCACCATGTTGGCCAGGCTTGTCTCAAACTCCTGATCTCAAGTGATGCACCCGCCTCGGCCCCCCAAAGTGCTGGGATTACAAGTATGAGCCACCATGCCCAGCATGTCCTCAACACCTTTTAATGTGTTATTTAATTTATATATGTATTGGTGTCCACCGATTATTGACTTCCCCCATTAGAACACAAATTCTGTGAAAGTAAGGATCTTAATTTTGTATACCAGTGTATTTTCAGGTGCATAAACAGAAAATGATTGATAAGAATGATATATGGCGGCGGATCAAGATGGCGAAATAGAAGGCTCCACTGATCATTCCCTCTGCAAGGACACCAAGTTAACAGCTGTCTACACAGAAAAAAACACCTTCATAAGAACCAGAAATCAGAGCAGAAAGGCAAACTAGATCAAACTCAGCTGAAATGTGCAAACGGAGGGAGGATTTAAAACAGCCCTAGCCAGAGAAGAATCACCAATCCCAGTGGTCTAAACTTGAGTGCCTGTAAACCTCACCAGTGAAGGCCACAGTGCTCTTTGTCTCCAAGTAAACTTCAAAAGCAGTCTAGGCCATAAGGACTGCAACTCTTAGGTGAGTCCTGGTGCTGAACTAGGCCCAGAGACAGCAGACTGGGAGTGCATGCAACCTACTGAGACACCAGCTGGGGCAGCCAAGAGAGTATTGGCATCACCCCTCCCCTTACCCCAGGCTACACAGCTTACAGCTCCAAAAGAGACCCCTTCCTTCCACTTGAGAATAGGAGAGGGAGAAGTGGGGAGACCATTGTCTTGCGTCTAGGATACCAGCGCAGCCACAGCAGGATAGGGCACTGGTCAGAGTCATGAGGCCTCCATTCTAGGCCCTAGAAACCAGGTGACATTACTAGACACACCCTGGGCCAGAGGGAACCCACTGCATTGAAGGAAAGGACCCAGCCCTGCCGGCATTTATCACCTGCTAAGTGAAGAGCCCTTGGTTCTGAATAACCAGCAGCAATAACCAGGGACTATGTTGAGGGCCTTGGGTGAGCCTCTGAGACTTCCTGGCTTCAGGTAGAACTCAGTACATTACCAGCTGTGGTGGCTGCAGGACAAAACTTCTGCTTGATAAAAGCAGAAGGAAATGTAAAAGGGACTTTGTCTTGCACCTTAGGTACCACCACAGATACAGGGGGTTAGAATACCAAGAGGGCTCTTGGAGTCCCTGATTACAGGACTTGACCCTTGGGCAGCATTTCTGGACCTTCCCTGGGCCAGAGGGGAGCCCACTGTCCTGAAGGGTGAGTCTCAGGCTAGGTAACATTCAGGACAAGCTGATTTAAGAGAACTTGGGCCTTAAGGGAACATCAGCAGTAGTCTGGCAGTCCTCCTCATGGGCTGGGTTGGCAGTGGCCAACATGGCGAAACCCTGTCTCTACTAAAGGCAGTTCCTCTGCCTTTGGAAAGGGGAGAGAAGAGTGGGAAGGACTGTGTCTTGTGGTCTGAGGGCCAGCTCAGCCACAGTATAATAGAATACCAGGTAGACTTCTAAGGTTTTGGACTCTAGTCCTTGACTCCTGGACCTACCTGGGGCATAGGGGAAGGACAAAGCCTTTCCTCTAAAATCTGGAACACAACAAGGATGCCCACTGCCATCACTGTTATTCAACATACTACTGGAAGTCCTAGCTAGAGCAATTAGATAAGAGAAAGATATAAAAAGCATCCAAATTGAAAAGGAATAACTCAAATGATCATTGTTTGCAGACAATATGATCTTATATTTGGAAAAACCTAAAGACTCCACAAGAAAAATGATTAGAACTGATAAATTCAATAAAACTGCAGGATACGAAATCAACACACATTTACCCAAATAAACATGAATCATTCTAGTATGTTCATTACAGCATTATTCACAATAACAAAGACATAGAATCAACCTAAATGCCCATCAATGGTAGACTGGATAAAGATAAAAAAATAAAGTTCTTGTAATACACAAGAACTTCACAATGCAATCACAAGTATCCATAGGATGGACCAAGCAGTGGAAAGAATTTCAGAGCTTGAACACTATCTTTCTGCATATAGACAGGCAGACAAGAATACAGAAACAAATAAAAAGAGAAGGAATGAACAAAACCTCAGAGAAATATGAGATTATGTAAAGAGACCAAACCTATGACTTGACTGGGGTACCTGAAAGAGAGGGGCAGAATGGAACTGAGTTGGAAAACATGCATCAGGATAGCATACAGGAAAACTTCTCCAAGCTAGCAAGATGGGCCAAAGTTCAAATTCAGGAAATGCCGAGAACCCCAGTAAGATACTCCACAAGAAGATCAACTCCAAGATACATAATCATCAGATTCTCCAAGGTGAAAATGAAAAAAAAAATGCTAAGGGTAGCCAGAGAGAAAGTCCAGGTCACCTACAAAGGGAAGCCCAACAGAAAACAGTGGACTCCTCAGCAGAAACTCTACAAGCCAGAAGAGACTGGAAACCAATATTCAACATTCTTAAAGAAAAATATTTCCAATCCAGAATTTCACATCGGGCCAAACTAAGCTTCATAAGTGAAGGAGAAATAAGATCCTTTTCAGACAAGCAAATGCTGAGGGAATTTGTCACAACCAGGCTGCCCTGCAAGCACTCCTGAAGGAAGCACTAAATATGGAAAGGAAAAACTGTTACCAGCTACTACAAAAACATACTAAAGTACACAGACCAGTGACACTATGAAGCAACCACAAAAACAAGTCAGCAAAATAACCAGCTAGCATCATGATGACAGGATCAAATTCATACATAACAATACTAACCTTAAATATAAATGGGCTAAATGCCCCCAATTAAAAGTCACAGAATGGCAAGCTGGATAAACAGCCAAGGGCCATCAGTATGCTGTCTTCAAGACACCCACCTCAAGTGCAAAGACACACATAGGCTCAAAATAAGGGAATGGAGAAAAATTTATGAAGCAAATGGAAAACAGAAAAAAGCAAGGGTTGCAGTCCTAGTTTCTGACAAAACACACTTTACACCAACAAAGATAAAAAAAAGACAAAGAAGGGCATTCCATAATGGTAAAGCGTTCAATTCAACAAGCAGAGCTAACTATCCTAAATATATATGCACCCAATACAGGAGCACCCAGATTCATAAAGCAAGTTCTTAGAGACCTACAAAGAGACTTAGACTCCCACACAATAATAGTGAAATACTTTGACACTCCACTGAAAATATTAGACATATCACTGAGACAGAAAATTAACAAAGATATTCAGGACCTGAACTAAGCTCTGGATCAAGAGGACCTGATAGATATCTACAGAACTCTCCACCCAAAAACAACAGAATATACATTCTTCTCATCACCACATGGCACTTTTTCAGCAAAGGCAAAAGTATTGAAATCATAACAGTCTTTCTGACCACAGCACAATCAAATTAGAACTCAAGATTAAGAAATTCACTCAAAACCACACAACTACATGGAAATTGAACAACCTGCTCCTGAATGACTCCTGGGTAAATAACAAAATTAAGGCAGAAATCAAGAAATTCCTTGAAACTAATGAGAACAAAGAGACAACATACCAGAATCTCTGGGGTGCAGCTGAAGCAGTGTTAAGAGGAAAATTTATAGCACTAAATGCCCACATCAAAAAGCTAGAAAGATCTCAAGTTAACAACCTAATATCACAACTAAAAGAATGACAGAACCAAAAGCAAACAAATTTCAAAGCTAGAAGAAGACAAGACATAACCAAGATCAGATCAGAGTTGAAATGAAAATATAGACACAAAAAACCTTTCAAAAAAATCAATGAATCCAGGAGCTGTTTTATTTAAAATTAATAAAAAGATAGGCAACTAACTAGACTAATAAAGAACAAAAGAGAGAAGAATCAAACAGACACAATCAGAAATGTTAAGTGGGATATCATCACTGATCCCACAGAAATACAAACAACCATCAGAGAATACTACACACACCTGTATGCACATAAACTAGAGAATCTAGAAGAAATGGATAAATTCCTGGACACATACACCTTCTCAAGACTGAAGCAGAAAGAAATTGAATCCCTGAATACACCAATGACACGTTCTGAAATTGAGGCAGTAACAAATAGCCTAACAACCAAAAAAAGCCCAAGATCAGACAGATTCACAGCTGAATTCTACCAGCGGTACAAAGAAAAGCTGGTACCATTTCTACTGAAACTTTTCCAAAAAATTGAAAAGGAAGGACTTCTCCCTAACTCATTCTTGAGGCCAGTATCATCCTCATACCAAACCTGGCAGAGATACAACAACAAAAAAAGAAAATTTCAGGCCAATATCCTTGATGAACATTGAGGCAAAAATCCTCAATAAAATACTGGCAAACCAAATCCAGCAGCACATCAAAAAGCGTATCCACTACGATCAAGTTGGCTTCATCCCTGAGATTCAAGTTTGGTTCAACATATGCAAATCAATAAATGTGATTCATCACATAAACAGAATAAAAGACAAAAACCACATGATTATCTCAATAGGCCCAGAAAAGGCCTTCGATAAAATTCAACATCCCTTCATGTTAAAAGCTCTCAATAAACTAGGTATTGAAGGAACATACTTCAAAATAATAAGAGCCATCTATGACAGTCCCACAGCCAGTATCATACTGAATGGGCAAAAGTTGGAAGCATTCCCTTGAAAACTGGCACAAGACAAGGATGCCCTATCTCACTATTTCTATCCAACATAGTATTAGAAGTTCTGGCCAGGGCAATCAGGCAAGAGAAAGAAATAAATGGTATTCAAATAGGAAGAGAAGAAGTCAAATTATCTTTGTTTGCAGATGACACGATCCTATATCTAGAAAACCCCATTGTCTCAGCCCAAAAGCTTCTTAAGCTGATAAGCAACTTCAGCAAAGACTAAGGATATAAACATCAATGTGCAAAAATTGCTAGCATTCCTATACACCAACAACAGGCAAGCAGAGAGCCAAATTGTGAATGAACTCCCATTCGTAATTGCTACAAAAAGAATAAAATACCTAGGAATACAGCTAATAAGGGAAGTGAAGGACCTCTTCAAGGAGAACTACAAACCACTGCTCAAAGAAATCAGAGAAGACACAAACAAACGGAAAAACATTTCATCCTCATGGATAGGAAGAATCAATATCATGAAAATGGCCATATTGCCCAAAGTAATTTATAGATTCAATGCTATTCCCATTAAATTACCATTGACATTCTTCACAGAATTAGAAGAAAATCATTTTAAAATTCATATGGAACCAAAAAAGAGCCCTAATAGCCAAGGCAATATTAAGCAAAAAGAACAAAGCTTGAGGCATCACACTACCCAACTTCAAACTATAGTACAAGGCTACAGTAACCCAAATAGCATGGTAGTTGTAGAGAAGCAGACACATAAACCAATGAAACAAAATAGCTCAGAAATCAGACCACATACCTACCACCATCTGACTGTTGACAAGCTTGACAAAAACAAGCAATAGGGAAAGGATTCCCTATTTAACAAATGGCGCTAGGGGAACTGGCTAGCCAAATGCAGAAAATTAATACTGGACCCCTTCCTTACACCACATACAAAAATTAACTGGAGATGGATTAAAGACTTAAATGTAAAACCCAAAACTATAAAAAAAAACTCTAGAAGAAAGTCTAGGCAAAACCATTCAGGACATAAGCACAGGAAAAGATTTCATGACAAAAATGCCGAAAGTGATTGCAATGAAAGCAAAAATGACAAATGGAATCTAATTAAACTTAAGAGCTTGTGCACAGCAAAAGAAACTATTATTAGAGCAAACAGACAACCTAAAGAATGGGAGAAAAATTTCTGCAATCTATCTATCTGACAAAGGTTTAATAACCAGAGTCTACAAGGAACTTAAGCCAATTTACAAGAAAAACAAACAACACCATTAAAAAGTGGGCAAAGGACATGAACAGACACTTCTCAAAAGAAGATATACATCTGGCCAACAAACATATGAAAAAAAAAGCTCAACATCACTGATCATTAGAGAAATGCAAATCAAAACCACAATGAGATACCATCTCATGCCAGTCAGAATGGCTATTATTAAAAAGTCAAAAAAAACAACAGAAGCTGCCAATGTTGTGGAGAAAAAGGAATTATTGGTGTGAGTATGAATTAGTTCAATCATTGTGGAAGATAGTGTGGCAATTCCTCAAAGACCTAGAAGCAGAAATACCATTTGACCCAGCAATCCCATTACTGGGTCTATATCCAAAGGAATATAAATCATTCTGTTACAAAGATACATGCACACATATGTTCACTGCAGCACTATTAACAATAGCAAAGACATGGAATCAACCTAAATGCTCATCAATGATATACTAGATAAAGAAAATGTGTTACATATACACCATGGAATACTATGCAGCCATAAAAAGGAATGAGATCATGTTCCTTGCAGGGACATGAATGGAGCTGGAAGCCATTATCCTCAGCAAACTAATGCAGGAACAGAAACCCAAACACTACATGTTCTCACTTATAAGTGGGAGCTGAATGATGAGAACATATGGACACATGTGAGGGGGCAACAACATACACTGGGGCTTGTCGGAGGGGGTGTGGTGAGGGAGGGAGAGCATCAGGAAGAATAGCTAATGGATGCTGGCCTTAATACCTAGGCGATGTGATGATCTGTGCAGTAAACTACCATGGCACACATTTACCTATGTAACAAACTTGCACATCTTGTACATACATGTACTCTTGAACTTAAAATAAAAGTTGAAGGGAAAAAAAAAGAAAATGTGGTACATATACATCATGGAATACTATGCAGCCATAAAAAGAATGAGATTATATCCTTTGCAGGAACATGGATGGAGATGGAGGCCATTATCCTTAGAAAAGTAACACAGGAACAGAAAACCAAATACTGCATGTTCTCACTTACAAGTGGGATCTAAATGATTAGAACACATGGACACACAGAGGGGAACAACAGACACTGGGGCCTACTGAGGGTGAAGAGTGGGAAGAGGGAGAGGATCAGAAAAAATAACTAATGGGTACTAGCTTAGTACCTGGGTGATGAAATAATCTGTACGACAAACCCCATGACATGAGTTTACCTATATAACAAACCTGTACCTATACACCTGAACATAACATAAAAGTTTATAAAAAATCAGTAGCATTTCTATATGCCAACAGTGAACTATGTGAAAAAGAAATAAAAATGTAATCCTATTTATAATAGCCACACATAAAATTAAATATCTAGGAATTAACCTGACCAAAGAAGTGAAAGATCTGTATAATGAAAACTATAAAACACAGATTATAAAAATTGAAGAAGACACCAAAAATGGAAAAATATCCCATATACATGGATTAGAAGAATCAATGTTGTTAAAATGTCCATACTACCCAAAGCAATCTACAGATTCAATGCAATCCCTATCAAAATACCAGTGACATTCTTCACAGAAATAGAAAATACAATCCTAAAATTTATGTGGAACCACAAAAGACCCAGAATAGTTAAAGGTATCCTGAGTGAAAAGAACAAAACTGGAGGAATCACATTACCTGACTTCAAATTATGCTACAGAATGATTGTAACTAAAACAGAATAGTACTGGCATAAAAACAGACTCAGACCAATAGAACAGAAGAGAGAACCCAGAAACTACAGTGAACTCATTTTTGGCAAAGGTGCCAAGAACATACACTGGGAAAGAGAGGGTCTCTTCAATAAATGGTACTGGGAAAACTGGATATCCACATGCATAAGAATGAAACTGGACACCCATCTCTCACCATATACAAAAATCAAATGAAAATGGATTAAAGACTTAAATCTAAGACCTCAAACTATGAAAATACTACAGGAAAACATTGCAGAAAGTCTCTAGACATTGGTCTGGGCAAACATTTCTTGAGCAATATGCCACAAGCACAGGCGACCAAAGCAAAAATGGAAAAATAGGATCACATCAAGTTACAAAGCCTCTGTACATCAAAGGATACAATCAACAAAGTCAAGAGACAACTCACAGAATGACAGAAAATATTTGCCAACTACCCATCTGACAAAGGATTAATCACCAGACTATATAAGGAGCTCAAACAACTCTATAGGAAAAAATTTAATAATCCGATTAAAAAAATGGGCAAAAGAGCTAACAGAAATTTTTCCAACAAAGACAGACAAATGGCAAACAGGTATATGAAAAGATGCTCAATGTCATTTATCATCAGAGAAATGCAGATGAAAACTAAAATATCTTCTCACCCCAGTTAAAATGGCTTATATCCAAAAGACAGGCAATAACAAATGCTGGTGAGGATGTGGAGAAAAAGGGACCCTTGTACACTGTTGGTGGGAATGTACATTAGTGCAACCATTATGGAGAACAGTTTGGAGGTTCCTCAAAAAACTAAAAATTGAGCTACTGTATGATCTGGCAATCCCATCGCTGGATATATACCCAAAAGAAAGAAAAGCAGTATATTAAAGAGATGTCTGCACTCCTGTTTGTTGCAGCATTGCTTACTATAGCTAAGATTTGGAAGCAATCTAAGTCTCCATCAACAGATGAATGAATAAAGAAAATGTGGTACATCTACACAATGATGTACTATTCATCCATGTATAAGAATTAGGTCCAGTAATTAGCAACAACATGGATGGCACTGGAGATCATTACGTTAAGTGAAATAAGCCAAGCACAGAAAGACAAACATCACATCTTCTTATTTATTTGTGGGATCTAAAAATCAAAACAAGTGAACTCATGAACAGAGTATAGAAGGATGGTTACCATAGGTTGGAAAGGGAGTGGGAGGTGGGAGGAGAAGTGGGTATAGTTAAAGTTTATAAAAAATTAGTTAGAATGAGTAAGACTTACTATTTGATAGTACAACAGGGTGACTATAGTCAATAATAACTTAATTGTACATTTTAAAATGAAAAGTGTAAGTACATTGTTTTTACACATGATCTTATCCCAAAAGGCTGAGAAGTGATAAGAGTGTAAGTGGATTGTTTTTAATTCAAAGAATAAATGCTTAAGGGAATAGATACCCCATTCTCCATGATGTGCTTATTTTACATTGCATGCCTATATCAAAACATCTCATGAACCCCTAAATATATTCACCTATTTACCCACAAAAATTAAAAATAAAAAAGAATGAACATTGTCTCAATGACTTATAGAATAATAGCAAGTTGTCTGACATACATGTAACTGCTGTTTGAGGGGGAAAAAGTGAGGAGGGAGGAGTAGAAAAAATATTTGAAAAATAATGACCAAAATTTTTCGTATTTGATGAAAAGTATAAACCTACAGATCCAAGCTCAACCAATCCCAAGCAGAACAAACACTAAATAACAAAAACAAAACAAGGCACAGAAATTGCTAAAAACCAGCAATAAAGATAAAATTTTAGAAGCAGCAGTCAGATTATGTACAGAGGAACAAGAGTAAGACTTACAACTGATTTTTCATCAAAAATAATGAAAGCCACAAGAGAATGGAATGGCATCTCTCAAGCACTGGGAAAAAAAAAAAAAGTCAGCCCAGAATACAATACCCACTGAAAATGTATTTCAGAAATGGAGTTAAAATAAAGTAATTTTCAGACAAAGAAAATCTGAGAGACATGCACTATAAAAAAATGTTAGAGTTAGTTCTTTAGGCAGAAGTAAAATGATGCCAGATACAAATTTGGATCTATACAAAGGAATGAAGAGTGCTGGAAATGGTAAGTGTGTGAGTAAATGTAAAAAATTATTTTTGTTATTTTGTAAGGCTATGCTCATAAGCATGTACTTATTGGAAAAATACACAAATACTGAATTCTTTAAACCCATATCACCTATATTCTTTCATTTTTCAAATACAGTTGCCTCAGTTCATATTCTCATTGCCAGTTGAGTTGGAGCCTGCATTACCAGAAAAAAAAATAATGAGAGTTCCAGGGCTAGCGGGTGATGGGACAAATGTATAAGAGGATGATATACATACATTAATGGAGACCCCCACAGTTACACCTTTGCTTTCTCCTCAAAATGCTCTTGCTGCTGATATTCATTCATTTAACTTTTTTCTTTTTGAGCACCAACAATGTGAAAGGAACTGTTCTAGGCACCTGGAATACAGTGGTAAACAAAATAAAGATCCCTACTTTTATAGAATCTGTGTTCCAATGGGGGAAGGCAAACAATAATCAGTGGACACCAATACATACATAAATTAAATAATATACTAAAAAATGTTGAGGACAGTGGTGGAAACAGTAGATCAGCCAAAGAGCATTTGCAAAAGCCAGAGGAGATATGAAGTGATCTTAAATGAAGGTGTCCTAAAAAAAAAAAATTAAAAAACCCTAAAAAATAAAAGGCTGATTCTACAGTGAAAATGATTGCAGCTTTCCAGATTAATATCTCCTTTGTTAATGCAGAGAACAACAGTGGTGGCACTGATGATAAAAGACTGACTCTACTGGGAATCAACTAATGATTATCAACTAAGTGAACTAAATTTGGAGAGGATTTGCTTCTTCCCTCTTCTTCAGGAATTTCTCACATTTCTGGTAACCTTCATGATGTATTTAGAGCTCTCTCTGTTTGGGCCTCAATCTGTCTTCTACAGAACCTTCCCATACACATCCTTATTTGCTCTAATCTCACTTGATTTTCATATTTCAGTGTTTCCTGAGAGTTTTCCTTTGTTGTCTTCATATGCAGTTGTGTTTAAAATTATTTTTAATTCATAGAAATTATTTTTAAAATTTTTTATTGTTTGTTTTTCTTTAGAGATAAGGTCTCACTCTGTTGCCCAGGCTAAAGTGCAGTGGCATGATGACAGCTCACTGTAATCTTGAACTCTGGCCTGCTACCTTTTGTGTAAGAAAGGAGATAGGATACATATAGGTCATTGGCTTATTTTCAAAAAGTAATAGAGGCTGGGCACGGTGGCTCACACCTGTAATCCCGGCACTTTGGGAGGCCAAGGCAGGCGGATCACTTGAGGTCAGGAGTTTGAGACCAGCCTGATCAACACAGTGAAACCCTGTCTCTACTAAAAATACAAAAATTAGCCAGGCATGGTGGTCAGTGTCTGTAGTCCCAGCTACTTAGGAGGCTGAGGCAGGATAATTGCTTGAACCTGGGAGGTGGAGGTTACAGTGAGCCGAGATCACACTACCGTACTCCTGCCTGGGTGACAGAACGAGACTCCTGTCTCCAAAAAAAAAAAAAAAAAGTAATGGAAAAATAAAAGCATTATCTATAAGGGGAGTAAAATAATAAGGGGGAGGGGACAGAGAGGCAAAATAGACCTCTCAATGTTCATAGATTTGACTCTGAAACCAAGAAAATATTTTACATAATTTAAAAACAAAATTAAATCAGAAGAAGAAAACCATCCTTAAAAATCGAAGACAAATTGAAATAAAATAATTGTATATGAAGTTGATGGCATAACCACATAGAGAAACATTATTTTAAGTAACAGTAATTTGATTAAATACCCTAAGGACAAAAAATACTCATAAAGAAATCTTAAGCTCCATTAGGTGGGTATTTTTCCTGTTTTACAGATAGAAACATACACACATACATACCTACATACATACATACATAGACATATACACATATACGTACCTATTAGGATAAAGGAAGTAATTATGTTCATGTTATTGGAAACCAAGATTTCAAAGTAAGAGAAAAGACATACACATATAAAATAAGTTATACGAAAACCCTTTAATCTTTAAATTGGAAATAACAATATGAACTCAGGATTTATTTTCTTTCTAAATCAATCTTTTTCCTAATTTGTTAACTGAGTCTTGTAAGTAATGACAACCCAGTAACAATAAACACTTCAAGTGCCCAGATTGTGTTCTATAAAACCACTTTTCACTGAAAAAAATCAAGTTTCATTAACAAAATGGTCAATTTGAGTTACGGAACAAGAAATATACGACATAAGCCTGGAACATCTCATCATGCTAGGAAAAAAAGTATCAAAAACTACAGAATAATGTCAAAAGGACATGAATCAACGGGCTCCTACTGACCCACAATAGGACAATTTGAGCATCAAAAAGAATAATTACTGCAATACACTGAAACATATACAGCACAAAGTAAGTACTCAATAAATGCTTATTGAATGAATGAATTCATCATCATGGGTATTAATACGATATCGTTGAATGTGTGGTCTACAACACTGACTTAGTGGCTCCTTCATGAGGACCCATAGTACAAATTTCTCTTCCTCTTGAACACAGAGAAATACAAATACATTTTTATGTCATGGAATAAATACTATTATGTTTATCTTTTTGGGGCCACTGGAAAGCTCAGAATCAAATTTATGGCTCATTTATAGCAACTATGCAGTTTCAGGTATCTGTGGCTCATTTTAGTATCCTATGACTATTTTTCTTTTCCCTGATTTCCTTATCTCTGCATCTTTCATTTCACTATATGTTTTAAGCAGGAGAAGGGAAAATTGGAATAATAGGGATGTTTCTACCCAATATGAGCAAATAGATACATTACTTGAAGTATTTCAGCCTCAGGTTATGCAATAAGAGAAATAAAAGAGACCTACACGCAAATTCACGCAAAAATGCTTATGTTCAAACCAACAACAAAGATAGCATTGTATGAGATGTTCACTATGATTCCTTCTGGCTCTCCTTTTACTACCTGACTGTAGGCAGCAGATCCATGAATAATTATAAATAGCAGGAAGTATAAAATGCATTTTTAATTGTCTTTGAATGACTGTGTTGTTCTGGTAGCAGATTTACAAACATTTTCAATATGGGTCACCTATACTAATAGTAAAATTCACTTCTATTCTCTGAGCATACACTGCTCCTTGTGGAGGCACCAGGCAGACGTAGACAGAGCCTACGTCTATCTCCTTCTGCCACAAACATCCTCAACACAGAAGACAGTTCACAGATGCAAATATTTTCTTTTTTTTTTTTTTTTTTGAGATGGAGTTTCACTCTTCTTGCCCAGGCTGGAGTGCAATAGTACGATCTCAACTCACTGCAACCTCCACCTCCCGGGTTCAAGCGATTCTCCTTCCTCAGCCTCCTGAGTAGCTGGAATTATAGGTGCCCACCACCATGCCCAGCTAATTTTTGTATTTTTAATAGAGACAGAGTTTCTTAATGCTGGCCAGGCTGGTCTCGAACCCCTGACCTCAGATGATCCACCTGCCTCGGCCTCCCAAAGTGCTGGGATTGCAGGTGTAAGCCACCGCGGCCCGCCGCTTTCTTTCTTTTTTTTCTTTTTAAATTGAGACAGGGTGTCTCTCTGTCACCCAGGCTGGAATGCAATGACATGATCTCAGCTCACTGCAACCTCTGCCTCCTGGGTTCAAGTGATCCTCCCATTTCAGCCTCCTGAGTAGCTGGGACCACAGGCAAGCACCACCACATCTGGCTTTTTTTTTTTTTTTTTTGTATTTTTAATAAAGACGGGGTTTCACCATGTTATGCAGGCTGGTCCCAAACTCCTGAGCTCAAGCAATCTGCCCACTCTGGCCTCCCAAAGTACTGGGATTACAGGCATGAGCCACTGCACCCTCAACAGTTGTAAAGACTTTCTAAGAGGGCATGAGCATGAGATTAAGGTGGGAAGGTGTTGACTATATAGGAACAGAATGTTGAGTCAGGGAAAGATGAAGAGTCAGAGAATGTTGGACATGGAAAATGACCTTAAGATATCATGAACTCCATCTCTTTATTTTGTAAGTGCCCTGCAAGGTTAAGTGAGGGGCTCAGGATCACATAATGAGTATAGAAAGAGAATCTAGGTCTTCCAAGTTCAGCACTCTTTCCATACTGCTCTAAAGGACCTTTAAAGGAAGAGTTATGGTTGGCCTTTCACACATTTGGGACAGCTGTGGTAAAGGTCTGCACATGGAGGAAAGAAGAGAAAGACTGTGTGTGCAAGGAGGGTGCTGGGTGGACATAGTAACAGGGAGAAAGGCAGGTTTGATTTGAATCCACAGCGTGGGTCTGAAACCAGTGTAGGCAATCGAAGCACACAGGGTCATGGGGTACCAATTTAGGACTGTGGTTAGAAGTTTGTGGAGCAGGCCCAAGAAAGAAAAGGAGCACAGTGGAAGGGAAAAGAATTTTCTGTTAGTGTGTAAATGTTGGAACTTGCATGCTTTTGCCCCAACACTGTAAAGTGGACTCAATTAATTTGCTTCTTAAATACTCAGACTGCCTTATAAAAGAGGGAAAGATGGTTTTTAAAATTCCCTTTTAAAGCCTTTAAGTGCCTCCGATTAAGTTTTCTACATACTTCTCTGGTTTCTGAATAATCATCCCAAGGACCCTGGAGCACGGTTGTGCAGGGAATCCTGACATACCAGAGGGAAGAGCAGGGGGAGGAGTGGTGGCTGTTCCAGACATATCCTCCTTAGGGGATTTGACAAGCAGAATGGAATTGCTGGGTGGCCCTTGGCAGGTGTGGAAGGTGAGCAGGGTGGGGTGCAGGGGAGCAGATCTGATTCACTCCTTTAGTCTAGTTATGGATCTGAGAGCAAACAAAGCTTTCACGTCCATGGGTTCTGGGTGAGTTATTGGACTACATCACCACTCCTTCCTATTCTCTGTGTTTCAAACTCTCTCCTCTCCTACCCTTCCCAGCCAACAGTTAGTGATCTTTCCACAATCTGGAGAACATTTATGCTCAACATTATTGAAAACTATATTCAACCTTTTAGTTCCACATTACTTATAAAGCTTTTCTTCTACTAAACCTTGATTTATCCCTTTGCTGTAGAGCGTTTATACTTTTCTGGCTGCTTGGTGGAATTATAGGTGAGCCAGACTGGCCCTTGGTTTGGGTTCCCCACAAGATCTAGAAAATAGTGTTGTAAACAGTAGGTGTATTGTAAACAGTAGGTCAACTGAATGCAGGGCACACACCAAGACCCCTGGACCAATTCATCCCTCCATCCTAGTGTTACAGGAGTTATTAATAAATTATTTTAGGCAGATAGAGAGGAAAAGGGGTCCTTGGGGAGTTTTTATTTCTTTTAAAGCAGCTCCAGAAACGTTTCTTGTCTAGCAGGAAAGCCCCGGCTCTGAGCTGGGCCAGCAAGCTTTGATATGCAAATGCCAGCCATTAGAAACTGGGTCCATCCAAACATGGTGATTCCTGCCATCTTCTTGCCCTTGCCCCTACATGTGCCTGGCAACATGGCCACCCCCACATGTCCCCATGTGTGTAAAACATAATGGCGCCCTGCATTTGCATATTAAAAAGCTAGGGTGGGAGGGTCAGTTTTTTCACAGGCTGCAGGAATGACATGACTGGTCAAACCAATCCCCTGAGCCCTATGCAAATCAGACACCACCTCCTCCTGCATCCTCATATAAGCAGCCACTTTTCTGCCGCACATGAGGTTTTCTCTTTGTTTGAATCCCCCTACTTCTCTCCCCGTACCGGGGAGCTGTTTTCTTCTTCCTTCCTGCTTTCCTGCCTATTAAACTTTTCCCTCCCTAAAACCACTCCACGTGTGTCCATGTCATTTTATCCAAACCGGCATGAGACCAAGAACCCCAGTGTTCCTCCAGTCATCGGAGCCGTATCACTAGTACAATACTTCAGAGTTTGGCTTTGCTTAACATATCCTAGGATCATTTAATGTAATAAGCGGCAGTGCAACAGACACAGCCTAGGCTGAATTTAAGTCCCAGTTCCACAATTTTCTATCTGTGATGCCTTAGGTTAGTCACTTCTCCAGTTCTTAGCTGCTTGCTCAATTAAACACAGATAATACTATCTACACCTCATAGGTTTTGTTGATGCTTAAATCATAGGATGTATAGGATGTGTGCAAAAGTAACTGATACGTACTAGATCTTCAGTAAACATTGGCTTCTTTCATTTTCACAAAATTTAAAAGGGTCATTTGATATACAGAAAACTTGGGGCACATAAAACCAAGATTATCTTGTTTCTCTAAATTTCCTAACAGAATTCCAAGTTCTGAATAATTAATATTTCTAACATGAAGAGCAACAAATTTTATACTGTATTCAACGTCAGATTTTGTAAGAATAATGAATCCTCAGATCCCTGAGGGCAGACAGCATGTTCATTAATTCAATAAACATTGATGGATAACTGTTGCCTCATTGTGCTAAGAGATAGGGATGCAGCAGGCAGCAAGCCAACATGGGCTTACTCTGGCATCTAGCACAGTGCCTGGCACATAGTAGGTGATCAATCCATGTTTGTTGATATCAACCAAGTGATGTTTAGAAAACATTTTACAGTGTAGGAGTCCTTGGAACAATCCTCAGCACTGTCTAGATACTCATGACTTAGGAGAAGCAGGAGGGTTGACACATGAAGGTAGAGAGGGCTGGAACATCCTCCCTGGCTACTGTGGGAGCGCTTCCTGCTTTTAGAGACCTGCCCTGATGCATTTTCTGACTCTCAGGTACAAGCTGGTACAACTACAGGAACTGAGTCACTACTACTGCCTTATATTTGGATCCCAGAGACCTGTTAATATTCTATACTATTCTAGGGGCTGGGGTTTGGGAACTTTTTTAAAAAGCATCATACAAAAACCTTCACCAACTTCCCAGAGTTGTACTGTTACCTAAAAGCACTTAGGTACTATTATGCAAATTGTACATGCATTATTTCCATAAAAAACAGTCACAAATGTCAATTAGTGCTCATTAGTATGCAATAAAATTCTCATTTGAAAACTATTAAGAGCCAAGAATGAATTCCACTTGGCTGCCCTCCTTTAATGAGAACCACTGAGAAGTACCCTGTGCTATTTCTCATCAGCAAAACAGTAAGGTGTAACAACAAATCAAGCTTCAAGCAACAGCAGGAGTAGACAGAATAAACACTTGAAGGTTTCAGAGACTGGTTTTGGACAGTTCAAGTTTTATGCTGCTACAGCTGAGATCCCTACCACTGGGTACTAAGAATATAGGCTGAGCGAATTCATTAAGTTACTTTGCAAACGAAGCATGGTGATACTGAGCACTCTGTTAAAGGATGTTTGTGAGGGTGCCACATGTCTGGAAGAGGGTAATGAAACCTCATTACTGAGGGTCAGTCTGTTCAAGAGACTGTGTTATATGCCTCAAAGGAGGCTGAGAGCCAAGGCCCTTGGAATTACGGGGCTCATCCCTAAAAAGCCTCCTGGTAAAAATTTTTGTGAGTGAACTCACATGCTGTGTCTCTATAATTCCAATTTCAGCTGGACATTGGATTACTCTAAACTGTTGTTTGGTGTTGCTGTGCAACCCAAGACACTTGTGTGAGGGTGATTTGGGCTTTTGAGGCTTTACGATTTTTCCATAAAGATGGAAAATAGAAGCTGTCAACATTAGACTGGTCTTTCTGCAGATACTTGCTTAACAAACTGTTCTAAACCTGGCTTGGGAGCGGGGCGGAGAACAGGATTTTCTAATTATAGCCTAACCCAGTGGTTATCAAACTTTAGTGCACACCAGAATCACCTGGAAAGCTCCTTAGAAAACACCGATTCCTGGTCCCATCTCCAATTTGTAACTCAGTAGGTATGGCCTGGGGCCGGCCTGAGAATTTGTATTTCTAACAAGTTCCTAGGTGATGCTGATGCTGCTGCTGATCTGGGAATCATACTATGAGAAACCCAGTCCAGGATAAGAAATATAGGGCTTTCATCAGAGTTTGAACCAGACAGACCCTTGGGATAACTTTTAATATGTTACTCCAGGCTGCTTTGATGACTCATGCACACATATTTAGATCAAGTCATTTGAATTATTCTCTAGAAATTAGTTTCAGGGAAGTATTATTGAGAAATTAGACACTTAACATGGCACTCGATTCTTTCATTCTTCAAGCCATGATTCTTAAATAGTTTTTGGTCATGAGAGACTGATGAAAGCTACGGACTCTCTCCTGAAAAACTGTATACAAACATGTAATATCTTACATACAATATTGGGGGGAATTATAGGCCACCCACCAACCCTCCTGCAAAGCCCAATCACCCCAAATAAAGAGCCTCATTTCAAACTAAACTCAGCTGAAGTCAGGGATAAAAGAATGTTTTAGGCCAGGTGTGGTCACTCACACCTGTAATCCCAACACTTTGGGAGGCCAAGGCAGGTGGATCGACCTGAGGTCAGGAGTTCAAGACAAGCCTGGCCAACATGGTGAAACCCCATCTCTACTAAAAATACAAAAAATTAGCCAGGTGTAGTGGTCCACACCTGCAATCTCAGCTACTAGGGAGGCTGAGGCAGGAGAATCACTTGAACCCAGGAGGTAGAGGTTGCAGTGAGCCAAGATCTTGCCACTGCACTCTAGCCTGGGTGACAAAGCAAGACTCTGTCTCAAAAAAAAAAAAAGAACATTTTAATTATTCTTCATGGTGTTCTTATAAATGTAGCTGTTTCTCTGTGGCTACCTACAAATAAAACATGATGCACTGAGATGATAAAAGGCTATGAAAAACTCTGTCACCAATTAAAACATTTAATAATCATTTTGAATATGTTTATTCTTCATCTAGTTTCACAATCTTTGTGTTTAAATTGGAGTAATCTATACTTGAAGTAATTACACAAATAAGTTAAAAGTCTAGGCAGGCCAGGCACAGTGGCTCACGCCTGTAATCCCAACACTTGGTGATCCCAAGGTGGGCGGATCACCTGAGGCCAGGAGTTCGAGACCAGCCTGGTCCAACATGGTGAAACCCATTCTCTACTAAAAATAAAAAAATTAGCTGGGCATGGTGGTGGGCACCTGTAATCCCAGCTACTCAGGAGGCTGAGGCAGGAGAATTACTTGAACCAGGAGTTGGAGGTTGCAGTGAGCCAAGATCACGCCACAGCACTCTAGCTTGGGCGACAGAGCAAGACTCCATCTCAAAAAAAAAAAAAAAAAAAAAAAAAGCTGGGCGCAGTGGCTTACGCCTGTAATCCCAGCACTTTGGGAGGCCAAGGTGGGTGGATCACGAGGTCAGGAGTTCAAGACCAGCCTGACCAACATGGTGAAACCCTGTCTCTACTAAAAATACAAAAATTAGCAGGGTGTGGTGGCATGTGCCTGTAATCCCAGCTACTGAGGAGGCTGAGGCAGGAAGATCGCCTGGACCCGGGAGGTGGAGGTTGCAGTGGGCCAAGATCGCGCCCCTGCACTCCAGCCTGGGTGAAAGAGCAAGACTCTGTCTCAAAAAAGAAAAAAAATCGATTATATTACTATTTGCTTTACCACTAAATATGATGTTAGGTGCACGTTTTGCATAGATTCCCTTTATCAGGCTAGGGAAGTTCTCTTCTATTTCTAACTTTCGAGACTGTCTATAATAGATCTGGGCTTTTACATTCTCTACTACCTCTTCAGTGAACTTTGGTAGCTTGTGTCTTTCAAGGAATTTGTTCATTTCATCTATTAATAAGTTGATGGAATTATTGGAGAAAAGCTATAATGTTTCCTTATTATCCATTAGTATCTGTAGAATTTGTAGTGATGTCACCTCTCTCATTCCGATATTGGTAAATTGTAACTCCTCTCTTTTTCCTCCTCCTGTTTTCTGTCAAGAGGTTAATCAATTTTATTAATATTCTCAATGAAACAGCATTTGCTTTCATTGATTTTCTCTACTTTTCAAAATCTAGTTTATTGATTTCTGCTTTGATATTTCTTATTTTCTTTCTTCTGCTTATTTTGAATTTCATTTGCTCTTTTTCTGTTTTGGTTTCTTAAGATGAAAGCTGAGGACACTAATCTGAGACCTTTCTTCTTATAAGCTTTTTTTTGCGGGGGTGTGGGGGGACAGGGTCTCACTTTGTTACCCAGGCTGGAGTGGAGTGCAGTGGTGTGATCTCGGCTCACTGCAGCCTCGAAATCCTGGGCTCAAGTGATCCTCCTGCTTCAGCCCCCATCAAGTAGCTGGGACTACAGGCACGTGCCACCATACCCAGCTAATTTTCTGTATTTTTTATAGAAACAGGGTTTTGCCATGTTGTCAAAGCTGGTCCCGAACTCCTGATTTCAAGCAATCCGCCTGTCTCGACTTCCTACAGTGTTGGCATTACCAGCGTGAGCCACTGTGCCCCACCTTATAAGCTTATAATACTATAAAATTCCACCTAAGTACTGCTTTTGATATATGAGCTTTTACTTTCAGCCCCAAATATTTTCTCATTTCCCTTTATTTTTTATTAAAAATAATTTTTTTAGAGACAGGGTCTCACTCTGCTGCCCAGGCTGGAATGCAGTGGCATGATCATAGCTCACTGCAACCTCAAACTCTTAGGCTAAAGCAATCCTCCAGCTAAGTAGCTGGGATTATGAGTGCACACCACCATGCCCAGCTAATTTTTTTTTTCTATTTTTTTTAAAGACAGGCTCTCACTCTGTTGCCCAGGCTGATCTTCAACTCCTGGCCTCAAGCAATCCTCCTGCCTCAACTTCCCAAAGTGTTAGGAATACAAATGTGAGTCACTCCACTCGGCCCTAATTTTCCTTTTGATTTCTCCTTTGACTAATGAGTTATTCTGAAGGATGTTATTTAGTTACCAAATATTTGAGAATTTTGTTACTGATTTCTTAATTAATTCCATTGTGATCAAGAACACACCTTATATAACTAAAATCCTTTTAAATTTATTGAGACTTGTTTTATGGTTCAGAATATGGTCTAACTGGATAAATGTTCCATGTACACTTGAGAGGAATATGTATTTGCTGTAGCTGGGTAGAGTATCTTATAAAGATCAATGAGGTCAAGCTAGTTGATTGTATTTTTATCTTCTTTTATATACCTAATTATTTTCTGTTATTTCATCAATTACTGAGAGAAGGTTAATGAAACTTTGGACTACAGTTATGGATTTGTCTATTCCTCCTTGGAACACTATCAATTTCTCATTTATGTATTTTGAAGTTCTGTTATTAGATGCATAAATGTTTAGTACTGTTATGTCTTTCTGATGAATCAACTCCTTTATCATTATGAAATGATTTTCTTTATCCCTGGCAATATTCTTCCCTCTGCAATATTACTAATACTGCTATTCCAAATACCTCTAAATAGTTTTGAGCTTTGTTCTGGGATGCAGTCAAATTAACTGGAACAATTTGTTCCTTTTGGGTCTTTTTAAAAGATTTGTTAGACAGGATCAGTGCAGTGCTCAATCTAGGGCTACTTCCCACTACTAAGGCATGGTCTTTCAAAGTATACTACCCAACCCTCCATGAATTATGAGCTTTTCAAGTCTAGCTGGTGGGAATAGGCACAATTCCCAGCCCTGTGTGAACAATGAGCACTATTTCTTCTAATCCTTTTGGGTAGTTCTTTCTTTATCCCAGGTAGTTTCCTTACATGCATGTGCTGCTCAGTACTCAGCTTTATACTTGAGGTGTACCCTGTGAGGAACTCTGGGGTTCTCTCTGCAGCTCTCTCCTCTCCAATACTCTGTCCTACAAACTCTAGTTGCCCTGGTCTCCCCAGACATGGGGAGCTCTGTCTTCTCAACTCAGGAAGTCTGGGTTCTCTCTGTACCATATTCTGGAAACTATATCTTGGTATGCCTGTTTTTGTTTTGTTTTGCTTTGCTGAATACCAGAAACCACATATGAAAAATACACAGGTTCTGGATCATTTTTTCTTCTCCAAAGAATATGGAGAAGACTTATGCTAGGGTGTTAAAATAAGAACAGATTACTTTAATCTAATCAGTGACTAAGTTGATCGGGAAATGGACTTCAATATTTTATTTGACCGGGTCTATTTCTGGTTTCCTTTAACTGGTCAGGCATAATCCGTCAGCAGTCCCAACTGAAAGCTTAGGGTGTTTTTCAGGCCATACCACATTGGTGGGCTTTACATTCTATAATAATTTTTATCTTCCTAGTGTAATAAGATTGCAAGTAGCTCTGATTAGCTTCTCAGCTTTTTAGCACCTTCTTTGTGTTTGGATTTTTGCAACCTCTTGGTCTGCGCTACTTATAAATCAGTGAATGACTTGGAAGGAAAATTGCTTAGACTATTGAGTTGATTTTTCTGGGCCTCTTTTCTGTCCATGATCATGGTTTCTCATGTCCTGAATCATTTGGTTTCCTTGAATTCAATTTTTTTTTTTCCTCCCCAGCCCTATCAGACTGTGGAATAATCTGCCTGGCTTCTCTGATTTTAGCAGCTGCTTATTGTTTGGGTTCTCCTCATGTGCTACTTAAAAATGGTAAGTGTCTACAGGGAAAAAGTAGCCTAGAATTTGGAACACTCAATGAGTTTCTCTTCTTTCTGAGGTCTTAGCTCTCAAGTCCTAGCTGCCTTATTAGGTCTTCTATGCCTTCAAATAGATTTTTAAAACTCAGCTTTTCTAGATGTCCTGTATAGGAGTAAAAATCTACTCACAGATAGTCCATTATAGCCAAAATCAGATGCTTAATATCTTATAATAGGTTTAGCCTTAAAATTTTTCTGACAGGAACAAATGTTTAAAGATAATCTTTACTCAGACGACAGTGCAAACTGTATAAGATATTACTATCCTTACTATTAACTACGACATCAACTAAGATACATTATAGAATCCCTAAGTTATAAAACATAAACCTACTATAGAGTCTAATTTTGCCATCATTATTACTGGTCAGTGCATATTTGAAAATTAAACATTCATGTGAAGTTTGTATTAACATAAAGGGTAATGCTTATTTTGCAGGCATATACATGCACAAACTAAAGTTAAAATTTTCTCCTTAGAAATTAAGTGCAGTAACTTCTATTCTGTTTTTCTTTTAGTTTAGTTTTCAACCTAGGACATAGAAATCCATTCCAAAGCTGCTGAGTAAAAATTGCAGCATATGTTATAGAAGTCAATAGCAAAATATCTGCCAACAGGACTTATCATTTCTCTGTCTTGCTTAGCTAATGGTTGTATTCTGAACACAGATTCACACTGGGGTATCTAATATGTTTTAGAGATCACAGATTTTTATAAAGTGTCCACTAGCTCACAGGACCACTGGTTACACAATAATCTTCAGCTGAGGATTTTCAAATTTCATTCACTTTTTGCCATTTTGTCAGTTCACTGTTTATATTTATTTCACTTATTTGTACTTACCAGCTTCCCTTAACGCTTCTCTGACATTTTCTCCTCTCCAGCCCTGGTGTGGTGGAGAATCCAGCTCCTCTCTATTCTGGTAGACTAGACTGAAGTTTTACATCCCAGCAAGGGCAAAATTAAAAAATGAAAGCTTAGTACTCCTGGGAAGCTTGCTCCTAATACCGGGTTTGTTAAAACCATTTGTTTAAAAATGTTCACGTCTGTTGCTTGGCACTGATCCTTAAGCTCCAAGACCCCTACCTTCTTAACTAATTATCCTCATGTCAAATAATCAGTTACAGTTGATTGATTATATACTCATAAAACTCCCTAAATCCCAAGTCCTCAAAATGAAGACAGAAGACCGGGATGGGAATTGAAGAACCTTTTTCAATCCAACTATTAAAGAAAGGGCATAACAAAAAAACATAACAGATATAGCTTTGTGAGAAAGTACAGTAACTGAGCCTATTCTTTCTGAAAAGACACCCTTCCCAAAAAGCCACCCCTCAGATGATCCTGCCACGGATGAAGACCATGTATAATTCCACAGCATGGAATAAATCAGCAAGGGGAATTGTGAACAGTCTGGCCAACCAAAAGCAAGAGAGACACAATGTAACTGAGACACTGCAGACTCCAGTTCCCCACTAAGCTGATATAATCCACACTTGGCACAGAGGAGTTCTCACTGCAGGCTTTCCTTCTTAAACACACAGGCCCTGCTGGCAAAATGTGGTGGGAGAGGGGAGAGAAAGACAAAAGGAGGAGAGAAACAACTGCTGTAAAGGAGACCTACAGTGAGAATTAAAATTGTGTATTCCCTTTGACCCAAAAATGACAATTTTGGGAATCTCTCCTATGGAAATAAAACCCAAAGTATAGGAATAAATGTAGAATGTTTATTGTAGCATAAGTTGTTGTGCAAAAAAAGTTGGAAGAAAAACATGAATATCTATCAATGGGGAAGTAATGAATGGGAAGAAATTATGGAACCTCCTATAATGGAATATTAGGTAGCTATTAAAAATAATAAATTGGATCAATTATATGTGTTAATCTAGAATAATGTACATAATATGTACTAAATAAAATGAAAGAAATAATAACATATATGATTCCATTTTCACATACAATAGAAAATAAGTCTACACACTCATATGTTTGTTTGAACATAGAAAAGGAGTGAAGGGGCTGAGTGCAGTGGCTCATGCCTATAATCCCAGCACTTTGGGAGGCTGAGGTGGGAGGATCACTTGAGCCGAGGAATTCAAGATCAGCCTGGGCAACACAGTGAGACCTCGTTTCTACAAAAATGTTTAAAAATTAGACGGGTGTGGTGGCATGTGCCTGTGGTCCCAGTTATTTGGCAGGCTGAGGTGGAAGGATCCCTTGAGCTGGAGATGTTGAGGCTGCAGTGAGCTGTGATCGTGACATGTGAATACACATGAAACTTTTTTTTTGAGACAGGGTCTCACTCTGTTACTCAAGCTGGAGTGCAATGTCATGATCACAGCTCACTGCAGCCTCAACCTCCTGGGTTCAAGCGATCCTCCCACTTCATCCTCTCAAGTAGCTAGGATGACATACCACCCACTTGGCTATTTTTTTTTTTTTTTCATAGAGACGGAGTTTCACTATGTTGTCCAGGCTGTTTTGAACTCCTGGACCCAAGCTATCCTCCTGCCTCTGCCTCCTAAAGTGCTCAGATTACAGATGTCAGCCCGCACGCCCAGCCTGGGCGCTTTAAATAGTGGTTTTGTCAGAAAGATGGGAGTGAGAGAAGGTGGAGATTACTTATATTTTCTTTCTTTTTTTTTTTCTTTGAGATGGAGTCTCCCTCGGTAGCCCAAGCTGGAGTGCAGTGGCACAATCTTGGCTCACTGCAACCTCTGCCTCCTGGGTTCAAGCTATTTCGAGCTATTCTCCCGCCTCACCCTCTCAAGTAACTGGGATTACAGGCACACGCCACCACACTTGACTAATTTTTTTTTTTGAGACAGAGTCTCGCTCCATCGCTCAGGTTGTAGTGCAGTGGTGCGATCTCGGCTCACTGCAACCTCTGCCTCCCTGGTTCAAGCAATTCTCCTGTCTCAGCCTCCCGAGTAGCTGGGACTACAGGCGCCTGCCACCACGTCCAGCTAATTTTTGTATTTTTGGTAGAGATGGGATTTCACCTTGTTGGTCAGGCTGGTCTCGAACTCCTGACCTCAGGTGATCCACCCACCTCGGCCTCCCAAAGTGCCAGGATTACAGGCATGAGCCACCTTACCTGGCCAATTTTTTTTTTTTTTTTTTTTTGAGACGGAGTCTCATGCTGTCGCCCAGGCTGGAGTGCAGTGGCAGGATCTCGGCTCACTGGAACCTCTGCCCCCCGGGTTCAAGTGATTCTCCGGCCTCAGCCTCCCAAGTAGCTGGGATTACAGGTGCCTGCCACTGCGCTCAGCTAATTTTTGTATTTTTAGTAGAGGCAGGGTTTCACCATCTTGGCCAGGCTGGTCTTGAACTCCTGACCTTGTGATCCACCCGCCTCAGCCTCCCAAAGTGATGGGATTACAGGAGTGAGCCACCGCACCCAGCCTAATTTTTAGTAGAGATGGGGTTTCACCATGTTGGCCAGGCTGGTCTTGAACTCCTGACCTCAAGTGATCCACCCATCTCGGCCTCCCAAAGTATTGGAACTATGGGGTGAGCCACTGCGCCTGGCCATATTTTCTTTATATACTGCTGTCTTACTAGACTTGTTACCATGAGTGTGTATAGCTTTTACAACTTAAAAATGCAAAAGTTAAAATATAAAAAGTATTTATTGAGACATAACTACAAGTAACCCCAGTCCCCAGAGTTCAGTGAGGTATGTGGTCCTCTGGCATTTGCTTTGAATTGATGCTGGTGGTTAACAGCAGATAGGAGCTTCTGCTCTTGAAGAGAGGGTTCACCTTGTGTCACTCAACAGAAGCCAATTAAAGCCCAGAATCAACAGTGCCTCCAGAAAAGGTCAGTGGTTGTGAAACAAAAACTACATCTATTTATTTAAAGCCTCAGCCACAGAGCTTGCCAAGGGGCTGCCTGAGCCAGTGAGCAGCCAGCAAACACGTGGACGAGAATAACTCACGCTTTTGTCTTGGAAAATCCCACTACTCCAACTATTGACAGCCTTTGTTGGCTCCTGTTCCATACTTCAGAGATGAGAAGCACAAAGCCAGCCACGTGGCTACAAGTATAAATATTAAACCCTGTGGGAGAGATGCTGCTGCCCAGGTTTGAAGTGTTCTCTATTAGCCTTTGGCGGAAAATACTTTGAGCATCACTGGAAGCCACATGTCACACACAGAATGGCACTGGCCAAGGCAATGGTCTTGGAGGTGTGATACTTAGCTCAGTATTTGCAATTCAGTTTCATGCCAATTGGTACTTCCAGATCTTCTGAGGGTGATAAACATATATATTCAATAATAAAGAAAAATATGCACAAGCTAGCAGTCTGTGAAACATAAAGTTTTAAAATTGTTCATTCATCTTCCAACATATTTTTCTTTTCTACAATCCTCTCTCCCCACCCCATGCCTCTTTCTCTACCTCCCTACTTAACCCCCTTTCTCCTTAATGTTTTTCTGATTATCAAAGAAATTCACACTTCTTAAAACAATCATGGAAAACATAGATAAGTTGAAAAAATACAAATAATCATTTATAATCTCACCACTAATATTTTAGGATAGTTTACCCTTTTAAGTACTCTGCATTTGTGTATCTTTGCAAGTGCAAATGAATGTCTTGCAAAATACCTAATACTGTGAATGAATATAAGGAAATGTGAAAGAGGGGTTTGAATAGACATCCTTGCTGGGACCCAGGCTGTTGTGATACGGCCATGTGTTTTCATGTGTCAAGTTTTTATTAATATTCCTCGGATTGACTGTGACAGCTGCCTTTGTGTCTCCTCCCTTCCTTTCTCCTCACAGCTGCCTTGGAAGTCAGCAATATTTGCATGTAAAATTCCCATGGGTAGTTATTTGATCTTCTTTTATCCCTGTTTCTCACTTGTAGATAACTGGGTACCCACAATCTCTGCGATTTCAGCACGTCACTACTCTCTTCCCTTTTCCTCTCTGCTGCTGTTATGCTTCCCTCTCCCTCTTCACTCTGATCTTCTGCATTTATCCTAGCAGCATCCAAAAGCAGGCAGCCATCACTGGCTCATGAATAATCACAGAATCATTGAAATATCTGTTCAGAAAAGGCACTCAGGTAGTGTGATGCTCCGGCTTTGTTTTTTTTTTTTTGCTCAGGCTTGCTTTGGCTATTCAGGCTCTTTTTGGGTTCCATATGAGTTTTAGAATAGTTTTTTCTAATTCTGTAAAGACTGATGTTAGTAGTTTGATAGGAATAGCATTGAATGTATACATTGCTTTGGGCAGTATGACCATTTTAATGATATTGATCCTTCTAATCCATGAGCATGGGATATTTTTTCATTTATTTGTGTTGTTTCTAACTTTTTTTCAGCAGTGTATTGTAGTTCTCCTTGCAGAGCTCTTTCACCTTTTTGGTTTGCTATATTCCTAGGTATTTCCTTTTCTTTGCAGCTGTCGTAAATGGGATCATGTTCTTGATTTGACTCTCAGCCTGGACGTTATTGGTGTTTAGAAATGCTACTGATTTTCGTACATTGATTTTGTATCCTGAAACCTTGCTAAAATCATTTTTCAATTCTAGTAACCTTTTGGAACAGTCTTTGGGGTGTTCTAAGTATAGAATTATATCGTCAGCAAAGGGAGATAGTTCATCTTCTTCTTTTCTTATTTGGATGCCTTTTATTTCTTTCTATTGCCAGACTGTGCTGGCTGGGACTTCTAGCACTACCTTGAATAGCAGTGGTGAGAGTGGGCATTCTTGCCTTGTTCCAGTTCTCAAGGGGAATGGTTCCAGCTTTTGCCCATTCAGTATGATGTTAGCTGTAGGTTTATCAGGGATGGCCCTTATTATTTTGAGGTATGTTCCTTCGATGCCTAGTTTGTTGAGAGTTTTTATCATGAAGAGATGTTAGATTTTATCAAAAGCTTTTTCTGTGTCTATTGAGATGACACAGATGATCATAACGGTTTTTGCTTTTAATTCTGTTTACATGGTGACTCACTATGATTTGTGTATGTTGAACCAACCATGCATCCCAGGAATAATGCCTGCTTGATCATGGTGAATTAACTTTTTGATGTTCTGCTAAATTTGGTTTGCTAGTATTTTGTTGAGGATTTTTGTGTCTATGTTCATCAGGGATATTGGTCTGAACATAGACACAAAAATCATATCTCTTCATCATATCTCTGCCAGA
The DNA here is from genome assembly GCF_000001405.40 of Homo sapiens. Classification (NCBI taxonomy): domain Eukaryota; kingdom Metazoa; phylum Chordata; class Mammalia; order Primates; family Hominidae; genus Homo; species Homo sapiens. The sequence continues at coordinate 120,277,169 of NC_000003.12, forward strand.
TTTGGGTATTAGGCTGATGCTGGCTTCATGGGATGAATTGGGGAGGAGTCCCTGCTCCTCTATTTTCTGTAAGTTTTAGTAGGATTGGTACTAGTTCTTCTTTGCATGTCTCATAGAATGTGGCTGTGAATCTATCTGGTCCAGGGCTTTTTATGGTTGGAAGGGTTTTTTTTGTTTGTTTGTTTGTTTTACTGATGCAATTTCAGAGTTTGATGTTGGTCTATTCAGGACTTCAATCTCTCCGATTCAATCTCAAGAGATTGTTTCCAGGAATTGATTGATTTCTTCTAGATTTTCTAATTTGTGTGCATAGAGCTGTTCATAGTTTTCTCCAAGGATCTTTTGTATTTCTATAGGATCAGTTGTAATGTCATCTTTGTTATTTCTATTGTACTTATTTGGATCCTCTCTCTCTCTCTCACTGTCTCCTCCCGCTTTGTTAACCTAGCTAGCAGTCTATCAATCTTATTTATTTTTTCAAATAGCCTATTCTTGGTTTCACTGATCTTTCATATGGATTGTTGCATCTCAATTTCATTAAGTTTTTCTTTAATTTTAGTTATTTCTTTTCTTCTGCTAGAGTTGGGGTTGGTTTGTCCTTTTTTCATAGTTCCTTTAAATGCAAAGTTACATTGTTAATGTGAGATCTTTCCAGCTTCTTGATGAAGGCATTTACGGCTATAAACTTTCCTCTTAACATTGCTTTGGCTACATCCCAGAGGTCTTCATAAATTGTGTCCCTATTTTCCTTAATTCCAAAGAATTTGCTAGAGTAGCCAAAACAGGGTGGTACTGGTACAAAAAGAGACACATAGACTAATGGAACATAATAGAAAATTCAGAAATAAGGCTGCACGCTTACAACCATCTGATCTTCAACATGGCTGACAAAAAACAAGCAATGGAGAAAGGACTCCCTATTCAATAAATGGTGCTGGGATAACTGGTAGCCATATGCAGAAGAATGAAACTAGACCCTTACCTTTCACCATATACAAAAACTAACTAAAAATGGATTAAAGATTTAACATAAGACCTCAAACTATAAAAATCATAGAAGAAAACCTAGGAAATACCCTTATCAACATTGGCCTTGGCAAAGAATTTATGGCCAAGTCCCCAGAAAGAACTGCAACAAAAACAAAAATTGACAAGTGGGACCTAATTAAACTAAAGATCTTCTGCACAGCAAGAGAAACCATCAAAAGAGTAAACAACCTACAGCATGGGAGAAAATATTCACAAACTATGCATCTGACAAAGGTCTAATATCCAGAATATATAAGAAACTTAAATCAACAGGCAAAAATCAAATAACTCCATTAAAAAGTGGGCAGAAGACATGAAAAGACACTTCTTAAAAGAAGGCATACAAGTGTGGCCAATAGACATGAAAACATGCTCAGCATCACTAATCATCAGAGAAATGCAAATAAAACCACAATAAGATACCATCTCACACCAGTAAGAATAGCTATTATTAAAAAGTCAAAAAACAACAGATGCTGGCAAGGCTGTGAAGAAAAGGGAACATTTATACATTGTTGGTGGGAATGTAAATTAGTACAACCACTGTGGAAAGCAGTTTGGAGATTTCTCAAAAAACTTAAATACAGAGCTACCTTTGACCCAGCAATCCCATTACTGGGTATATATTCAAAGAAATATAAATCATTCCACCATAAATACACATGCTTGCATATGTGCATCACAGCACTATTCACAATAGCAAAGATGTGGAATCAACCTAGGCACTCATCAACAGTGTACTGGATGAAGAAAATGTGCTACATAAACACCATAGGATAAAAAATAATGAAATCATGTCCTTTGCAGCAACGTGGATGCAGTTGGAGGCCTATCCTAAGTGAATTAATGCAGGAACAGAAAACAAAATACCACATGTTCTCACTTATAAGTGGGAGCTAAACACTGAGCACACATGGACATAAACGCAGGAAAGATAGATACTGCAGACTACTACAGGGGGAAGGGAGGGAGGGGGCATGGGTTGAAAAACTACCTATTGGGTACTGTGCTTATGCCTGGGTCCAATTTACCCATGAACAATCCTACACATGTATCCTCTTAATGTAAAATAAAAGCTGAAACTTTAAAAAAAGAAAAGGCACTCAATTAAGCATGCACCCTATTTACCTGTTCAGCCAAAAGACTGATTAATGCAGCACTTGAGAGATTCCACCTCACACAGAAAATCAGGAATATTTTAGATAAGAGCCAAGAAAGACTTTATTGGTCTGAAGTACTGCCAGACCAATGACTTCAGGCCCTTACCACACCTTCAACCTAGACCACACCTTTAGGACCTTGGCATTTCCCTAGTTAAGACACCCACTTCTGCCTTCCCTTTCAAGGTTTTCTCAATAACTCTTAGAAAATCAAGATGGAGAGCTGGCAGTGCTGACTGATGGTCTGACATTCCAGTGTAGGCAGATGGCAACATGAAGACCCAGAGCATACTTTCCTGGGTGTTTTCAGTCACTGAAACCCCATGCTACCCATGGCAGCAGAAGAGCAATTCCAACCAGCAAAGCCCTGGGGAGAATCATGAAGGTCCTCCCTTGCCCTTTCCTATCCTTGACCCAAGAAATCCCTTCTCACCATCAGAACTCCAGAGCTTTCTAGCTAATCTCCACATATGCAAAGCTCCTCACTGCAAGACTGAAGACTGACTTTCCCGGGACAATTGTTTCCACAGTTATTTCTTCCCAATGACAACATAAGGTATAGATGACTGACATGTTTAACACTCCTCCCTACTTCACTATTTTTATTATGGGTTAAAAAATCAACATCCTGAGGCATTTTTGAATAGAAATCTGCAACCCAAAGGAAGAAGACATATGGAAGGGGCCTGGCAGTTGTGTCCACAAGTCATCAGTCTGCATGACCTCAACCCCCCAAGTTGCCTCTCTGGTCACAGCCCGATGGCCTGGTCAAAGCAGACCTGGGCTTTGTGGGGATGATTGGCCAGCTGCATCACTTAGCCCTCAGTTGCCTGGCAACCCATGTCTGAGGTATCCTGGCCCAGATTCAGGTGATAAGGGGATACTTAGATCATTGCAACTCCCCCAGCTGAGGCAAAGTGGTCATGAAGAAGTCTAGGGAATGCTGTGGATTCAATCTGACTCAGAATATTCTGAGTGTTTGTGTGCTGGGGGCAGAGAGGTGCCTGGTGAGGCCTGTTTCTGGTCAGTCCCAGGAGTATACTGAGTATATCTGACCTCCTCTGGTTTACCTCTCTTAGAGTAGACCACGTAGAGTCTTCATAGTGTTCTGGACACAGCAGAATATTCTGGAAATGCCTTGGACATAAACATACCTCAAGGCCTTGCCTAGGGTGGATATACTTCCCAAGAACTCCTCAAAATGTAACCCAATCTCTGGCCAAAAGTTACACGGCCCTCCAGCAAACAGACTGAAGTCCATCCTCCTGTGGCCTTCATAAGCTGGCCTTTAGCTCTCCTGCTTTATGTCTTGCTGCAACCCTGCCCTGACCCCCATCCACCCACCTTCTCTCCTTACTCACACCACACCGGCACTTTGGCCCTCACTCTATCATGCTATTCTGTCTCTCTGGAAAGTCCCTTCCACACCGCAGCTGCCAGTCAAAGAGGCACACCTCCTTCAGAACCTGACTCAAAGCCACTTCTTCCTTGAAGAGAAATGTTGACTCCTCTTGGAATAGCTCTCTGGCTCTACTTGGAAACCCTGCCTAGCCTCCACTTCTACTCTCATCCTCTCATAGCAGGTTGTGATAATTACAGCACTCAGCACAGTTGTCTCATATGAACCTCGTCCACATGAGTGTCAAAGGAACTGTGCATTTTACAATGCTGATTCCCCCATTCTTCCACTTGGAATGACTGCATCCCAGCATTCCTCTCATTTTAACAAGTTCTTTTCACTCTCCTCTATGGATTCATACCTTTGTTGGTACTATATTAACAGGCCCCTCTTTACTCAAGCCATTTTTATCAGTACATGTAGCCTTTCTCTTGATCTAGACAGGATTAATGTCAATTTTTCTGTGTGCTCATTCTTCTCCATCCCTAGAAAGCAAGGTGCTCTGTGTGGTAGGGTTTAATAACACAGGGCCGTATCATCCATCACTGTCTGAGTTCTTCACAATTACGACATGCATCTCAGAAAAATGCCTTGAGAAGTCTAGATGGAAACCAATGCCCCATGGAAACACATGAATATTTTATCAGGCTCTGAACAAGACTCTTGCTCATGAATGTTTAAACCCCTCAGTAGCATAATGCTCAGAAGCTGATTAGAGTCAACTTGTGCTGGGATGGGGAAGCTGAGAGGAGGAGGGAAATACAACAGTGATGGCAGCAGGCATTCCACAGTGTCTCTTTCAAGGATTTAAAGCACTTAAGAGTGCACTGGAGGGCTCGCTAATTTGTTAGACACTCATTTTCCAAGTGCTTTCCCTCTAAAGTGGGAAGCAGGTCAGCTCCCAGCAGAGCTGTCTAGAGAGAGCACTGGCTGGGGTACATGCAAGCTGCTACATCAGTCACAGCCCCCATAACCTTGCCATACTTCTCTCTGCATTGGTGGCACAAGGAAGATTTTCATATAAAGTAGAGAAGACTCAAGATGAGGCAGACCCTTTATAGGTTCACAGCAGCTTTGTTCAAAATTGCCACAAACTGGCAACAACCAAGTATCTATCAACAAGAGAACAGATAAACACATGGTCAATATTCATACAATAAATACTACCTTGGAAAAAAAAGAAATGAACTACTGATACACACAATGGCACAGATGAATATCACAGACATTGTGTAGGGCAAAAAGAAGCCAAACACAAGAGTGCATACTGTGTAACTGCAGTTATATGAAATTCAGGAACCAGCAACACTAATCTATGATATTAGAAATCAGAACAAGGTTTGCTGCTTCTGTGGGGTGGAGGTGACTAGAAAGAGACGTGAGGAAAAGTTCTGTGACTGAAATATTTTATGTCTTGTTTGGGATGTGGGTTTGTCAAAACTGGCCAGCTATTAGCATAGGATTCAGCTGAGAAGTGCTGTGAGGATAAAAGAGGCCACTGATCTCCAGGGTCATCATTTACCTATCAAATATTGATTAACTTGAATTATGAATTACCTCAAAGGACTTCTAGTATTTTACCAAGGGTTCTGCCACCCTTATGGGAGTCAATGCCTTATTTGTGTAATTTAGTTACCTAATTAATCCAACAGTTATTTATTAATTGCTCATAATATACCAAATAGGAACACAGCCATAAATAAGACAAAAAAATTCCTTGTCTTGATGGAGTTTACATTAGAGTGGGGAACATGCCCAATTAACAAGGAAACACATATACTATATAGTGTCAGGGAGTGCTAAGTGCCATGAAGAAGGATAAAGCAGGGTCAGAAGACAGGGAGTGACCACAGGCTGTTTTAGATCAGGTGGCCATCATTCTGGAGAGTATGAAAAGAAACTGGAATGAGCTGAGAAAAGAAGCAGTGGCAGTGTCTGAAGGAAGAGTGTTCAGGCAGAGGGAAGAGCAAGGACGATGGTAAGCAAGAGGACGGCCATAGAATATGAGGGCACCAGACCAAATCACAAGCCCTGGTGGAGAGTTGAATGTTATTCACAGTGTGAGGGGAAGCCATTGGAGGGTGTTAAGCAGGAGAGTAATATCATCCAACTGACTGACATTTTAAGAATGGGAAAAAGAAGGCAGTTAAGGGGTCTGCTCAAGATTCTTATGGGAAAGTCAGAAGAATAAGATCCATATTTTTTTCTTAAAATGTTAATATCCTTCACACATCTATATTTGAAACACCTTCTGATTCAAGCTCTGTCCAGGACCAGATCACATATGTCTGGATTCTAAACACTGATTTTTATTAACAAGTTTGTTTTAAGATAATAAGTTTATAAAATGAGAGGTAGAAAACATCTCTGTATGTCTAAAATTTTTCATAATAAAGTACTGGAGAAAAAAAGGTGAGATAGTGATTTGCATCCTTTATCAGGCAAAATTCATCAGCAACTAAACATGAATGTTCTGATTCTCAAGACCTTTGCAAAATAAAGGCTCTGATTTTTTTTTTTCAACTAAATGTAGAACATTTCTTTCAACCCCCAAATCCACCTTTGCAGCCCAAGTCAGTCCACGTTGCACTGTTTCTGCAGCATGTCAGAGCCTCTGGCTTCTTTCCTCTCTCCCCCTTCCCCCAATTAATCTCTGAAACCTACATAAGAATGGAATAAAATGCAAATTCAAGGAGAAGGATGCAGTTTTCAGAGAAGGCCTCATCCTCCTCCTACCCTATAATGGAAATTCCCTTATGGTTAAACAACAAAAATGGAAATATTAAAACCCTCAGCTGAAAACAAACACTTAAGCACCTATTCTCCTTTCCAGAGAATCTGTTTCCCTCAATCATTATTTTTCCACTCTTTTGAGAGCCTTCTAGGCTGAAAGTTGTTTCATCTCACCCATCTTGGGTCTCTCCTAGGTCTCATTTCTGCCTTCACCAGGCTTGAAGTTCTATATCCCTAGGCTATCAGAACTTTGACTCTGACCAGGCTCAATTCTAGACTTTACTGGGGAATGGGGAGAAGCTAAAAGCTGGGGGTGGAAGAGAAGGGGAAACAGAGGGAACATTCCAGAGACAGTAGTGTCCCTGAAGGGGAATTAGGCTGGCAAAATGGGGACCAGAAAGCCACCTCTATTCCTCACAAGGGACACCTAACTCAAGCACAGCCTGCTAAAGCACTTTATTCTCCAGACTCAAATTGCCTTAACCTGTAAGCAAACGCTTCCCCAGCCATTTATCCGCAAGCGCATTTGCCCCACCTGCAGCAATGAAAGAAGCACTGTTTTTGCAAGCCGGGCTGCTACCCAGACTGCGAGGAGACATTCTGTGCAGAATTCAGCCACTGGTGGAGAAAAAGAAGTTTTTCTTTGCAGGCCTTGCTGCCTAATACAACTATATCAACAATTTCTCCCGCTGTGTAAGCCCCATCTGAAAATCTTTCCCTTTTATCTAGGATGCAAAAATGTAATGTTATCCTCCATATTCTGGTTTAAAGAACTACACCAGGAAAGACATTTTATGATAGGCTAGGGCATCATTTACCTCTAATTCAAGCATGCATGTACCTAGAAAACTAACAAAGGGGTAAGTTATGCCATGCCATGACTTCTCTTCCCAGATTTCTATCCTGAAATCTTAACAAAATTCGATTTTAAAAACCTCAAGGTTTGTATTCTTCACGAGTACATGGATACCTTGAGTTCTACCTAGAGGCCTCTAGTTTCTGACAGAGCTAACTTGGAAAGGGCTGCTTGCCAGGGTACAAGGATGTTGCAGCTTCCAGGTGACTCCCTCATGCCCAGAAGCAAGGCAGTTCAACAGACGCAGTGCAATACAATTGTCCCTTTTCAGGACTTTGCAATCTCCATGGGGGAGCCCATCGTGCCCGCCACTCTACACCCTGGGGGTGAACATGCCCTGCAAAGCAGATTCGGCGTGAGGAGACTCTGGAAAGTCTACAGGCGGTGGGAAACTGTTTCGGGATCTCTCATTTTCAGCACAGCCGGTCGCTTATTCAGCAGAAAACCCACGGCCCCATCTTCACACCAAATTACAGTACTCTCCCGTCTCTTCCACTGAAATTGCCACTCGCATCCCTGATGCGTGACCCCTGCTCACCTCAAGTTCCTATGAGAGTTTCTTTACCGGTTCCAAACAAACTGCCCAGATTCTGGAAAGGGAGAGAAAGCCCCTCCCCCTTTCCACTTTCACTTAATAATTAAGTGTTTGAAGTTTTGTGGATCCTTAAGGTCGCTGTGCTCACCTCATCAGCGTCGGACCGCCGAGAAGCGCCAAGCCCGCTGCTATGTGCAGGACGCCCACGGTCCCCCGGCGTCTCGCGCGTTCGCGGGGCTGGAAGGGGCGGGAAGGGGCGGGCCGGGGCAGAGACAGGGGCCCGCGCCCATCGCCGCGCCGGGAGCCTGGCGTGGAGGCGGCGGGACGGCGGCGCAGGCCTCTGAGGTGTGCGCGGGGCGCCGGGCGCCTCTGGCCGGGGCACTGGCTGAGCCACGCCTGCCCGCCCCTCCCTGGCGCCGCCCGCGTGGCGCGCCTCGACCCTGCTCTCCCGCGAGGGCCGGGAGGGCTCCGGGACCTTGCAGACTCCACGCGCCTCACGGCTCCTCCAGCTCCTCGGATCTTTCTCCTTGCGTCGCCGCCGAGTCCCCTGGGGCGGCCCCGCCTCCGGCCGTCTCCTCAGAGACCTTCCCTGGGGGGCGCCTTCCCCTCAGCGCCCCTTCCCGGGCCTCGAGCCAGCGGCTGCCGCAGGAGCTGGCCCCGGGGCGAGGAGCTTCAGATTCAGGTCCCTAGCCGGCCTCGGTAAGGAGACTGGAAGGATTCTCCGCGAATGCTCATTTTTATTTCTGGAGTGGCGTCGGAGTTACCAATTAGTTTTCTTATTTTATACTCTCTGGAGTTGCCAAATTCTTTACGTTGAGCTTTTGCTTATTTTATAATCAGAAAGACAAGTACGTTTCTTTTTCCAAGAATGCTTACAGGAGGCCACAAACAAGATGTTCGCACCCAGCCCACTGTCTTCCGCTTAAAAATATGTGTGAGATGTTGTGTTTAAGACACCCTCAAGGAGAAACATAGAGGGGAGACCTGGAAATGGTCTTGGGAATCCACTTAGACTTTCCATATTATATTTGTTTCATTTATTTTAAAATCTCAGACCTATTTATGTGCATTAGGACATTCCACATTTTTACAACTGCGCAGAGGAAATCTTTGGTTGTAGAGGACGGGAAGAGAGAGGCCAGGTCCGCAGACCCCACTGTGACAAGACAGTGGCTACATTCTTAACTGTTTTACACATTGTGATACCCAAAGACTTCTTTTCACAGGATTCTACTGAGGGGGAAAACAAGAGGAAGAAAGAAAGATAGACAAGGTTTTCCTCAAGGCAGTAAGCAAAAAGCTGGTTTCTCAGAAGAAAGAATTATGTCTGAGATTTTACCCAGGACTCTCCAGATCTCTCATTCTACACAGAAGGACCCTTTCATTTGGAACGTGCAGAAACTGAGGAGGACCATCTCTCTCCTCCATGGGGGCTGCCTGAGTTAAAAAGGCCTGGGTCCATCTTTTTTCCGTAGGAGAGCTGACTTCAGAGTCTAGAGCCAAATCTTCACTTCTGTGGCTCTAGATTGAGGATTTGCCCTTCTGATCTCTGTGGGGCTTTTTTTTTTTAACCTGGGAATTCCCCTGGGCTCTTCGGCTGTTATTCTCATCAACCCCTCTCTATATTCTGCAAGACATTGAAATCTTTCTCCCAGCTTGGCCCCCACCTCCAATCCCAGTATTCTCTTTTCTGAGATTGGAGTATTTCCAACCCCTCAGTTGCCAGGCACTGAAGGTTTTCATCTTCCAGGCCTGCCATGTTTACCTCTGAGATGTTTCTGGCAACTGTCCACTTCTCTGCATTCTCACACTGCTGCTCTTGATAAGCTTCGATTATCTGGGGCTGAATTGTTTCAATAATTTCCTAACTGATTTTCTTGCCTCCTATCTGTCCCCACCACCAACATAGACTTAAGAATGTCACTCTCTTGACAAAACAAGCCAACATCCTCTATCCTCTGTCCCACTCCCAAACCTGCAGTAACTTTCCTGTGCAATTGTAATACAGTGTAAACTTTCATAAGGATGGGGAGTGGCCAAGATGGCTGACCAGAAGCAGGTAATGTACATGGCTCTCACGGAGAGGAACAGAAGGGACGAGTAGATACAACACCTTCAACTGAAACATCCGGGTACTCGCATTGGGATTAATCAAGGAAACAACCTGACCCACAGAGAACAAGGAAAAGCAAGACAGGACAACAGCCCACCTGGGAGCAACAGGGAACCAGGGGATCTTCCCCTGCCCAGGGAAGTGGTAAGTGAATGAGCGACCCCGGAAACCATGCTTCTCCCACAGATCTTTGCAACCCTCCTGTCAGGAGATCTCCTTGTGAATCCACTCCACTAGCAGCAGGGCCTTCAGTCTTCAGTCTGGCAGACAGGGCTACATGGAGTCTCAGCAAAGCAGCCACTCAGGCATGCGTGGAGACCCTGGAGGCTTAGATACTTGGGCGTTCTGGCAAAAGTAGCTGCATCTCCCACAAAGAGGGAGTTTAGACTCCCATTCATACCCCTAAGAAAGAGGCTGAATCCAGAGGGCTGAGCAGCAACAGCCCGCAGGGCCCACTTCCACAACACCTCACACAAGACAGGACCCACTGGCTTGGAATTCCACCCAGCTACCAGTAGCAACATAGCACCTGCCTAAGTAGGAGCTCCCAGGGGAGGGGTAGGCCAACATCTTTGCTGTTCAGGAGCTTTAGCTGTTCCAGCCTTCAGGGTTTGGAGAGTCTGAGACGACCTGGGGCGGTAAGGATGCCCCAGCACAGCACAGCTGCTCTACCAAAATGTGGCCAGACTGCTGCTTTAAGTGGGTGCCCAATCCCATTCCTACTCACTGGGTGTGACCTCCCAACCAGGGCCTCCAGCCACCCTGCCTGAGCTCTTCAGCTGTGACAGAGATCTGAATTCCCCCTGGGATGGCACTCTTAGAGGGAGGGATGGGCTGCCATCTTTGCTGTTTGGCTGACTTAGCTCTTCCAGCCTTTGGGTTGTAGAGTGTCTGAGGTGACCAGGAGCTGAAGTGGACCCCCAGCACAGCACAGCTGCTATACAGAAATGTGGCCAGACTGCTTTTTTAAGTGTGCCCCATCCTGTTCCTCTTCATTAGGTGGGACCTCCCAACCAGGGTCTTCAGCCACTTCCTACAGGTGCCTTTGGGCCAGCAACAGGTCCATACCTCCCTGGGACAAAGCTCCCAGGGGGAGGGACAGGCTGCCATATTTGCTGTATCATAACCTTCACTGGTGACACCTCCAAGTTCTGGAAAATCTGAGGTGACTAGGGACTGGAGCAGGCCCTAAGCATACCAGAGCAGCCCTGTAGAAAAGTGGCCAGACTGTTTCATGGGTGCCTATTCCCATATCTCCTCACTGGCAGGTCCTCCAGGCCTCGGCCTCCAGCCACTCCCCACCAGAGCTATCCAGCCAATACCAACTCAGCGACTTCCAGGACAGTGCCTCCAGGGGCAATTGAAAGGGTCTTAGCCACTGCCTCTGCTGTGGAACTCCCCTTGCCACCCTTGGACTAAAGAAGGAGCAAAGACCCTAAGTGCCTTTTCCATACCAACAAGCTGCAGTAGACCCAAGGAAAGGAGACCAGTCCATCTCCCATGTGTTCCACACTGCTCACTGGACAGGCAACCCCTGGCTTGGGTCCAAAGCACGAACCCTCCTTCTTGGGCTGATTGCACTGAGCAATTGGTAACCTGCATTTTTCTGGGGGTAGAGCCCCCAGGAGTCAAGCAAATGACTCTCGGCCACAGCACCTACTAAGATGAGCCTCTGCTACTTCTAAGCTGGGGAAGGAACATAAACACAGATCACTCCAGAGCTGCAGTGGGCAGTCCAGGGGTGCTAAGTCGTGAACTACAGCCAGCACTCAAGGGGGAGAGGAACCCACACTTTCGGAGCACTGAGAGGGAACACAGCTGCAACTGTGAAGAAACATACAGGAGCAGGAGTCTACCAATTGACCAATAAGCCTAAGTGTCACCTGCAGGATCACACCCCAAAGCTTCAACACGAAAAATATTTCACTAACATACACACCTCTGAAACCAGAGACAAGAAGTCAGCTTCAAATAAAGACCCTATAGAAAGCCTCAGCACAGTGAAAACATCCAAAAAAGAAGTCTGTTGACTGTAGTCAATCTACGTTGCAGTCAAATGAACACCCACACACAGAGATGAGAAAGAACCAATGCAAGAACTCTGGTTACTCAAATGGCCAGAGTATCATACGTCCTCCAAACGATCACACCAGTTCTCCAGCAAGAGTTCTTAACCAGGCTGAACTGGCTGGAATAACAGAAATAGAATGCAAAATATGGATAGGAACAAAGAGATCATCAAGATTCAGGAAGATGGCAAAACCCAATCCAAGGAAAATAAGAATTACAATAAAGTAATACAGGTGCTGAAGGATGAAATAGCCAGTATGAAAAAGAACCTAATTGGTCTGACAGAGCTGAATAACACAATACAAGAATTTCACAATGTGGGCCAGGTGCAGTGGCTCACGCCTGTAATCCCAGCATTTTGGGAGGCTGAGGTGGGCAGATCACCTGAGGTCAGGAGTTCGAGACCAGACTGGCTAATATGGTGAAACCCCATCCCTACTAAAAATACAAAAATTAACCAGGTGTGGTGGTGAGAGGTGACAGCATGCTGGCAACCCTCACAGCCCTCGCTCGCTCTCGGAGCCTCCTCGGCCTTGGTTCCCACTCTGGCTGTGCTTGAGGAGCCCTTCAGCCTGCCGCTGCACTGTGGGAGCCCCTTTCTGGACTGGCCAAGGCCAGAGCCAGCTCCCTCAGCTTGCGGGGAGGTGTGGAGGGAGAGGCACAGGCGGGAACTGGGGCTGGCCCCCATGGCACTTGCGTGCCAGCGCAAGTTCCAGGTGGGCGTGGGCTCTGCAGCCCCGCACTCGGAGCAGCCAGCCGGCCGGCCCCACTGGCCCCAGGCAGTGAGGGGCTCAGCACCTGAGCCAGCAGCTGCTGTGCTCAATTTCTCACCAGGCCTTAGCTGCCCCACCGCAGGGCAGGGCTCAGGACCTGCAGCCTGCCATGCCTGAGCCTTCCCCCCGCCCACCCCTGCCGTGGGCTGCTCAGTGAGCGCCACCCCCTGCTCCACGACACCCAGTCCCATTGACCGCCCAAGGGCTGAGGAGTGCGGGCACACAGCACAGGACTGGCAGGCAGCTCCACCTGTGGCCCCAGTGTGGGATCCACTGGGTGAAGCCAGCTGGGCTCCTGAGTCTGGTGGGGTCTTGGAGCATCTTTATGTCTAGCTAAGGGATTGTAAATACACCAATCAGCACTCTGTATCTAGCTCAAGGTTTGTAAACACACCAATCAGCACCCTGTGTCTAGCTCAAGCTTTGTGAATGCACCAGTCGGCACTCTGTATCTAGCTAATCTGGTGGGGACTTGGAGAATCTTTATGTCTAGCTAAGGGATTGTGAATGCACCAGTCGGCATTCTGTATCTAGCTCAAGGTTTGTAAATGCACCAATCAGCACTCTGTGTCTAGCTCAGCGTTTGTAAATACACCAATCAACACTCTGTATCTAGCTGACCTAGTGGGGACATGGAGAACTTTTGTGTCTAGCTCAGGGATTGTAAACGCACCAATCAGCACCCTGTCAAAACGGACCAATCAGCTGTCTGTAAAATGGACCAATTGGCTCTCTGTAAAATGGACCAATCAGCAGGATGTGGGTGGGGCCAGATAAGGGAATAAAAGCAGGCTGCCCGAGCCAGCAGTGGCAATCCACTCGCGTCCCCTTCCGCACTGTGGAAGCTTTGTTCTTTCGCTCATTGCAATAAATCTTGCTGGTGCTCACTCTTTGGGTCCACACTGCCTTTATGAGCTGTAACATTCACGGCGAAGGTCTCCAGCTTCACTCCTGAAGCCATCGAGACCACGAACCCACCGGGAGGAACAAACAACTCCAGACACACCACCTTAAGAGCTGTAACACTCACCGCGAAGGTCTGCAGCTTCACTACTGAGCCAGCGAGACCACGAACCCACCAGAAGGAAGAAACTCCAAACACATCCGAACATCAGAAGGAACAAACTCCAGACATGCCGCCTTTAAGAACTGTAACACTCACTGCGAGGGTCTGCGGCTTCATTCTTGAAGTCAGTGAGACCAAGAACCCACCAATTCCAGACACAGTGGCAGGTGCCTGTAGTCCTAGCTACTATGCTGAGACAGGAGAATCACTTGAACCCGGGAGGTAGAGGTTGCAGTGAGCCATTGCACTTCAGCCTGGGTGACAGAGAAAGACTCCGTCTCAAAACAAAAAAACAAACAAAAAAAAAATAGGCTGGGTGTGGTGGTTCGTGCCTGTAATCCCAGCACTTTGGGAGGCTGAGGTGGGTGGATCACCTGAGGTCAGGAGTTCGATACCAGCCTGGACAACATGGTGAAACCCTATCTCTACTAAAAATACAAAAATTAGCTAAAACTTTAGCTGGGCTTGGTGGTGCACACCTGTAATCCCAGCTGCATGGGAGGCTGAGGCAGGAGAATTGCTTGAATCCAGGAGGTGGAGGTTGCAGTGAGTCAATATTGCACCATTGCACTCCAGCCTGGGTGACAGAGTAGGACTCCATCTCAAAACAAAACAAAAACAACAACAACAAAGAATTTCACAATGCAATTACAAATATTAACAGCAGAATAAACCAAGCTGAGGAAAGAATCTCAGAACTTGAAGACTGGTTCTCTGAAATAAGACAGTCAGACAAAAATCAAGAAAAAAAGAATAAAAAGGAATGAACAAAACCTCTGAGAAGTATGGGATTATGTAGAGTCCAAATCTATGAATCATTGGCCTACTTGAAAGGGAGGAGGAGAAAGCAAACAACTTGGAAAATATGTTTCAAGATATCGTCCATGAAAACTTGCCCAACCTTTGCTAGAGAGGCCAACAGTCAAATTCAGGAAATACAGAGAACTTCTGCAAGATTCTACACAAGAAGAACATCCTCAAGACACGTAATCATCAGATTTTCCAAGGTTGAAATGAAAGAATGTTAAAGGCAGCTAGAGAGAAAGGGCAGTTTATCTACAAAGGGATCCCAATCAGGCTAACAGTGGGCCTTTCAGCTGAAGCCCTATAAGCCAGAAGAAATTAGGGGGTCTATATTCAACAATTTTTTTTTTTTTGAGATGGAGTATCGCTGTGTCGCCCAGGCTGGAGTGCAGTGGCGCAATCCCAGCTCACTGCAACCTCTGCCTCCCAGATTCAAGTGATGTGCCTGCCTCAGCCTCCCAAATAGCTGGGATTACAGACACCTGCCACCATGCCCAGCTAATTTTTGTATTTTTAGTAGAGATGGGGTTTCAGCATGTTTGACAGGCTGGGATATTTAACATCCTTAAAGAAAAAACTTCCATCAAGAATTTCCTATCCAGCCAAACTAAGCTTCCTAAGTGAAGGAGAAATAAGATCCTTTTTAGCTAAGCAAATGTTGAGGGACTTCATTACCACTAGACTTGCATTACAAGAGATCTTGAAAGGAGCACTAAATATAGAAAGGAAAAACCACTACCAGCTTATACAAAAACACACTTACACAGACCAGGGTCACTGTAAAGCAACCACACACACAAGCCAACATAGTAACCAGCTAACAGCACAATGACAGGATCAAATCCACACATGTCAATACTAACCTTGAATATAAACTTAAATGCCCCACTTAAAAATGCACAGAGTGGCAAGCTGGATAAGAAAGCAAAACCCAATGGTCTGCTGTCTTCAAGAGATCCATCTCATATGTAATGACACTCATGGGCTCATAATAAACGGATGGAGAAAAATCTACCAAACAAATGGAAAACAGAAATCAGCAGGGGTTGTAATCCTAATTTCAGACAAAACAAATTTCAAACCAACAGAGATTTAAAAAGACAAGGAAGAGCATTCCATGATGGTAAAGGGTTCAATTCAACAAGAAAACCTAACTATCCTAAATATATATGCACCCAACACAGGAGCACCCAGATTCATAAAGCAAGCTCGTAAAGACCTACAAAGAGATACACTGTCACACAGTAATAGTGGGAGACTTCAACACCCCACTGACAGTATTAGATCATTGAGGCAGAAAATTAACAAAGATATTCAGGACCTAAACTCAGCATTGGACCAAATGGATCTGATAGATCTTTACAGAAGTCTCCACCCCAAAACAACAGAACATACATTCTTCTCATTGCCACATGGCACATACTCTCAAATTGACCACATAATTGGACATAAAACATCCTCAACATATGTAAAAGAACTGAAATCATATCAAACATACTCTAGGTTCACAGCACAATAAAAGTAGAAGTCGGTCGGGTGTGGTGATTCATGCCTGTAATCCCAGCACTTCGGGAGGCCAAGGCAGGCAGATCATGAGGTCAGGAGATTGAGACCAGCCTGACCAACATAGTGAAACCTCGTCTCTACTAAAAATACAAAAATTAGCCAGGCGTGGTAGCACAACCCTGTAATCCCAGCTACTCAGGAGGCTGAGGCAGGAAAATTGCTTGAACCCAGGAGGCAGAGATTGCAGTGAGCCGAGATTGCACCACTGCACTCCAGCCTGGGCGACAGAGCAAGACTCCATCTCAAAGAAAAATAAAATAGAAGTCAACACAATGAAAACTGCTAAAAACCATACAATCCCATAAAAATTAAACTACATGCTCCTGAATGACTTTTGAATAAATAATTAAATTAAGGCAGAAATCAGGAAGTTTTTTGAAAATAATGAAAACAAAGATACAATATACCAGAACCTCTGGGACACAGCTAAGGCAGTATTAAGAGGGAAATTCATAGCACCCACATCAAAAAGTTAGAAAGATATCTAAATTAACAACTTAAATTCATGACAGAATTAGAGAAGCAAGAACAAATCAGCCCCAAATCTAGCAGAAAACAAGAAATAACAAAAGTCAGGCAGAGCTTGATGGCTCATGCCTGTAATCCCAGCACTTTAGGAAGCCGGGAAAGGTGGATCATTTGAGGTAAAGAGTTTGAAACCATTCCTACAGAAACTATTCCAAAAAAGTGAGGAGGAGGGGCTTCTCCCCAACTCATTCTATGAGGCTGGCATCATCTTGCTACCAAAATCTGTCAGAGATACAACAAAAAAAGAAAACCTGAGGCCAATATCCCTGATGAACATTAATGCAAAAATCCTCAATACAATACTGGCAAACTGAATCCAGCAGCACATCAAAAAGCTAATCCACCATGACCAAATATGCTTCATCCCCAGCATGCGACATTGGTTCAACACAAGAAAATCCATAAATGTGATTCATCTCATAAACAGAACTAAAGACAAAAACCTCATGATCATCTCAATAGATGCAGAAAAAGCTTTCAAAAAAATTCAACATCCCTTTGTGTTAAAAACTCTCAACAAATTAGGTACTGAGGGAACATACCTCAAAATGCAGCCATCAGTGACAAACCCACAGCCAACATCATACTGAAGGGCAAAAGCTGGAAGCATTTCCTTTGAAAAGTGGCATAAAACAAGGATGCCCTCTCTCACCACTCCTGTTCAACATAATATTGGAAGTCCTAGCCAAGGGCAATCAGGCAAGAAAAAGAAATAAAGGGCATCCAAATAGGAAGAGAGAAAGTCAAACTATCTGCAGATGACATGATTCTATATCTAGAAAACCCCATAGTCTTGGCCCAAAAGCTCCTTCAGCTGATAAACAGCTTCAGAAAAGTTGCAGGATGTAAAATCAATGTACAAAAATTACTGGCACTCCTATACACCATCAACAACCAAACTGAGAACCAAATCAGAAAGGCAGTTCCATTCACAATTGCCACACACACAAAAATAAAATACCTAGGAATATGGCTAACCAGAGAGGTGAAAGATCTCTACAATGAGAATTATAAAACACTGCTGAAAGAAATCAGAGATGACATGAACAAATAGAAAAACATTCCATGCTCAGGCATAGGGAGAATCAGTATCATTAAAATGGCTATAATGCCCAAAGCAACTTATAGATTCAATGCTATCCCTATTAAACTACCAATGACATTCTTCATATAACTAGAAAAATTTATTTTAAAATTAATATGGAACCAAAAGAGAGCCCAAATAGCCAAGGCAATCCTAAGCAAAAAGAGCAAAGCTGGAGGAATCATACTACCCAACTTCAAACTATACTGCAAGGCTACAGTGACCAAAACAGCATGGTACTGGTACAAAAACGGCCACATAGACCAATGGACAGAAAAGAGAACCCAGAAATAAAGCTGACCATCTGATCTTTTACAAAGCTGACAAAAACCACAATGGGGAAAAGACTCCCTATTTAATAAATGGTGCTGGGATAACTGACTAGCCATAAGTAGAAGACTGAAGCTGGACCCCTTCCTTAAACCATATACAAAAATCAACTCAAGATGGATTAAATGACGAGTTAATGGGTGCAGCAAACCAACATGGCACATGTATACATATGTAACAAACCTGCATGTTATGCACATGTACCCTAGAACTTAAAGTATAATAATAATTTTAAAAAGATGGATTAAAGACTTAAATGTAAAGCCCAAAACTATAAAAGTCCTGGAAGAAAACCTAGGGATCATCCTGGACCTAGGGATGGATAAAGATACCATAACAAAGACACCAAAGCAACTGCAACAAAAGCAAAAATTGACGTGGGATCTAATTAAACTTAAGAGCTTCTGCACAGTAAAAGAAACTATAATCAGAGTGAACAACCTACAGACTGGGAGAACATTTTTGCAATCTATCCATCTGACAAAGGTCTAATATCCAGCATCTCCATGGAACTTAAACTTACAAGAAAAATACAAGCAACTCCATTAAAAAGTGGGCAAAGGACATGAACAGACACTTCTCAAAAGAAGACATTTATGCGGCCAAAAAACGTGAAAAAAAGATCAACATCACTGATCATTAGAGAAATGCAAATCAAAACTGCAATGAAACACCATCTCACACGATTATTAAAAAGTCAAGAAAAAGATGCTGGTGAGGCTGTGGAGAAATAGGAACACTTTACACTATTGGTGGGAATGTAAATTAGTTCAATCATTGTGGAAAGGAGTATGGAGATTCCTCAAAGAGCTAAAAGCAGGACTACCATTCAACCCAGCAATCCCATTACTGGGTATATACCCAGAGGAATATAAAGCATTCTACCGTAAAGACACATGTATGCGAATGTTCATTGCAGCACTATTCACAATAGCAAAGACATAGAATGAACCTAAGTGTCCATCAATGACAGACTGGATAAAGAAAATGTAGTACATATACACTATGGAATCTTATGCAGCCATAAGAAAGAAGGAGATCATGTCTTTTGCAGGAACGTGATGGAGCTGGGGTCTATCATCCTTAGCAAACTAACACAGGAACAGAAAACCAAATAGCACATGTTCTCATTTATAAGTGGGGGCTAAATGAAAAGAATTTATGAACACAAAGAAGAAAACAACAAACACTGGAGTTTACTTCAACAGGGCGGATGGGAGGAGGGAGAGGAGCAGAAATGATAACTATTGGGTACTGAGCTTAATACCTGGGTGATGTACAACAGATCCCCATGACAAGTTTATCTATGTAACAAACCTTCACATGTACCCCCAAAACTAAAATAAAAATTCAAAAAATAACTTAAAATTTTAAAAAAAGAAAACCTTTTACAATTGGGAATCAGCTTACCTTTCCAATCTTCTATCCACTCAACACCTGTGTTCCACTTGTACCAAGCGGGGCCAATTCCCAATCTTTGTATATACCCTGTGTTTTTAACGCCTCTGATGATTTTGCTCACCCTGTCCTGGATTTCTCTTTATTTCCATCTTTACCCGTTGAATTGCTCCCAAGCCTCCAAGATCCGGCTCCAGTACCTTCTCCTATAATGATGTTCTTCCAGATCTTTGCAGTCAGATCTGTGGTATCAATTCATGTTTCCTTCCCAGCACTGCGCCTCAGTTCTAGCCCTCACTAACTACAGATATATGTTACAGCTGGCTGTGTCCTCCTATCTCCCCACAGGGTCTGCAAGGCAGGGTGTGTTTCTGTTTTATCATCAACCCCCAAGGCAATTGGCCACACATACCTTTAAAAATAAATAACATCCAGCTGGGCGCAGTGGCACAAGCCTGTAATCCCAGCACTTTGGGAGGCCGAGGCAGGCAGATCACGAGATCAAGAGATCAAGACCATTCTGGCCAACACGGTGAAACCCCGTTTCTACTAAAAATACAAAAATTAGCTGGGTGTGGTGGCACGCACCTGTAGTCCCAGCTACTTGGGAGGCTGAGGCAGGAGGATCGCTTGAACCTGGGAGGTGGAGGTTGCAGTGAGCCGAGATCGCACCACTGCACTCCAGCCTGGCAAAAGAGCAAGACTCCACCTCAAAAAACAAAACAACAACAAAATAAAACAAATAAATAACATGCTTTGATTGTATATAAACCATGTACTTATTGTAAAAATTCAAATACATAGACATATAAGAAAGGGAATAAACCTCCACCTCCTGCATTAATCACGGGTAATGTTTCAGCAAACATATTTTCATGCATCTCTTTATGCACACATCCATGCATATATGCACAAATGGAATCATTTTGTGCATGCTTGGTTTTCTTTTGGACACCCTCTTTTCTAGTCTTTTCTTACCTGACTCTCCCCCTCACTGCTTTCCCCTACTCCCAGCTATTTAACAAGTTAAGCAATGTATAGCTTTTCTTAATTTTTCCATGCTAATATATCTATATCAGTTTTTTGTTCTTGTTTATTTTACAAAATGGATTATCATGGTATATACACTTCTCTGCTTCTTGCTTTTCTAATTAAAGAAAGTCACAACAATTCTTCCAATTCAACTGGTATAAGTTCTAATTCATTCTTTTATTTTAGACCTCATGCAATGTTCCATGCTGTGGATGTACCAAAATTTATTCAAGAGATCCCCTAGCTATGACATTCAACTTCCTTTTTTAAAAAAATAGCTATTGCCATCAATGTTTCAATAATCGTTCTTACATGTATATCCAAATTCCCTGGTACTTTAATTTCTGAGGGATTGATGACCAGATATGAGACTGGACTACTTAAAATGTTAATAGATTGTCATCTAAAAAGCTGTAACAGGCCAGGCACAGTGGCTCCTGCCTGTAATCCCAACACTTTGGAAGGCCGAGGCGGGTTGATCATCTGAGGTCTGGAGTTCAAGACCAACCTGTCCTACATGGTGAAACCCCGTCTCTACTAAAAATTTAAAAAAATTACCCGGGTGTGGTGGCAGGAACCTGTAATCTCAGCTGCTCAGGAGGCTGAGCCAAGAGAATCACTTGAACTTGGGAGGCAGAGGTTGCAGTGAACCGAGATTGTGCCACTGCACTCCAGCCTGGACAACAGAGTGAGACTCTGTCTCAAAAAAAAAAAAAATACATAAAATAAAAATAAATACATAAATAAATAAATTAATTAATAAAATAAAAGGCTGTAACAATGTGCTCTGCATAATTTTAGCCATTCTGATAAGTGAATAGTGATAGTTTGTTGTTCCTTTAATTTGTATTTCACTGACTACTACTGAAGTCTTTTTCCCTCTAAGGACTTTTTGTTCTGTAAATTGCTTATTCGTATACTTAGCTCATTTTTCTTTTGAGCTACTGGTCTTTTTCTTTTCAACCTGCAGGAATTTTTTGCATATTATGGATAGTAACTCTTTAATATGTTGTTATGTATGGAAGCACTTTCCCCAATCTATCATTTATCTTTTAACTACGCTTGTAATTTTTTAAGCCATTACAACTTTTATAGGTTGACATGAAGCTCATGTAGCATTTATTTTGTAACTAGAATCAATATAGCACTTAAGAAATGAAAATAGTTTGCAGTTTCAAACTTCCTAGGGAAACCAATCTTCTATTTCAGTATTTCACAGCTTATTCTGGAATATGACACACCATCTGATGCCCTAATTCCATGCTCAGTTAATATTAGTTCACATTGCCCCATCCACAAACACAGTTGTGTCTATAATATAGTACAAATTTTTTGTATATTATTATCTGGCATGATCACATTATATAAACCATTTTGATTAAACAAAATTCTAGTTAACAAATATATTATGACCACTAAATGGTAACCACATTTAGTGGTCATCAAGTATTTTTTTCCTGCCCCAAGTTCACTCCTTTGGAAAATGTCTGCCTCCCACTGTCCCTCCCATGCAATTCTAGTGGTCTGCCAATCTTGAAACCCCACTCTCCTGACCACAATAGTGGGCACAAGCCACACTAAAACAAATACACTTCCTGTCCCAGGAATTTGAATCTTGAATTTTAGGATGCCAGTGTCTTAAAAGGATTGAATTTAATTTCAGCCACTAAAATCCCCAGATCAACCCTGCTTGTCTTAATATACATAGTTATTTTCTTAGTGAATGATGGTGATGGTTGCATAACAATGTGAATGTACTTAATGCCACAGAACTGTAGACTTAAAAATGGTCAAAATGGTAATATATATATTTACCACAATTTACCAAAAAACAAGACATTATAAAGAGGCCTTTGGAAAGATTGTTTATAGCCCATCTCCATGGGCTTACACTTAACAGTCACAGCAGCAGTATAGAATGGGCATACACTGCCAAGGCAGACAAGCTTCTTGCCTCCACTTGTGAGTCATGCCACCAACACCCTCTACTCTACTTCTCTCTAACCTCTGTTTCCTCATCTGGAAAATAGGAATAATAAAGCAGCATGACTCTGATGCTGTGGAGCTTTCTTGAAATCTAAAATTCTGTTAAACCACTGTAGCATATACTTGCCAATATAAAATGGCATAAAGCATAAAAGGAAATAAGTTTTTATTTGTTTTTTTTTTTTTTTTTTTTTAAGATGGAGTCTTGCTCTGTCACCCAGGCTGGAGAGCAGTGGCACAATCTCGGCTCAATGCAACTTCCGGCTCCCTGGTTCAAGCAATTCTCCTGCCTTAGCCTCAGCCTCCTGAGTAGCTGGAACCGTATCCAGCTAATTTTTGTTTGTTTGTCTCTTCATTTGTTTTTTGAGACGGAGTCTCACACTGTTGCCTGGGCTAGAGTGCAATGGCGCAATCTCGGCTCACTGCAACCTCCGGCTCCCATGTTCAAGCAATTCTCCTATCTCAGCCTCCCTTGTAGCTGGGATTACAGGCATTCGTCACCGTGCCCGGCTAATTTTTGTATTTTTAGTAGAGACAGGGTTTCGCCATGTTGGTCAGGCTGGTCTTGAACCTCTGACCTCAGGTAATCTGCCCGCCTTGGCCTCCCAAAGAGCTGAGATTACAGGTGCCCTGCCCAGTTTTTATATTTTTAGTAGAGACCGGGTTTCACCATGTTGGCCAGGCTGGTCTCGGACTCCTTACCTCAGGTGATCTGCCCACCTCGGCCTCCCAAAGTGCTGGGATTACAGGCGTAAAGGAAATAAGTTTTTAAAAGGAAAAATAAGAAATCCCACACCATTTAGCTATCAACTTCTAGTCCCCATCTTTCCCCCCACCCACCAAGCTCCCACCTCAGACTCAGACCTAAGCAATCTCTAATCTACTTTCTATCTCTATAGATTTCCCTGTTCATATGAATGGGATCATAAAATATGTGGTGTTTTGTGACTGGGCTTCTTTGTCTGTTTTGCTTTTAACTAAGCTGCCTCTGCCTGTGAGAAGCTGTGGAAACCCAGGAGCTCTAAACAAGCCTATAGGTTTAGAAATTTTAAAGTTTTTCCATTTATAGCAGTTTTAAGTTTTCTTGTTATAAAAGTAATATATGTATTGCAAAAATCTCAAAGGATACAGAATTAACAAAAATAATAAAATAAAAATCAGTTCTAATCCCACCACCCAGAAATAACCACTGTCAACATTTTGGTAAATATTCTTTCAGAGCTAGGCATATTATAAACACACACACATACATACATCATACTATATATATTTAACATTTTTTCCTGATTTTAAAATGTATAGATGCTTGTGAATAGCTATTAAAATGGTATAGAGATGTAAAATTTAGGATAGAATGTACTTCAGAATCCTTCTATATATCTTCACTTAAGAATATATCAAAACATTTTCCATGTTCGCTCATAGAGATCTATTTCATTATTTCCAACAGTTGTTAGTAGTCCACTATAGGAATCTGCCATTGTTTGTTTTGGCATTCTCCATTGATAAAATTTGTGTAGCTTCTATTTTTTGTCACTGAAATGACACAATCAAGATTGTGTCACTTGATTCTTTGTGTTAGTATTTCGTAGAAGTGGAATTTGCTGGGTCAAAGGGTATGAAAATACGTGTTGTGTAACCTGTTTGTTTTGTTTAACCTATTAAGATATTATGAACATTTTCAAGATCATTAAATATTTAATTTACCTACCTAGTTTTATAATCTATGAATATATTAAAATTTATTTTCCCAATCCCCTAACACTAGAAATTGAGTTATTTCTAAAATTTTCACTATTAGAAACAACCTTGCAATAAACATTACTATAGCTAAATCTTGCATGCATGCTTACAGTTTTTTCCTTAAGATGAATTCCTAGATATAAAATTGCCCCTTCAAGGAGTATGTATATTAAAAATAATAACTTTTATCAGTTTTTTTCTTATTACAGAAATAATACATGGTTGGGTGATCCTAGATTAGAAAATATAGATAGGCAAGAAAATGAAACGTGCATTACTTTACCACCCAGAGGTAACCACTGGTAATATTGTGGAGGTGATCATTCATACCTATGCTGTTTGCATACTTTTTTTTTACATGACTGCAAATACAGAGCACATGTTGCTTTAAACTGCCTATAATCAATCTTTTTATGTCATTATCATTTAAAATATCTGCATAGTCTTTTATAAATGTACCAAAATTTATTTGCACAATCCTTATTGCTGAGCATTTAGGTTGTTAATGTACGTACTTTGAAAACTTTTCAGATGAGTGCTGTACACATGGAGGGAATCGTCTCACTGTTAAAGAGCCCAGAACAAAAGACTCCTGCCTCTTTATAGACCTGAGAGACAGGGGGAGAGAGAGAGAGTGGGAAGGTCTAGGAGTAGAAAGGTACTGAGTCAAAGTGGAAAAAAGAAGTGCCTCAGCAAGGCCCCCAGTAAGGAGGCCAGTGAATGAAGGGACCAGGGCCAGGATTATGAATATGCATGGCTGGTTGGGGTAGGGAGAAGAAGGGCCGAGTTCTTGACTGCAACTCCCTTCAGAAAAGTACAACGCACTGCCAGTGCAAGTGTGGTATGGGGAGGCAGCTTCTCCTCAATCAGGCCTGCCAGGCAAAGCCCAGTAATTGCTTATGATCAGGCCTGAAAGATCACACATAGGATTTTGACCTGGAGCTGGACTCCTTAATAAATAGTAACAAATTGCCAAGACTTATTCGGTATCCCTCCCTACCAGAGTACACAACGGTGCCAGTAGAACTGGAAATGTGTCAGGGACCCCAGAGAAAAGACTAAAATGATTTCTTTTGGGGTGCGTAAACTGACAACTGAGGGCAGGTCGAAGAGTACCAACATGACTGGGCAACTGAATGAGCCTCAGCGAATCCTAAGCAGGCTGAGCCAAGTCTGATGTAATTGGGTCCCCTCCTTTTAGGGGATGAGACTGAGTCATTGCCATTTATCTCCTTTGAGGCCTCTACTTCTGGAGCGAATACTAAGCACATATTGTACAAATGCTTGATTCTGCTCCATGACCTCAGAAAGTTATGATAAATTTCCTGAATATTTTTCCTTAATAAATTATCTATTTTAGTTTGTATTTCTTGAGTTTCCTTTAAACTCTTTTGAAATTTGCAGTTTGCACTAATTCACAGTCTGTTAGACACTGTGTATATGCTTGTGTTAAATTTTCTTGCTTCAATATTTAAATAATTGGGAATTTAAGCATTCTCTGGGTTGCCTCAGTTACACTTTTCATGATTTCATAAACTGTCATCACATTTCCTTTCCATATTTATTGTTTTGGCTTGACCTTTTCTTTTTTAACTCATAAGATAAGTGATTCTCAAGGCCTTTGACCATATGTGGATCTTCCTGAGTTCTATTAAATTATTATTACTGGCCAGGTGTGGTGGCTTACGCTTGTAATCTCAACACTTTGGGAGGCCAAGGAGGGCAGATTGCCTGAGCGCAGGAGTTTGAGACCAGCCTGGGCAACATGGCAAAACCCCATCTCTACAAAAAACAGAAAACAAGAAAGAGCTGGGTGTGGTGGTGCATGCCTGTAGTCCCAGCTACTTGGGGGGCTGAGGCAGGAGGATAACTTGAGCCTGGGGGGTCATAGCTGTAGAGAGCCGAGATTGCACCACTGCACTCCAAGCTAGGTGACAAAGCGAGACATCATCTCTAAGAAAAATAAAAGTAAAATAAAATAAAATAATTACTACTACTATTACTACTATTATTATTTTAATTATCTATCATAGGGAAGCACTCTTGTAGGTTCTCAGAGAGGGACAAAATGTTGAATAACTTACAGCCCTCGATGAAATTATTATCTTCCCTTGGGCTGTAGAAGTAGCCTATCAGACCAAGTCTTTAGAACAGACATATGAAAGAACATTCCAGATGGACAGTCCATTTGCTAATTCACAGAGTTGCTCAACTTTTTAGTAATGAGCATGAATGGAAGTTAATTTTCTTAACTCTTTGTGTCATATAACTAGACTCTCCCCAAAGGTAGGGGTGACTGGACCTCACAGTCCTGACTTCTGCCTAGAGATTCTCCTTCCCTATGAGTTCTAACACCAACTACCAGAGTTAGGCCAAACTGCCCTCACTTCAGGCAGTATCTGCAAGTTCAACTTCCCCAGGTCACCCTCACCTCTGACCAGCTGGCTACAAAGAATTCAGGAAAGCACTCTACTTACAATTACAGTTGTATTATAGCAAAAGGACACAAATGCATATCTCATTTATTCTTGCAATTCCACAGTTAAGAATTGAGACTACAGATATAATACATAATGTATGACAAATTATATTTTCAAGGATGGTATTTGTAATAGCAAAATCAAATGTAACAAAAAAATAGCCACAGAAAAACTGGAAACAATGTAACATCAATTGGATACCTGTTAAATTATCTCATAATCACGCATTTAAAAACAATGAAAAGAATGAGATAGAGCCATGTGTGTTAACATAGAAACAGCTCCAAAATATTTTATTAAATATAAAAGCAAGGGGCAACACAATGTGTATAAATCTTTAAAAATAAAAACTGCCTGTATAAATACGAAATAGTACACACATGTATATTAATTGCTAGAAGGATCCACAAGAAACTCAAGTAATTTCCTTAGGAAAGAATGACTGGGAGACCTTCAGTTTTCATTTTTTACCTTTAGAAGATATTTGCATTTGTTAGTAAGGGCATATAATTTTTTTAATGGAAAAAGTAAATAGGTTGCACACCAATGTGAATGTGCTTAATGCCACCTAACTGGACACTTAAAAATGGTTAAATTGGTAAATTTGAGGTTATGTATATTTTTCCATTTAATTTTTTTAGTAAACAATATATGTAAATTTATTTTAAATAAAAGAAATATCAAGAGGGGAATTAAGAAGTCACGGGAAGAGAGTGTCTGAGTGCGTGAGAAGCTGCAGGGTGGCAGTAGAAACAGGCTCAAGGCTCTGCCTGTTGACGCTGCCTGAAGGCGATTTGCGTAGGAGGCCTACCTAGGCTTGGGTTCAGAAAGGAGCCCATTTGTCTGAAATAAGTTGGGGAGGGGAATCTGGTAATATTTTATTTCTATTCGAGCTGTTGATTAGACTCTGCACTGGGTGAAATTAGAGAGCAGGAGGATTTATTGGGCAGTGTGACCAGTTTTCTACCTGAGTAACCAAGGTTTAACTTGTACAGATCCTATATAAAACCTGAGCTGGATTCCTGGTAGATGAGAAACTGTCCTGGACTCATGGACTCCTTGAATATCAGAGCTGAAAAGAACCTTAGGGAAGCTCTCCTTTTACTTGGAGACACAGGACCAAGGAATGACTTCTGTTGGTCCAAGTCACATGGATGGTACATGACTAAGCCAGGATTGTAACTTGGGTCTCCAGGCAAATACTGTTTTTCTAAAAAAAAAAAAAAAAAAAAAAAAAAAAAGTTACACCAGCAGCAATAACGTTCTGGGCATGACTTCATTATCTTCACTCAATTTCTCTTCCTGTTAACTGCCCAACTGCTTCTCAAAATAAAGGTCTGGGTATTTGGTCGTTATTCTGTAGATACATTGCAGGGTTCCAGTTGCTAATATCTAGGATGATTGTGCCTGTATTCCATGTGTGAGGTTAAAAATTTTCTGGTTGTGTACTACTACATTTCATTGATTCCATGATGCATATTTTTTCACATTTTAACATCTCTGAAATCAGGATAAGGCTGATGATTGCTGTTGGCCAGGGCTGTCATGACAGTTATCATCACCTGTGCCTGTGCCTGTGCCTGTGTGAACTTGCCTGAAACCTTCCATTGACACCTGCTGGCAAGAACAAGAAAGCTACGGCATCAAAACTTGCCAACGGAACGTCAGAAGTTTGGAAAAAATCACAGAGACGATAATGGATGCTTCTTTTGGAAAAGGTCTTATTACTCTTGCTTTTTGGTACAGAGGACAGTATTACATAGAGAAATGCTGACATCAGCAGCTTTGACTTGGAAAGTGATCCAAAAGAGCAAAACTCTGAGCATGAAGCTATTTCCTTTTTTATAAATGAAGAAGAATGAGGCCAGGCGCGGTGGCTCAGGCCTGTAATCCCAGCACTTTGGGAGGCCAAGGCGGGCGCATCACCTGAGGCCAGGAGTTCGAGACCAGCCTGGCCAACATGGTGAAACCCCATCTCTACTTTAAAAAAAAAAAAAAAATTAGCCAGACGTGGTGGCACATGCCTGTAATCCCAGTTGAGGCAAGAGAATTGCTTGAACCAGGAGGCAGAGGTTGCAGTGAGCCGAGAACGTGCCACTGCACTCCAGCCTGGATGACCAGAGTGAGACTGTCTCAAAAAAAAAAAAAAAAAAAAAAAAAAAAAAGCTGAAGAATGATAGATGTTCAAAAATCTCTTAAAATAAGCCCAAAGCAGGCCAGGCGCGGTGGCTGATGCCTGTAATCCCAAGTGGGCGGATCACGAGGTCAGGAGATCCAGACCATCCTGGCTAATACAGTGAAACCCCATCTCTACTAAAAATACAAAAAAATTAGCTGGGCGTGGTGGCGGGCGCCTGTAGTCCCAGCTACTCCGGAAGCTGAGCCAGGAGAATGGCATGAACCCGGGAGGCGGAGTTTGCAGTGAGCCGAGATCTCGCCACTGCACTCCAGCCTAGGCTACTGAGCGAGACTCCGTCTCAGAAAAAAAGAAAGAAAGAAAAACCCAAAGCAGTGCTTTCAGTAAACTTAAAATAAAAATTCTAAGTGCTAAGAAGCGTAATGGTACATAATGTGAGTTTTATAATCATTGGCAGATTAGATGAACTATGTTAACTATATTAATATTAAACTATGAAATGAATCAAAGTCCCTTTTTCTTTTCTAGGCCTTGACCATTTAAAATAACATTATAATTCAGTAGAAGTTGCAGTGGTTCGGCCGCAGCTACCTCTCTGCGGCGGCGCGTCCCCTGTGCTTGGTACGGCTCAGCCAGTCTCCCCCGAAGCCGCGAGCCCGCGCCCCTCAGTCGATAGAGCCCGCAGCCCCCAATGTGGCCCGTAGCAGCTCCCTGCCCGCTAGGCCCGCGCCCGCCATGGTCCGTCCGCGCCGGGCCCCGTACCGCTCCGGCGCCGGGGACCCCCTCGCGGCCCCTCATAGTGCGCGCTGTCCGCTCCCGCTCCTGGCCAGCCAGCCCCCGAGGCCCGCAGTCTCTGCAGATCCGGGCCTGCTCGGCCCCTCCCGTGGAAGGTGCTCTTGTCTTCGGGGCGCTGGGTCCCATCGGTCCCTCCTCACCTGGGCTCACCCTCGGGGGCCTGGCCGTGAGCGAGCACCGGCTCAGCAACAGGCTGCTGGCCTGGAGCGGCGTCCTCGAGTGACAGGAGAAGCGCAGACCCTACTGTGACTCCACTATAAAGTTGAGGCGGACCCTGCCCCGCCAAGCCTACGTGAACCAAGGCGAGAACCTGGAGACCAACCAGTGGCAGCAGAAGCTGATCATGCAGCTGATCCCGCAGCAGCTGATGACCACCCTGGGACCCCTGTTCCGCAACTCCCGGCTGGCACAGTTCCACTTCACTAACCGAGACTGCTGCTTGCTCAGTGGGCTCTGCCGCATCATGGGCAACGGCTTCGCGGGCTGCACGCTGTTTCCCCACATCTCCCCCTGCGAGATGTGCGTGCGCATGCTCCTGTACTCTTCCAAGAGGAAGATCTTCATGGGCTTCATCCCCTACGACCAGAGCGGCTTCGTCAGCGCCATCCGGCAGGTCATCACTACTCGCAAGCAAGCAGTGGGACCTGGTAGTGTCAACTCAGGCCCAGTCCAGATCGTCAACAACAAGTTCCTGGTGTGGAGAGGCGTCATGGAGTGGCAGGAACCCAGGCCTGAGCCCAAAAGTCGATCCAAGAGGTGGCTGCCGTCCCACGTCTACGTGAACCAGGGGGAGATCATGAGGACCGACCAGTGGCCGAGGAAGCTGTAAATGCAGCTCATCCCGCAGCAGCTGCTGACCACCCTGTGCTGCTGTTGCGGAACTCGCGCCTGGTGCAGTTCCACTTCACCAAGGACCTGGAGACGCTGAAGAGCCTGTGCCAGATCAAGGACAATGGCTTCGCCGGCTGAGTGCATTTTTCCTACAAAGTGTTGTGCGAGATCCGCGTGCTCATGCTCCTGTACTCCTCTGAGAAGAAAATCTTCATCGGCCTCATCCTCCGTGACCAGGGCAACTTCCTCAACGGCATACGGCAAGTCATTGCCTACCAGCAGCAGGTCCTGCAGTGGAACCTGGAGCAGGAGCAGCAGCAGCAAGGAATGGAGGGTAGTGGCTACCCAGGGCTGGGCCCCTCCAGGAGTCACAGACGAGGCCCCGGCAGAGACTGGTGACACGCTTCTGAGCAGGGGCCCCTGGGGACTTCGATTGCCCAGCAACATGGAGGATGGCGTCCTGAGGCTTCCAAGGACGGTCCTCACCCCTGTACGTTTCCCCAATAAAGCCTTTTAAAAACCAAAAAAAAAAAATTCGTAAAAAGTCAACTAACACTCAGCTGTGAACCCACGTAATCGTGGGATCTTTCCCAATGCAAGACTTTTAAGGACAATTTAAAATTTTTCTGTGCTACTTGTTCTATTTATACTATCCTTATTTCAGAGTCAATTTTGGTAATTTGTATTTTTACTAGGAAATCAGCTATTTTCTTTAGGATTCCAGTTTGTTGCTATGGGTTTCTCTTATTAAACTTTTAATTTCTCCTAATTTGTAGTTTTCTACAGAATTTTTAATTTTGTTACTTTTGCTCAGTCTTTTTTCTTAATCAGACCAGATCTTTTTCATCTTTTGCAAAGGATTTTGTATTTATTTGTACATTCTACTGTTTTCTATTAAAATAATTTTAGCTTTTGTCTTTATACATTCTTTCTTTTCTTTTTTTTTTTTTTTTTTTTGAGGCAGAGTCTCACTGTCGCCCAGGCTGGAGTGCAGTTGCGTGATCTCGGCTCACTACAACCTGCGCCTCCGGGATCAAGCGATTCTTCTGCCTCAGCCTCCCGAGTAGCTGGGACTACAGTAGCTGGGACTACAGGCGCCCGCCACCACGCCCGGCTAATTTTTGTATTTTTTTTTAGTAGAGACGGGGTTTCACCATGTTGGCCAGGGTGGACTGAAACTCTTGACCTCGTGATCTGCCCACCTCGGCCTCCCAAAGTGCTGGGATTACAGGCATGAGCCACTGTGCCCGGCTCTCTTTCTAATTTTTAAAAATTGACTTTGTTGCTCTTTTTTTCTAATTTCTTGAAATGAAATCTAATATTATTTTTATATTATTTTATGAAAACTTTAATGTACACATTTTCTTCTGAGTAATTTCCACTGTGTCATTTGGATTTTGGTAAAAAGTGTTCTCTTTTTCATTGCTTTATAGATATTTTATAATTTAAAAAATTTTTTTCTGTGTGTGGTTTCTTACTATCTTTACATTATTTGTTTTCAATCTGTTGGCTTGAAATAAAGGAATGTGGTTTTTAGAGTCTGTTAAGGTTTTCTTCTTGGTCAAATATGACTGACTTTTGTAAATATTCTATCGGTACGAAAACATGTTTTCTTGTAGTTCGAGGGATGTTAGAGCTTACACATAGATACCACATCATTTATTAATTGTATTATTTAATTCCTATGCCATCCCACATTTGCTATATACCAAATTTATCCAATTCTGAAAAAAAAGTTTAAGTTTTCCAATATAATTTTATTTAATCAAATTCTTCTTTTATTTCTTACAGGTTTTGCTTCATATATCTAGCTATTATGTTGTTTTGTATCTGCACTTACACATTCTCCATCTGTAATTATCTAGATATCTTTTGTCTATATATGTCTTTATATTGATTTATTTGTTCTACATTTTGTTGCTCACTACTGAAGCAGTGTTGTTTGTCTGGGGTAATACCCCAGGTTCATTGCCTCACACCAAGGAAATCAAGGAAACGGACTAAGAAGGAGTGAGTTTAAGAGTGAAAGTTTAATAGGCAAAAGAGAAAAGCTCCCTTGTGCAGAGGGAGGGGGTTCCAAACGGATCTCCCGGAACCTGGCAAGATGCGGCTGGTTTTACGGATGGGCTTGAGGAGGTGGTGTCTGATTTGCAGAGGGTGCAGAGAATTGGTTGGACCAGGTGTGTCATTTGTATAGCATCTGAAGAGGCTGGCCACTGCACCCTAATCTTTTATTATGCAAAGGAATTTTCTACCTGGCTGGCACCATGTTCCCTGTTTCTTTACTGCACACATGGTGACAAAGAAAATGGAAGATGGAGCTTCCATGTTGAACATGCCTGGCCCCAGATAGCCTTTTCCTATTGGCACAGCTGCCGGCATTCACCTGCACAAGCTTCCAGCTTGCTTATCTATGTCTGCAGCTCGATTTTACTGGCTGCTGTTTGTTAGAAAAGAAATGGTTTTGGGGCTGTTTTTTGTTAAAAGTGAAGCCTCACCGAGGACTCTCTTACCCTCACTAACTGCCTAAATAATTTCTTTTCAGCTCCTATATCTCTACCATTTCTTCCCTTCTTTATCATCTTGTAGTTTCTCTTATGGTTAATCTATCATCTGGCTAGAGTCACTTCTTAAGTATTTTCTTAGGGTGGGAAAATGTAGGCATTAGTCTTTGACTTCATACATACCTACAAATAATTTCTTCCTATCACTCTGACAACTAAATGATTCTTTGGCTGGTCAAGAAATTCTTGAGTTGGAGTCCTTGCATTTCAGAAGTCTGCAGATATTCCACTAACTTCTAGCTGCTGCTGATGCACAAGAAGTCTGATTCTGTTTGCATTATAATTAATAAGGCAATTTATTTTTTCTGAGTGGAAAAGTTTGTAAAGATTTCTTTTTTTCCTTAGAGTTCCAGAATCTTTCCAGAATATTGCTAAGGGTGTGTGTGTGTGTGTGAATTTATCAATCAAGCCTGGACTTGTTGAATCCATTTAATCTGTAGATTCAGGTATTTCTTGGTCCAAAAATTTTTCTCCTTTCTTATGTTGCTTTTCCTTCTATGTGTCTTTTTCCCCATCTGGATCTCCCAATATAATATGCTAAACTTCTTGGATCTATCCTCAAAATGTCACATATCCTTTCTCTCATGATTTTAATTGCTTTTGTGAACCCAGAAAATCTGAAACAGGTCTCAATTAATTTAGAAAGTTTATTTTGCCAAGGTTGAGGATGCGTCATGACACAGCTTCAGGAAGTCCTGATGACATGTGCCCACAGTGGTCAGGGCAAAGCTTGGCTTTATACATTTGGGGAGACATGAGACATTAATCAATGTATGTAAGAAGTACATTGGTTCAGTCTGGAAAGGCAGGACAACTTGAACTAAAGGCAGGAAGCAGGGAGGGAGCTTCCAGGTCACAGATAGGTGATACACAAATGGTTACATTTTTTTGAGTTTCTGATTAGCCTTTCCAAAGGAGGGTAAGTCAGATATGTATCTATGTCGGTGAGCAGAGGAGTGACTTTGAATAAAACGGGAGGCATGTTTGCCCTAAGCAGTTTCCAGCTTGAGTTTTCCTTAGTGATTCTGGGGGCCTAAGATATTTTCCTTTTATACTTTATATCTTTCCTCCTTGTTCTAAGCTATTTTCCCCATTTGATCATCTAGCCCACTAATTTGGGTCTCAACAGTGATCATCTCCTTTCACTCATGTAAGGAATTTGAAGTTGCAAAATCTTTTATTTCTTTTTTTTTTCCTTTAGATATTAATATATTGTTTTTTGCTTTGTTGACTCAGTGGGGCTCATGATTGGTTGTGGAGTATCCTGAGAAGCAGGAGTCATAGTAAGGGAGGAGAACACCCCTCTTATTGTCTTATGCCCAATTTCTGCCTCCAAAGAAAAAAGAATTAAAAACTGAAGGGCAGAAATGAAATCCACAGGCAGGCAGCCCAGCAACGTGCCTTGGGCCTAGTAGTTAACAATCAACTCCTGACTTAACTGCTTGTGTCCCAGACATTGTATGGAAAAGCATCGTGAAAATCCCTGTCCTGTTCTGTTCCATTCTGATTACCGGTGCATGCAGCCCCCAGTCAGGTACCCCCTGCTTGCTCAATCGATCATGACCCTCTCACTCGACCTCCTTAGAGTTGTAAGCCCTTAAAAGGGACAGGAATTGCTCACTCGGGGAGCTCGGTTTTTTTGAGACATAAGTCTGCTGATGCTCCTGGCCAATAAAGCCCTTTCCTTCCTCAACTCGGTGTCTGAGGGGTTTTGTCTGTGGCTTGTCCTGCTACATTTCTTGGTTCCCTGATCTGGAAGCAAGGTGATAAGCGGATGGTCGAGGCAGCCCCTTAGGCGGCTTAGGCCTGCCCAGTGGAGCATCCCTGTGGGAGACTCTGGCCAGCTTTGGCGATGCGAATCCTGAGAGCGCTCCCCGGTAGGCAATTGCCCCAGTGGAACGCCTCCAGAGCACTGCACGGTAGGCCCCCGCGGAGGATTAATGCAGCGGCTGAACACCGGGAAGGAATTGGCGCTTGGAGTCCGGACATCTGGAACACGGTAAGACCGGTCTTCGAACTTGCCCACTCCATCTGAGTGGAAGTGTGGCCTGATCACCCATGGCGTGCCTTTTTGGCACCTTGGTTTTGGTTTTGATTTTGACTAGATTTGCACTGTTTTGGTTTAGATTTCAGTATTGACTTTTGGTTTTGAACTGTTTTGGCTTTGATTTCGGTTCTGACTTGGCTCAAATTGCTTGATGAATAAGTAACTCCTTATCCATACTTTGGTTTTAGTGTGAATTGCTTGGTGAGTGAGTGACTTTTTGCCCCTTTTTCCCTTCCCTCTTTGTGGTAAGAGTGTTGTTTTGTCTCCTGAGGAAAATGAGTAAAACACAAAGTAAGCCTACCTTGTTAGGAACTATGTTAAAGAATTTCAAGAAAGGATTCAATGGGGTTAATTTTGCCACATATCACCTTGTGAGGTTTATTATAGGAGGGTGTAGGTAGTTTGTTTATGCTTCCCACGACCTCCCACTGTGCGGTCCAGATGGTTTGTAATTGGGGTTTGCTTACTGCAGCAAGGTCTGATAAGTGAAGTCTGCTGGCTTCACCGTGGTGCCTAGACAAGGGCTTAGAAATGTAAAGAGACTTGGGGGAAGTGTGGGCAGCACCAAGAAGCTTTCTTGGGGGAGTCTGTCCCTAACAACTCCTGTGTGCCTTGACGTTTATAGTGGTGGGAAGAACTGTGGATTGGGAGAAAGTGAGAGCAGCAAGATTTTAGAGCCAGACCAAGGTACAAAAATAACATAATGGGTAGTGCACACGTCTTAGTGTCACTGTGCTTCTCTGATGACATAAACAATTTAAAAGTTATCTGCACATCTAATATGGCTAGCACAAATCACAAGAACCTTAGAAAATACTTCCTTTGGCTGGGTGTGGTGGCTCATGCCTGTAATCCCAGCACTTTGGGAGGCCAAGGCGGGTGGATCACCTGAGGTCAGGAGTTCGAGACCAGCTTGACCAACATGGAGAAAACTTGTCTCTACTAAAAATACAAAATTAGCCAGGCTTGGCAGCACATGCCTGTAATCCCAGCTACTTGGGAGGCTGAGGCAGGAGAATCACTTGAACCCAGGAGGTGGAGGTTGCAGTGAGCTGAGATTGCACCATTGCACTCCAGCCTGGGCAACAAGAGCAAAACTCTTGTTTCAAACGTCTCAAAAAAAAGAAAGAAAGAAAGAAAAGAAAGAAAATGCTTCCTTTAGTGACCATTGTTAAGCTTCAGAATTCCTAAAGAAGAAAAATCTTCTGGGAGTTATTTAAACATAGGATATGTTTTTACCCTAATGGATTAATTGTCCTTTTGCAAAAAGTGGTGTGATGATGACTTCTCAAGTTCTTGCTGCTAATCCTTTGATTCTATGTTTTCTTAGAACTAGAAAGAAATTCCTGGCTCTCTCTCTAAGATGGCCAACTACACGCAGCCAGGAGGAACATCTCCCCCCAAGGGACTAGGACATCCGAAGACTGGCAGACCTTGTCTGACCAGCAGAGTGCTCCAGCAGAGTGGCCCCTATGGACACACACCAGCCTGCCTGTGCCCTCCCTCCACTGCAGCCTCCCCCATGCCACTTTGACTGCATGCACTTGCCCACAGCCACCCCCTGCATCACTGTGCCAGTGTATGTGTATGAAGGCAGACTTTGCCTTACCTTCCCTGCCAGTATGTGTGGGTGTGTGCACCCTGCCATGTCACTGCTGCCAGGGTGACTGCACCCTGCTCCCCTCCCCCGTCACAATGCCATTGTTGTCAGATGGTGGTGAGCATGGAGCTTGCCAGTCCTACCCCTGCAAGTGCCCTGCCTCTGTGCCAACACTGCCACTGGCACATAACTAGTCATGGAGAATAGTGAACCCACCCTTGCTCTGACCAGCCACTGCTGTGGGTGTGAATGTGCACAGAGACCTCACACAGTCCTGCACCCTCCAGTGCCCCAACCCTGTACTAATACCACCACCAGAGGAACATGCACACAGCCCCATGAAGGCTGCCACCCTAGTACCCACTAGTACCCTGCTGTAGCTGATGAGCATGCAGTATGCATCCCACCATGCTGCTGCTGCTGCTGCAGCTGGCACAGGCAAATTAGGACAGATCACACTGTCACCCTGCTATGATGTGCTTTGGATGGCATCACCCATTAGAGTATTGTGACCAGTAGTCTGGGAACACCTTGGCCCCTCCAGCACAATAGGTTCATAACCTCGAGGAGCCAGAGAACAAAGTTGGGGCTCAATACCAGTCTCCCAGAGTTAGAACATGCAGTCCAGGAGTCCTGAGCTGAAGCTTGGCCCCCTAAAATCTTCCAGAAATGAAGTCAGTCACCTGAACCCAACACTACTATAATCAGGTCCCCAAGGTCACCAAATAGGATAAAGACAAAAAAGACAGCAACTTCAAAGATGGAAAGAATAAAAGCCCACAAATATAAGAAAAAACCAGCACCATAACTCTGACAACTCAAAAAGCCAGAGTGCCTTCATTCCTCCAAACAACTGTACTTGTTCTCCAGCAAGGGTTCTTACCTGGCTGAGATGGCTGAAATGACAGAAATAGAATTCAGAATATGGATAGGAATGATCATTGAGGTTCAGGAGAATGTTGAAACCCAATCTAAGGAAGCTAAGAATCACAATTAAATGATACAGAGCTGGCAGACAAAGTACCCAGTATAGAAAGAATATAACCAACCTGAAAGAACTGAAAAACACTCTACAAGAACTTCATAATGCAATTGTAATTAATAGCACAATAAACCAAGCTAAGGAAAGAATCTCAGAGCTTAAAGACTGACATTCTGAAGACAGACAAGAATAAAGAAAAAATATTGAAAAGGAATAAACAAAACCTCCAAGAAATGAGGGATTATGCAAAGAGACCAAATCTATGACTCACTGATGTCCCTGAAAGAGAGACTGGTACCAATTTGGAGAATGGTACCAATTTGGAACATATATTTCAGGATATCATCCAAGAGAATTTCCCCAACCTAGCTAGAGAGGCCAACATTCAAATTCAGGAAATGCAAAGAAACACAGTAAGATACTTCACAAGAAGATCATCCCCTAGACACGTAATCATCAGATTCTCCAAGGTCGAAATGAAAGAAAAAAATTTAAAGGCAACTAGAGAGAAAGGCCAGGTCACCTACAAAGGGAAGCCCATCCAACTAACAGCAGACCTCTTGGCAGAGACCCTATAAGCCAGAAGAGATTGGGGCCTATATTCAACATTCTTAGAGAAAATAAATTCCAACTAAGAATTTCTTGTCTGCCCAAACTAAACTTCATAAGCAAAGGAGAAATAAGAAATTGCAAATGCTGAGGGAATTTGTTACCACCAGACCTCCCTCAAAAGAGCTCCTGAAAGAGGCACTAAATATGGAAAGACCATTACAAGCTACTATAAAAACACTCTTAAGTACACAGACCAGTGACACTATAAAGCAACCACACAAAGAAGTCAGCATAATAAACAGGTAATGACATGAAGACAGGATCAAATCCACACATATCAATACTAACTTTGAATGTAAATCGACTAAATGCTCCAAGTTAAAGAGACAGAGTGGCAAGCTGGATAAAGAAGCAAGACACAATAGTATGCTGTCGTCAAGAAACCCATATTATATGCAATGACACCCATAGGCTCAAAATTAAGGGATGGAGAAAAATTTACCAAGCAAACAAGAACAAAAATAAAAAAAAATAGGAATTGTAATCCTAACTTCATACAAAACATACTTTAAACCAACAAAGATCAAAAAAGACAAAGAGGACATTCCATAATGGTAAAGGGTTCAATTCAACAAGAAGACCTAGCTCTCCTGAATATATATGCACCCAACACAGGAGCACCCAGATTCATAGAGCAAGTTCCTAGAGACCTTCAAAGAAACTTAGACCCCCACACAATAATAGGGGGAGGCTTCAATGCCCCATTAACAGTATTAGACAGATCATTGAAGCAGAAAATGAACAAAGATAATCAGGACCTGAACTCAACACTGGACCAAATGGACCTCATGGACATCTACAGAACTGTCCATACAAAAACAACAGAAAATACATTCTTCTCATCAACACACATTCTATATCAACCACACACTTGGACATAAAACAATTCTCACCAAATGCAAAAACCCCAAAATTACACCAACCACTCTCTCAGACCACAATGCAATAAAAATAGAACTCAAGACTAACAAAATTGCTCAAAACCATACGATTACTTTGAAATCAAACAACATGCTCCTGAATGACTTTTGGTAAACAATTAAATTAAGGCAGAAATCAAGAAGTTCTTTGAAACTAATGAGAACAAAAAAACAACATACCAGAATCTCTGGGACACAGCTAAGGCAGTATTAAGAGGGAAATTTATAGCACTAAATGCCCACATCAAAAAGTTAGAAAGATGGCTGGGTGCAGTGGCTCATACTTGTAATCCCAGCATTTTGGGAGGCTAAGACAGCAGATCACTTGAGGTCATGAGTTTGAGACCAGCCTGGCCAACATGGTGAAACTGTCTCTACTAAAAATACAAAAATTAGCCAGGCGTGGTGGTGCATGCCTGTGATCCCAGTTACGCAGGAGGCTGAGGCAGGAGAATTGCTTGAACCCTGGAAACAGAGGTTCTAGTGAGCTGAGATCACACCACTGTATTCCAGCCTATCATAACTAAATAACTAGAGAAGCAAGAGAAAACCAACCCCAAGCTTAGCAGAAGACAATAAATAAGCAAAATCAGAGCTGAACTGAAGACAATTGAGACACAAAAAATTCAAAAGATCAGTGAATCTAGGAGCTGACTTTTTGAAAAAGTTAGTAAGATAGACTGCTAGCTAGACTAATAAAGAAGAAAATAAAGAAGATCCAACTAAACAAAATTAGAAAGGACAAGGAGGATATTACTACTGACCCTACAGAAGTACAAATAACTATCAGAGACTACTATGAACAACTCTATTCCTCCAGACTAGAAGAAATGGACAAATTCCTAGATACATACAGCCTCGTAAGACTGAACTAGGAAGAAACTGAATCCCTGAACAGACTAATAACAAGCTCTGAAATTGAATCTGTAACAAATAGCCAACCAATCAAAAAAGGCCCAGGACCAGATGGATTCACAGCCAATTTTTACCAAATATACAAAGAAGAGCCGATACCACTTCTACTGAAACTATTCCCAAAAACTGAGAAGGAGAGACTCCTCCTCAACTCATTCTATGAAGCCAGCATCATCTTCATACCAAAACATGGCAGAGACACACACAAAAAAGAAAACTTCAGGCCAATATTCTTGTTGAACATTGATGGAAAAATCCGCAACAAAATACCAGCAAACCAAATCCAGCAGCAAAAGCTAATCCACCACTATCAAGTAGGCTCTATCCCTGGGATGCAAGGTTAGTTTAACATATACAAACCAATAAATGTGATTCATCACATAAACATAACTAGACAAAAACCACATGATCATCTCAATAGATGCAGAAAAGGCTTTCCATAAAATTCAACATCCCTTCATGTTAAAAACTCTCAACGAACTAGGTATTGAAGGAACATACCTCAAAATAAGAGCCATCTATGACAAACCCACAGCCAACATTATACTGAAGGGCAAAAGCTGGAAGCATTCCCTTTGAAAAGTGGCACAAAACAAAGATGCCCTCTCTCACCACTCCTATTAAACATAATATTGAAATTCCTGGCCAGAGCAATCAGGCAAAAGAAAGAAATAAACGGCATCCAAATAGGAAGAGAGGAAGTCAAACTATCCCTAGTTGAAAGATGACATGACTTTATATCTAGAAAACTCCATAGTCTTGGCCCCAAAATTCCTTTGACAAACAACTTTGGCAAAGTTTCAGGATACAAAATCAATGTGCAAAAATCACCAGCATTGCAATATACTAATAACAGCCAAGCTGAGAACAAAATGAGGAACACAATCCAATTCACAATTGCCACAAAAAGAATAAAATACCTAGGAATACAACTAACCAGGCAGGTGAAAGTGAAAGATCTCTACAATGAGCACTACAAAACACTGCTCAAAGAAATCAGAGATGACACAAACAAATGAAAAAACATTCCATGCTCATGGATAGGAAGAATCAGTATCATTAAAATGGCTATACTGTCCAAAACAATTTACAGATTCAGCACTATTCCTATCAAACTACCAATGACATTCTTCACAGAATTAGAAAAAAATTATTTTAAAATTCATATGGAACCAGAAAAGAGCCTAAATAGCCAAGGGAATCCTAAACAAAAAGAACAAAGCAAGAGGCATCATGCTACCTGACTACACATGGTTTTGTACCAGCATAGTACTGGTTCAAAAACAGACACATAGACCAATGGAACAGAATAGAGAGTTCAGAAACAGGGCCACACACCTACAACCATCTGATCTTCAACAAAGCTGACAAAAGCAGGCAATGGGGAAAGGACTTCCTATTCAATAAATAGTGATGGAGTAACTGGCTAGCCACAGGCAGAAGACTGAAACTGGACCTCTTCCTTACACCAAATACAAAAATCAACCCAAGATGGATTAAAGACTTAAATATAAAGCCCAAAACTATAAAAACTCTGGAAGACAATATAAGCAATATCATTCTGGACCTAGGAATGGGCAGAGATTTTACGACGAAGATGCAAAAGCAAGAGCAGCAAAAGCAAAAATTGACAAATGGGATCTAACTAAACTTAAGAGCTTCTGCACAGTAAAAGAAACTATCAACAGAGTAAATAAACAACCTACAGAATGGGAGAAAATATCTGAAAACTATGCATCTGACAAAGATCTAATATCCAGCATCTATAAAGAAATTAAATAAGTTTACAAGGAAAAAAACCCCAAACAACCCCATTTAAAAATGGGCAAAGGACATGAACAGACACTTTTCAAAAGAAGACATACACATAGCCAACAAGCATATGGAAAAAAAGCTCAACAGTATAGATCATTAGTGAAATGCAAATCAAAACCACAATAAGATACCATATGACACCAGTTAGAATGGATATTAAAGTCCAAAAATAACAGATGTTGGTGAGGTTGTGGAGAAAAAAAGAACACTTATACATCATTGGTGGTAGTGTAAATTAGTTCAACCATTGTGGAAAGCAGTGTGGCAATTCCTCAAATAGCTAAAAACAAAACTACTCTCCAACTCAGCAATCCCATTGCTGGGTACATACTGAGAGGAACATAAAGCATTCTACCATAAAGACACATGTATGCAAATGTACATTGCAGCACTATTCACAATAGCAAAGACATGGAATCAACCTAAATGCCCATCAATGAAAGAC
This sequence comes from Homo sapiens, assembly GCF_000001405.40. NCBI lineage: Eukaryota > Metazoa > Chordata > Mammalia > Primates > Hominidae > Homo > Homo sapiens. Next base: position 120,319,517 of record NC_000003.12, read on the forward strand.
TGGATAAAGAAAATATGATACATATACACCATGGAATACTATGCAGCCATAAAAATGAATGAGATCATGTCCTTTGCAGGCATATGGATGGAGTTGGAGGCCATTATCCTTTGCAAACTAACGCAGGAACAGAAAGCCAAATACTGATGTTCTCACTTATAACTGAGTGCTAAATGATGAGAGCACATGGACACAAAGGAGAAGAACAGACACTGGGGCCTATCTGAGGGTGGAATAAGGGAGGAGGAAGAGGATCAGAAAAAATAACTATTGGGTACTAAACTTAGTACCTGGGTGATGAAATAATCTGTACAACAAACCCCTGTGACACGAGTTTATGTATATAACAAACCTGCTCACATATCCCTGAACTTAAAAGTTTAAAAAAAGATTTTAGCTGCTCTTATCACAAAAAAGTAACTATGTAAGATGATAGATATGTTAATCTGCTTTGTTATAGTATCCATTTTACAATCTATATGTATCCCACAACATCATGTTGTAAACCTCAAATATACACACTAAAATTTATTTTAAAATAAAAAAAAAGAAATTCCTATAGCAGACTAGGGCTTAAAATGTAATTACAGTTATGCCACATCTTAAGCCACAGGTATCTAGTAATTATCTGATTCATTCTTATCCATTGGTCAATTACACACACATCTTTCATGAGATACTGCCCCAGCAGAAATAAAACACTAAGATTATTTGTTTCAAAACCACCGATTGACATCTGTCATCCACTACCACAAACCCTTGGAAGTGTTATAAAGTGTGGAATTTTAATTGCAGATTAGGGGTAAAATTCTCATTACCCTACTAACTCTGCCCTTAGCGTCATGTGCATTGGCTTAGGAGGAAAGATGAAAAGACCTAAATAGAGATGGCTAAAAGAGGTGCAGTGAATGATACAAGAATTTACAAATATTTGAGACCTACACAAATAGAAAGGAGCTTTTCAGCAAGATCATTGTAGACTCTCAAAGTTAGAAAGAACTTGTGAAATCATTGTCAGGTTTACAAAGGGGTTAAAATTAACACAAAATACTAAAATTTTGGGAGCTTTCTAGTATAAAATAAGCTTAATTTTCAAGAAGAAAAACTTATTTCACATCTTTCTTTAGTTCAACTTTTAAAGTTTCCAAAGCTACATTTTAAACTCAGTCATTATTTATAGGGAGAAAATACCCATAATAATTATCTCGATAATATGTTCTTTTCCATAGAGTTCCCATGGCATCATGAACAAGTTTTCTTTTCCATTTAAACTTTCCATATATTTACAGAGGTCTTAAGACTGCATTATTATCCAGATTTAAGCAGGAAAATAATTACATAGCCTCATAACTAAATCTGAAAGAAACTAGGGTAGAACTTATGCATAGTGTTTATTTGTAGTTGAGTTGAACTTTTCTATAGAATCATGGGAATCTATGCTTATGGATTAACTATAGTGTCATCTTCTAGGCAGATGTTTACATCTTATCGTTCTTAGGAATGTCTTGCTGTTTACTGTTGTTTATGATGTTAGCTATGTGTTTATCTGTGATCAATAAAACCAGTGTACAACTTGACAAGGGTTTCCTCATAGATGGAAAGGTTGTCTCCTGCCTGTGGCCATAACCTGAAATATTTGACCAAGTCTTTCTTTCACGAATGTTTCTGGTCAAGTTGATCTGTTTGCTGCTTTTGTTTTCCACAATTTGGTGAACACTCTGCCTTAGTTGTAACTGGCTTCAAAATGGCCAATCCATTTGAATGTAACATCATATACCCTCAAAACACTTCCAGTTCAGAAGAAAAGTGACTGACAGGGAGAAGCAAAAAACATTGGATTAGCAGTCAGTGCCTGGTCTGAAGTATGCATTCAATTAAAAAAAATTGGGGGTACAGATGAATAAATTTTAGCCACAGCAACATCTAAGAGAACTTGAGCAAGTCACTTCATCACTTTGGTCCCATTTATCTATTAAGAAAAACTCTACTCCATTGACCTCAAGTTACCATAAAGGGACTTTCACTAAAACACTGATTATCACCCTCACTGGGAAACCAAGTCACCTACAAGAGCTTCTACAACTACGGATGCCAAGACTCTATCTTTAGAGATCAAGTTTCAATTGGTCTGGGGATGGTGTCTTTGTATCTGTATATTTTGAAAGCTTTTCTGGTGATTCTACTGTTCAGCAAGGTTTGAAAATAGCTGCCCAGAGGAAACACTTTCCAACATCTTTTTCCTCCCTGTGGGATAAAGACTTAATTCATCTGCTTAGATGGCCGAAGACTGAAGATAATTGGTCTAGTTTCTCTACTGGGCAGCACTAAGGGGTTTAAGAATTTACCTGTGCTCCTTTGGATCTGTCTGCCCAAAGTGGTATGTTCTGGGCAGTAGTATAGAATACTATCCAGGGGTAGACTCAGTCCTCGCAGGGGAAGCCTGTGATTTTGGTTGGTTACATTCAATTTAATTAAGGGAAAGAATATAAGCAGCTCAATTCTGATTTGATAGAGCTGGTATTTTGTTCCCTATCTCAGGTCAATGTCAATTTCTTAGTTGATTTCAAACGGCAGAAGGAAGGGGGAAGGCTTTGATAAACCACATGAACGTACGTCACCAAATCTACCTCAGCAGTGTCATGACGATTAAATAAGATAGCCTCTTGAATGTGCTTTAAAGAGGTACCCAGCTGTTTACTCTTAAAGTCATCACCAGATCTAAAATTCTGAATACATTGAGATATAGTGCAGATCGCATCACTTCAATACTAGTAGGCCTGTTATTGTGGAGTACTAATACTGTTACTGATTTCCTGTTACAGCATATTAAACAAAGGAAGCAGCATCCTATAGCAGAATCAAGTCTTTTTTTTTTTTTTTTTGAGATGGAGTCTTGCTCTGTCACCCAGGCTGGAGTGCAGTGGCTTGATACAAGCTCACTGCAACCTCTGCCCCCTGGGTTAAAGCAATTCTCCTGCCTCAGCCTTCTGAGTAGCTGGGATTATGGGCACCTGCCACCATGCCCGGCTAATTTTTTTATAGTTTTAGTAGAGCAAGGGTTTCACCATGTTGGCCAGGCTGGTCTCGAAATCCTGACCTCGTGATCTACTCACCTTGGCCTCCCAAAGTGGTGGGATTATAGGCGTGAGCCACCACGCCTGGCCAGAAACAAGTCTTGAAGCGGTAATCTGAAAGCCTGGATTCAAGATTCAGCCATATGGATTCTAGAAAAAGTTTCTTTCGATTTGAATTTTTTTCATTTTTCAAACAAGTGTGTCAATTTCAGATTTCTAAAGTTTCTTCTAGCTCTAATATTCTACGGGATTCTGACAGATTGTTCATGAAGCTGGAAGTGACTGGTGTGATGGATGGAACATGCCCGTCATACATATCCCCAGAAATGTTCTGGCTTTATATTTGGTATCTGCAAAGAATTAGACAAGTCATTTAAGAGTAAAATGTTCTTGTGGCACTAATGCTATGGAGACTAGGTGGATTAGAGAACGGTTTTACCTTTAAGAAAGGAGGCCGGGTACAGTGGCTCACGCCTGTAATCCCAGCACTTTGGGAGGCAGAGGTGGGCAGATCACGAGGTCAGGAATCGAGACCATCCTGGCCAACGTGATGAAACCCCGTTTCTATTAAAAATACAAAAATTAGCTGGGCACAGTGGCACGCGCCTGCAGTCCCAGCTACTTGGGAAGCTGAGGCAGGAGAATCGCTTGAACCTGGGAGGCGGAGGTTGCAGTGAGCCGAGATTGCGCCACTGTACTCAGCCTGGTGACAGAGTGAGACTCCATTTCAAAAAAAAAAAAAACAAAAAACAAAAAAACGAAAGAGAGGCCAGGTGCGGTGGCTCACACCTGTAATCCTAGCACTTTGGGAGGCCGAGGTGGGCGGATCACCTGAGGTCGGGAGCTCGAGACCAGCCTGACCAACATAAAGAAACCCCGTCTCTACTAAAAATACAACATTAGCTGGGCATGGTGGTGCACGCCTGTAATCCCAGCTACTCAGGAGGCTGAGGCAGGAGAATCACTTGAACCTGGGAGGCAGAGGTTGCAGTGAGCCAAGATTGCACCATTGCACTCCAGCCTGGGCAACAAGAGTGAAACTCCATCTCAAAAAAAAGGAAAGAGATCAGACAAACACATAGAGGGTATCAAACACATACACTCTATGTGTTTTCTCTTCTCCCTCAAATTTTTTGGGCCTGTCTTTGCCAAGCAGTCATCTGTATTAGCCCATTTTCATACTGCTATGAAGAAATATCCGAGACTGGGTAATTTATAAAGAAAAAGGCTTAATGGACTTACAATTCCACATGGCTGGGGAGGCCTCACAATCACGGTGGAGGGCAAAGGAGGAAAGGCACATCTTAAGTGGCAGCAGGCTTGTGCAGGAGAACTGCCCTAGTGAGTAAATCTCCTGAGACTTACTCACTATCACAAGAATAGCATGGGAAAACCCGCCCCATGATTCAATTACCTCCCACTGGGTCCCTCCCATGACACGTGGGGATTATGGGTGCTACAATTCAAGATGAGATTTGGGTGGCAACACAGCCAAACCATATCACCATCCTATATATTAACCAGGGAAGTGCTGAGTTTCTTCCATCTTAGCACATTTGAAACATTAGCTGTTTTGCAAAGTACATGTCCTTCCTATCCACTCTGTTTACCCCAACTTAAAACCACAATATTTTTCCATATCCTGGAATCTAGAAAAATGTCAGGTGCCAAAATAATGGCACTATAAAATATTGGTATGAAGTGCTATGTCAATGAGCTCAGTTAGAACTATATTACTGTGGGTTAAGACTGTGTGATTCTGTACTAAATACAAGAAGTAACTGGCCTTAGTCAGCAAGATGATGTCACCAATTTCTTATTAGAGCATGCACCCGTAAGTCTATTGAGACTGTGGAAGCAGAAGGAAGACTAGAAGACAAGTCCAATTTATCTTTTATCCATTGCATCTAGAACAGAGTCAATGTTAGTACATATTTAATGTATGTATTCAATGATGTAACAAGTAATCAGGCAAATATCAACATTATAGAGACTTTAATATAGAACTGGATTCCAACAAAACAGTTTTATTAAAATAAGGCACAATGTTTGATATGGCAAAATTCACAGAGGATTGGTTAATATAAGATCTTTTGTACGTCCTGGGGGAGGGGGAAGAAGGTGGTAGAATTGAAGTAGCCCATATATTCTTTTAAGAGCATTTAGCATTACAAGGCAATATATAAATTTGATATTAATATAATAAACAATAACTTATCCTAAATATAAAAATTGTTGAATCATGTTGCTGAATTACACTTATTTCTACCATTAAGTTTTACTTATTTATCTATAGATGTAGATATTCCTAATTTGCAAGATTTCAAATACAGAAAATTAAGAAATCAGATCATAAAAAGTAATTTGACCCAAGTAAAAGTATGTTTTCAGTACCCTTCGTTAATACTTTGACATCCCAAACTTTACAAAAACTTACAATGCTGCTTATCTAAAACTTTTCTCCCATTATGTTTTTGTTTCTCATGAATACAAAGCAGGCTCAGAAATGCAAAAAACCTCAACTGCAGGCACACGTCTTTACATGATTGTTGTAAAGTGACTGTTTAGGTTAATATTCTTTCTCAATATCACAACAATGTTAACAATTTAAGTTAGTGAAAGGATTCTCTTAAACATAAGCGGTAGACATAATTAACCAATTTAGTCATGTTTTTGCAATACTGCAACAGCAATGTCAATCTTATCCCCGTATCTTCCAACAGCTGGAACTTACAATAAAAAAGTCTTATCCAATTTATTCACAGCCAAAGGAACAAGTACATTCTGGTGAATGCAGATGTTCTTTCCACCATAGGTTTGTGGTATGACAGTATATAAATAACCTTCATTAAACTAATACACTTTAATATTTACTGGATTGAATACTATCCTTTACAACAACTATTGAGAAAGACTAATGTTAGGTAAAAGTCTAGTAGCACCCAAATCAATATTGCCCTGTGAGTGTTCAATAATATGTAGAGTTCATTAGTGAACTGTTTTTTAAATATCAATTCTTAGTAAATATAGACCAAGAAGAGATAGAAAAAGAATGGGAGATATTTACATACAAAAGTATTCAAACATGTCTCACTTTCAACCTATATTACAAAGAAAACCAGTGGCAAAATATGCTAAGCCTTACAATATCTTCATAAGATGCTATAAATATGAAGTTGGTTAGAAACTGCTGTCATTCTTTGGTGGCACCAGATAAATTTTTTAAATAATATATAACAGAACATATCTTTTCAGTGATTTTATTTCAGGGGACCCTGATTCTTATGACTTTGACATCCTGGGACAGAATGCATGGTAGAGGTTCCCTCCCCAGAAGTCCTAGACTGATACACATTAGGCCATTTTATGAGAAGGAATCTGTCAGGATCACAGTCTTTCTCCCTCAAATCAAATGAAAAAGGTAACAAGGCTGTCACAAACAACTTATTAAATAATATAGCTCTCCAAACTTTGGGTCTAGAGTAGAGGATTTAAGGCACATACTTCCTGACCACAACTGAAATCATGATACCTTTAAAAAGATACGACTATGAAAATACAAAATTGCACGCAATTTTTTTTTTATTTTTATTTTTGAGATAGAGTCTTGCTCTGTCTCCCAGGCTGGAGTGCAATGGCATGATCTCGGCTCACTGCAACCTCCGCCTCCTGGGTTCAAGCGATTCTCCTGCCTCAGCCTCCTGAGTAGCTGGGACTACAGGCATGCACCACCACGCCTGGCTAATTTTTGTATTTTTAGTAGAGATGTGATTTTGCCATGTTGGCCAGGCTGATCTCGAACCCCTGACCTCAGGTGATCTGCCTGCCTCTGCCTCCCAAAGTGCCAGGATTACTGGCGTGAGCCACCATGCCTGGCCCAAAATTGTACACTATTAAATTCATTAATGTTATACAGGGCATAGCACTTAATATGGAAACTGGGACATTCAATACAGAAGGAATCAGAAATGTATTATAGGTCACATTGAATAAAAATCTATACAATAGCTTTTACTATTGTTAAGTACCTGGCACAACTTAAAAGCTCACTATTTTGGACTAAATGGGGAGTAACATTCATAATGACAATAAAATCTCTACCTCTGGATGAAAAAAGGATCATTTAGGTAAAAATTAAATGTTCCTAACTAAATGCAGCTTAACTAACCTCATATATACATAATATAACCGATAGTTTTGTCTACCAAGGGTCTTATGAAAATTTAGGAATAATAACCATTAACTTTTTTTACATAGCTACTGCTAAAATGCTTTAAAAGACCAAATTTTATTTGCACTATTTGCTGTGTGTTTTTTCTTTTTTACATAGTGAAAAGGTAAACATTAACCAAGGCTACCTGTTATATCACAAATTCCAGGTTAATGATGTATTACTTTCTCCCTTTGGGAAGAGCAAGGTTGGCTGTAAGAAGATCGTATTACTTGCTGGCCCTTAATTACGGAGGGATATGGACAATCTCCCAATAGCAAACACTGAACAAATTTGGTGATAAAGGTTTTTGGATGGTAGTCAGTAGGCCACTCAATAACTTAATTTTAAAACAATTCACTATTACTTTAAAGGGCTTTCTAGGCCTAGGACTGTCCCTAGGTGTTTGGTGACTTCTCTTCTAGCCCTGTGGCTTCTAAAGATTTCTTTTTTTTTTTTTTTTTTTTTTGAGACGGAGTCTCGCTCTGTGGCCCAGGCGGGAGTGCAGTGGCGCAATCTCGGCTCACTGCAAGCTCCGCCTCCCGGGTTCACGCCATTCTCTTGCCTCAGCCTCCCGAGTAGCTGGGACTACAGGCGCCCGCCATCACGCCCGGCTAATTTTTTTTTGTATTTTTAGTAGAGACGGGGTTTCACCGTGTTAGCCAGGATGGTCTCGATCTCCTGACCTCGTGATCCACCCGCCTCGGCCTCCCAAAGTGCTGGGATTACAAGCGTGAGCCACCACGCCCGGCCAAGATTTCTTTAACACTCCAGCAATCAGCCTCTTCCTTCTCTTTTTTCATTTAAATCTGATAGTTACAAAATCTGGTAGAACTGGTGTGCAGTATTACAAAACATTATTGTGGACTGCTTTTTACTTTAATTTACACAAACACAAAAACTGCTCAAATTTGAGGTACAATTTACAATGCAAATTTTTTTGTTTGTTTTTTGTTTGTTTGTTTGAGACACAGTCTCACTCTCACTCAGGCTGGAGTGCAGCGGAGTGATCTCAGATTACTGCAACCTCTGTCTCCCAAGTTCAAGTGATTCTCTTGTCTTAGCCTCCGGAGTTAGCTGGGACTATGGGTGTGCGTCACAACGCCCGGCTAATTTTTGTATTTTTAGTAAAGATGAGGTTTCACCATGTTGGCCAGGCTGGTCTCAAATTCCTGACTGCATATGATCCATCCACTTCGGCCTCCCAAAGTGCTAAGATTATAGGTGTGTGCCACCGTGCCAAGTCTTTACTTTTAAATGTGGTAACTTGAAGCTCTAAATATCAAGAATTTTTGAACAAGAGACACTTCAGCACACATTTAGAAGTAAAATATAACCAGTCGCCTTTGGATTTACCTCCACTACTCAAATACTAGAATACTGAGGACCGTAGCCTGAGGACCATAGCCAGCTGGTCCTTAATGTCAGCCAATCCCTGGCACCCTGGAATCAATGTATCATATTCACTAATCTTCCTATTGCCCAGAATCTTAGCACTATTTCACCAATTCAGTTTGGTGATGCTGAGAGAATTGATTCTAGGGATAAAGACTACTAAGAATGCACAATGTACTAATTCCAATTTCAAATACTAGCACTGAAGAATGCCATTCTAAATATATTAATGTTATGCTTAGGCAGTTTTATCCATAGTTTTGGTCACTAAAATCGTCCAAGTAGAGCAATATCAAAAACTTATTTCATTATAAAAATTAGACTTCGCTAATTCTGTCTTTTAAAAACCCCAATTAAAGTTCATTTACTGTAATTAACAAACAAATATATGACTTAAGAACTAAAGAGACAGACTTATTTTAAATGCATAGTTAGCTACATGACTTGGGAGCTGATTATCTGGTTTCTAGATTATGAAGTCCCTTGTATTTGACTTCTGATTAATTTCTCCAATCAGTTATGAGAAAAGGAAAGGTAGGAAAAAGAAACAGGGAAAATCTTAGAAATTATTAGCTGCTCTTACAAAAGTTTAGGTCAAAGATTTAAGAAAGATAAAACCGACGGCTAAATGTAGACTTCATTAAAAATTACCAAAAGACAGTTGTATGCTGATCATAGAGTTTTCAACTATACATAGAACCATAACATTTTGTTGAAATAATACTGTGGTATACATCTATATTCTTATATGCAAAGGCCAGAAACTGTCTCTGGTTGGACCTATTTACATCTGTAAAAGATGAAGCAGTAGACCTTTCTAGGAAGCTGGAAAGGGTATGTAAGATTATATATTTACATACCTATCCATTTATTTTACGAAGACTAACTCTTAGAAGACTACTCAAGCAGTTACTTAAGTCAAGCTGGTAATTGATTAGGAAGTAGGCATAAGCATTTAGGCCAGAAAAAATTGGTCCTATCAATTTGAGTATTTTACTATGAATACATTATTTTCTATGAAAATATCTTATGTATCTTAGGTAAGTCACTTATTTACAAAACATTTTACATTTGTCACTTAGGCACAGCCTAAGTCATCTTTACCTTTCATAACTGTACAGTCTGCAGCTTGCTGTGGCCCACATGGAGAAGTAAGCAAAGACTTTATACCTCTATTTTATGATATAATCACCTATGTATTACTCTTCTAGGCAGTAGGAACATATTAGATTACCTCTATAGACATAGAAAATTTCTGAGTCAAAAGGAAAACAAAATCTTACTACATTATAACAAGGTAAAGGTGAAGGGATTCATTCTATAGCAGCGTTTCACATCTGCAGTTCATGAAACTCTCATGTTTCATGAATTAATATACAAATAAACACATAAACCCTGAATTATGCTAGTTTCTTCTAAAATAAAAAATATATATGAAAAAAACCCTAATACATGTATATGTTATTATACAACAATCTGCTTTTAAGAAATGGTGTGCCATGAATGCCAGAAATCAGAAAAGGTACACCTGATGTTCTAATGCCTATCTGATCTGTATAACATTTCTTACTGTAGGTTTAACATTAACCAACAAGTCATGTTATTAGTTATTTAATGATTACCAGTAAGCACTTACTTTATATCAACTTATAGTTGTACTATTATTCAATTTGTATTGCATATTAAAGTACTTAATAAAAATTTGGTAATTTCTAATAGCAATTAATTTGTGAAACTATTTTCCTGCTATACATTAAGGATACAATATATTTAATAATTTTTTTCTATTTTATTAATACTTTATTTTCAAAAATGCTTCCATAGTTAAAGTAGTTCTGGAAACTGTTCCATTAGGTATAAGGACAATGACTCCTTTTCTCCATTTTTATTTGGCTTGTTGTGATGTTTTTCTAGTTGTATTAGTTTTTCTTTAAAAAGTAGAGAAAGATGGTCCAGTACATGACATGGGTGAGAGTCATATTTTTTCCCTACCCATTTAATGCAAGATATAAAGAAGCTTTCCTAGCTTCTATCTCTTTTAGAATTTTCTGTTAAAAATTCTTACTCTGTCTTATGATGAACAGATTGATGAAGATTGTGGCCTACCATTAAGTGTAAAAGTAATGTGCTTATAAGGGATGAGTGCACATTTAAACAAAAAAATGTTAAGAGGGCCATGAGATCGGATATTAGATACACAGTTATTTACCTAGTTCTGTTAAAGAATATTTTACAATGTTCTGCATGGTATGTCAGGTTATAGGTTGCTCTGGCATTACTTCTTGAATACATTTTTATATCCTTGCTGGATTAAGGCACTATAACAGTCATTGCTAGATTACATAAGGTTAATAGCAATCATATAGAACAAAGGATAATAATGAAAAAGTTTTAATATCTCATGTAAATGTTATATGCCTTACTTTACCAGTTAGTTTGTCAGAAAGGTTTGTCCCATGTAACCATCTGTGAGCTTCTTTGAATAGTTCTGTAATCTAGACATACAGGCAATTAGAAAAGGGAGGGTTAATCCTGTTTATGGCATATAATATATATGGTATATATAGTATATATGGTATATAGTATATATGGTATACAGTGTTCTACCTAAACCCAAGGGCAACTCTGGCAATTATAGCTTTGATAATTTCTCACTTTCTCCATCTCAATGTCCAAAAGTTATACTACTCATGACTTATTGCAGAACTGCTCTTCAAAAGGTACCATTCTGCTTTGTGATTCATGCAAAACTTGAGTGAAAACTGCAAACCATCAGCCAAATGTGAAACTATCATTCACAAATTATGTTAAAATAATCTAAACATGGGACTGGACTCATTCTTGCTGAATGGGTAGATGAAACACAAAATGTTTTATATCATCCCAGACTCTTTGATGAACACTTAAGATGAAGATAAGATTTCTAGTGAACTTCAAGCTCTATTTTCTTGTCTAACCATTTTGCTCAGTTTTTTAAGTATTTCACAACACTGTGCACTCCTGTTCAACCAAGAAGAACTTTCTGCATTCTGCGTGCAGCAACACTAGCTTCATCTTCTGAGTCAGATTCACTCTGGGAAGTGGAGCTGTGAGAGGCAGAACTGCAAGGGGAAGAACATTCTGGTGAACACAAGTAGTGCATCAGTGGGAGGCGATACTTCCCACAGAAGTCCACAAATTTAATTTGTCTGACACAGCAGTCAAAGTAGACTCCTAAAGAGAAGAAGGAATAGAAAGTAATCATTACAAAGCAAGGAATCAATTTCTTTTTCAGCCCTTTCTCCAGTGTTCTGGAGAAATGTCATACACCATCTTCTGTTATGAATCTTAAGCAGAAGTAGTACTTGCTTGTATAGCTGTCTATAAGCCTACTGGAAGGTCTTAAAGGTAGAATCTGGGTGCAAAGAGGTAACCAGGACATTTATCTTAAAGGGAGCAGGCACAGAAAGGACACTGTGTACCTAGCTTCTTTTCTCTGGGAGACTTGGGGCAATGGCTGATGGAGATTTTAGGACACCTGAGGTGCCCTTTCTCTATTACCCAAGCCACCCCCTTGGTACTACCCTACAGTCACAGACTAAAACAAAACAACATAAAAACTCCTTTAATAATTATCTTAAAGAATTAGTATACGAAAAATTTTCAGAAAGGGGATGACTTTTGGCACTCCTGTTCTTATGTACTGGGAAGGCAAAATTTAAAGAAATAAATGCCATTTTACATTTCCAAAGACTGTAAATCTACAGGCCTCAAATCTGTTTCACTGATGATCTCACTTGATTCTCATACAATTACACATCGTCAGGTAAACTGAAAGTAATATCTGGCCCTTTTGATTCCTAGGTTAGTGCTCCTCGACTGTGGCCCTTCAGTTAAGTAAAAACAGAGCTAGAGCTGAGAGGAAAGCAGATGTTGCTGTGCCTCTGGATTCTAGCTGGTCCTTAAAATGATACTGCAAATCTCTAAGACAAAGACTGTCACAATGGTTGCAGTATAACCAGAACATCTAGAATTTTGGTCCAATCACCTCTCTGGAGAGGAATCTCAAGCTCTATACTCTGCCTAAGTTTCTTCTGGCACCAAATACTGTGTGTTTATCACATAAGGGACCAAAATTAAAAGATGTGGTCCAAGCAAAGGAAAAACAATGAATTCTACTTCTATTTTTTTCCTGATATCTCAACTAACCATGTAGTTTTTTTTTGATCTTGTAGTAAGTATAAAAAAGGCGAAATTTGTGGTACATTACTCTGAATGATTGAGGAAAGTAAATACATTCAATAAGTTGGTCAGTCATAGACCGATAATAAATCCCCTAAAATGTGTTAGCTTCTTGAAAACAGATGAAAGAAATAAAATAAAGCATTATGGGAGTTACTACGAACTAAAGCAGTATAACACTATCTTGTGATTTATAAGATTTCAGATTATACAAAGAAAAGTATCTCTGAGAATATAAAAGTACTTTTGTTTAAGTTACAGTTTAATAACTAACGAATTTGAGGGGGAAAATGTCTAATGGTTCATTTCATAGATTATCTCAAATTTTAAACTGATACTTTTTTTTTTTAAGAGACAGGGTTTCACTGTGTCACCCAGGCTGGAGTGCAGTGACATGATCACAACTCATGGGACCCTTGAACTCCTGGACCCAAGCCATCCTCTTACCTCAGCCTCCTGAGTAGCTGGGACGACAAGCACATGCCACTATGCCCAACTAATGTTTATATTTTTTGTAGAGATGGGGTCTCGCTATGTTGCCTAGGCTGGTCTCAAACTCCTGGGCTTAAGAGATCCTCTTGCCTCGAATGGCGTGAACCCCGGAGGCGGAGCTTGCAGTGAGCCGAGATTGTGCCACTGCACTCCAGCCTGGGCAATACAGCGAGACTCCGTCTCAAAAAAAAAAAAAAAGAAAAAAAAAAAGAGATCCTTCTGCCTCAGCCTCCCAAAGTGATAGAATTACAGACAGGCATGAGCCACCACACTCGGCCTTAAGCTGGTAATTTTTAAAGCATTTTTGTTCCTAAGATAAATGGCACATCAGTATACTAAAGAAGTCATTAAGGAAATATTTAAGAGAGAAAAGAGAATTCCTGTAGAGGTCCATTTCCAGAAAAGCATGAATTCAAAGGAGATTTAGACTTTCAGGCCTGAGGGCCTGGTGTGAATGCTGCCCTATGTGTTTTCCTCTGTCACTGTGAAAGCTAATTTAGGAATGGAGAATCAGAGAAAAGCACAGTGCTGCAATCTCTACTTCTAAGAGTGGGTGGCCAGAAATGATCCAGAGCATTATCTTTTTTAAACTCAAAGTGTCTTTTTTATCTTTTAACAATCTTTGAAGAATTTGATAATTTTCTCCCTTTTAACCTTGTAATAGCTTCAAGACAAGATCGGACTGCCAGAGAAAGTCTCACCTGGTTTTGATCATCATTATGCAGCATTTCCTCAGTACCTACTGGATTTTTTAAAAGTAGTCTTTTATGAGGGAGCCAAAGTGAAAAATGACCTACTATCAGTCACTAATTCTCACCCACACACCCTGGCCCTTCAGGCTCTTCACAACCAGGACTCAATGTAGCTTTTCACTCTCATTACTCCCCTAACCTTACATTTGGAGCAAATTACTACTCATCCAACAGTCTGCCCCATACTCTTCTGTCTCCACTTTGTACTCGCCATCTGAAAAATTTCCTATCCTCAATTTTATCCTATCAAAATCTAATTCATACCTCAAGAATTAGCTCATTGTTTCCAGATCTAATTAAATATACTCTCCCCCTCCTTTGATTTCCAGAAGCATTTTGAATTCCTTGGGATACTTACCTGACTCTGCCTTATATCATTTGCATAATTCTCTTCAAATGCTCTAAACTCAAGACATTTTGAACCATGGACTTAAAAGAATATAAAGTTTTGGGTACATTCTGTAACTGGCACACATTCAGCCCATTCTCATACATCTTGATTAAATCTGATACAGGGAATGGTGAGTCTAAGAAAACATCATTCAAATAAATATAAAAGGTGGGCCGGGCGTGGTGGCTCACGCCTGTAATCCCAGCACTTTGGGAGGCCGAGGTGGGCGGATCACAAGGTCAGGAGATCAAGACCATCCTGGCTAACAAGGTGAAACCCCGTCTCTACTAAAAAAATACAAAAAAAATTAGCCGGGTGTTGTGGTGGGCGCCTGTAGTCCCAGCTACTCGGGAGGCTGAGGCAGGAGAATGGCGTGAACCTGGGAGGCAGAGTTTGCAATGAGCCGAGATCGCGCCACTGCACTCCAGCCTGGGCAACAGAGCAAGACTCTGTCTCAAAAATAAATAAATAAATAAATAAATAAATAATAAAAGGTGTCCAAACATTTTAGAAACAGTTTTTAAACAATTAGAACTGTTTATACTTCCTTGTGTTTCCTCTCATTTTACCATCTTGATTTATTATCGTATGTCAAGACAGGATGAGACTTCCTGGGTATGTTCCTTATGTATGAATCCTAAAATATTATGAAAAAGAATTTTTTAAAAAACCCAGAGTGAAATGTCTTTCTCATAAATGAGTGAAAAAATAAAGGGAACAGAAACAGAGACTGCTTTTGTCTGAAAGAAGACTTAATTAATTTAAAAAATAGCTAAATAAGTGGGAAACATGAATACTGAATTAACTTACCTCCACACTTTGGGTTTGGGCAATTGCTGGCTGAACCCAAGTATCTAAGAAGATTTCCAGGAAGATCATAGGGAGTGTAGGAAATATTTCGAATCTTAATGGTCCGTGCAGCTAATTCCAGGAGAGTTGGAGGATCATAGGTTAAATCTCTAACAAAACGAACAACCAATGGATTTCCTCGTAAACTCAACTCTTCCAAATGAATAAGGTTGAGGATCTCTCGAGGCAGATATGTCAGCAAGTTATTGTGAAGACTTAGGGAACGAAGTGAATGTAACCTAGAATAAATGTAGTAGAAAAATCAATGGCAGTAAACAACGTAACTATCAAAAATATTGAATATATGTGTGTATACAGAACTTGATTTCCCCTTAAGAATGAGCAATTAAGATTAAGGTCAATTGAAGTAAAATAAAAAGGTGCTGAAACTAGATCAAAGTGCAGATTTGTAAATGTCATGAAGGACTTTTGCCCTTGCAATCTTGGCGAATTTAGAATACTTAGAGAATGTTCTGATGTGCTAACTGCTGTAAAACCTAGATTTGAAGATTTGGGGGTGGGCAGTGGGCATGCTTTCTCATTCAGATATCTAAAAAAAGGAAAGATTTCAAATGCAACAGAAATTAAGATCCTTCATATTATAAAGCCTAATTAGGATAGAAATGTTTCATATCAAATATAAAATCACTAAAAGTCTCATAAAACCTAGGGAAATGTATGCTAATACTCAATTCTTTGATTACAGAAAATAGACTGAACAAATATTTTGAAGAATAAACCAGAGCATTTAAAAGTGAAATTAAAAAAACTCAGCTTGCAGCAAACCTCAGAACTATAATTAACATATCACTTACTTTGAGAATATCTAATTCTTTTCTACATATAAAAACATGTGAGTGAATACAAGACAATAATTACTAAGCATAGATGTCTGCGTATATACAAATGCCTGGAACTACTCACTGTGAAAGTTGAGGAGGTATGCTTTGGATTTTGTTGTCACATAATACCAAATAATTCAGAGAAGGCAGATTTCCTAATTCTGGTGGGATTTCTTTAATGAAATTTCCTCCAAGATATAAACACTCTAAACTGCAAAAATAAATGAACAAAACCAAAAAAGTAAATAAAGTTGAAAAAGATACCCCATTGTGTCTACTACAAAAAACACGTTTCATCTATTCATTCAGCAAATGTTTTACTTAAGATTTGCTATGTGCTATCCAGTCTCTAGAGAAACAATGCAATTTTCAGGGAGCTTATACTATAGCTAAGCAGACGAGACAGACCAATGTTAGATAACATTATAATGAAACACAAAACAAGGCCAAAAATAGGCATTACAATACCAAAATAAGAGAGACAAACCATAAATGGTATTAGGAGTTGAATGAAAAGGAAGATAAAAGTTTTAAAAAGGCCACAGTAGTTCTGAATGGAACAGGCTTCCCCAAAGGGCTGTGACTTCAGCTGGGCTATGGACTTAGCCCATTTAGACAAGAAGAAAGAGTACACTTCAGGTTGGAGGAGAGGGCTTGTGAAGGCACAATGAATATACCTGTTAATAGAAGAAAATTCATCTTGAGGAATCAAAGATTAAGGTTGTAGAGAGACCAGATTACAAGAACCCTGAATTCTATGCTAGTATGCTTGGATTTGATTGATGCACTGACAGGCAATGGGAAAACCACTAGCTTGTTTTTGAATAGACTGTAAAACTATGAAGTCTCTACATTTCTTCTTCGCTCTTATTATAGCAAATACATTCTTCAGAGGCTGTGTAAATTGTCCACTACTATAAAATCAAAGTTCCAGGTAATTATACTGTTTTCCAACAATAGGTTAACATTTTAGACATGGCATATATTGCACTAAAATAAAAAAAAAGAGAGTACTCTTTGATGATTACTGTTGAAAGGCTTCCTTCAAAAGATTTTTGCAGGGGGTAGCAGGATCAGTTCTTACTATATATATTTATTTATTTATATATAAAAAATATATATTTATATATATTATACTATAAATAAATAAATAAAATGTATACAAACACATACAGATTTTTTCTCCCAATACTGTATTACTTTTATCTTCCTGTTAAATCTGCTAACTCAGTAGAACTACTGTTTTTTCAAAACACCTTTAAATGTGGGAGAAAACAGCCTACTAAAGGGTTACCCAAACTTCCATGGTAAGAATTCCCTATGATATTTTTAAAGCTATGAAGTCCTGACCCCATCCAGATGCACTAAATACTGTCTCCCTCCCTTGAATTGCCTGTGAACTGGCAGATTTTAGAATATAAGGTGTAATTTTAACAGATAAAGCCAAGTTACCTTGTGCAGCCATGGCTATTTACAAATCCATAATTAGCATATAAGAGCACTCCTTAACCTACAACTTTGCCAACACCTAGTATTATCACCAGCATTTATTTATTTATTTACTATTTGATGGTATAAAAAATGGTACCATTCTGTGTTTTTAATCTGCAGATCTGTAGGTCCCTAACTATTAGTGAAGTTTAGCATCTTTTTATGGTTTTAGACATTTGTATATCTTTAGAGAATTACCTGTTCGTATCATTTATCTATTTTTCTCATGAATTATGCAGCTTTATCTCATTAATTTGTTGGGAGTTCTGCTGTTGTTAAATATATATATATATTCTGCATAACTTTGTTCCTTTGTGGCCTCAAGCATGGTCTATTTTCATTCATGTATTATATGTACAAAAAGAACATGTAGCTATTATGATTGAGCTCGTTAACTGAGCAAATTTTTTTTCTCTTATTATTTTGCCTTCTTGCTCTGGTGGTTAGTCTCCTACTATAAACATGATTTTCCTTCTTCCCTTCAGAGTCCTGTCAATCTTTACTTTTTTTCTCATTAATATACAGAAGTTATACTACAGATACATTCAAGCTCATGACTGCTAAAAACTTCCTGAAATGAGCCTTAATTCATATGAATCATTTCTATTTGTTCTTTTTTTTTTGAGACAGACTCTTACTCTGTCGCCCAGGCTGGAGTGCACTGGCATGATCTCGGCTCACTGCAACCTCTGCCTCACGAGTTAGGTCAAGCAATTCTTCTGCCTCAGCCTCCCGAGGAGCTAGGATTACAGGTCCCTGCCACCATGCCTGAGTAATTTTTGTATTTTTAGTAGAGATGGGGTTTCACCATGTTAGCCAAGCTGGTCTCGAATTCCTGACCTCAGGTGATCCGCCCACCTCAGCCTCCCAAAGTGCTGGGATTACGGGCGTGAGCCACGGTGCCTGGCCTCTATTTTTTATTTTAAATACCTTTTGCCCTGAAATCTATGTCCTCTGATTATCAACACTGCTTACCAGTTTTATTTTTGTTGGTATTTATTTCATTCAATCCCAGCTCTACAACTTACCAGTATAAAAATTTGGATCAGTTACTTAATCTTGCAGTTTCTTCCTTTTAAAAATGGAATAATATTATCTATCATATAAAATGCCCAGTTAACAAATATGAACTAACACCTACAATGTGCCAGGCACCATTCTAGGGAATAGAATGTAAATAAGTTCAAGTTCTTGACCTGAATAAGTTTACATTTTAGTGAGAAGACAGACAATAAATCAATAACATGTCCATTATGCCAGATAGTTTTAAATGTCACAAAGAAAAAGGGGGAGCAATCAGATAGTGATGGAAGTTACACTCTAGAGAGGGTGGACAGAAAAAGTTTCTCTTAGGAGATGACATCTGAACAGAGATCTAAATGACTGAGTACAAACCCCAATGGAAAAGTGATTGGTGTGTTGTGAAACAGCAACACAGCCAGTTTGACTAGATGAGTAGATCAGAATGACTGAGGTGGGACTGTGGTCATCAAAGAGATCAGAGAGGTAGCCTGGAAAGGCCACATCACAGAATGTCCTTTGGGCCTCTGTAAGAGCGTTTTGAAAAAACAGTTCTGAACAAAGGTTAGTCATTTAACTTGACTTACTCTTTAGAAGGATCACTTTGGCTATTGAGTGGCAAACAACTGGAGAAGTGGTTAGGGGAGCACTGTGGGCAGGAATAGAAGGAGGAAAAGCAGACTGGAGCCTAATCCAGTACTTCAGATGAGAAATGACAGATTTGCCTGGTACATCATTTCCTATCCCTTTACTTATAACTTATTGGTGTATTTTTATTTTAAGTGTAAATTTTTATAAATGAAGCATAATTTGAAGATTGATATGTTCGGACTTGTGTTTTCTATTATCATGGTGTCTCTCCACATACCTTTTCCCTTTAGTTCTGCTTCTTATTGTGCTCCTCAAGTTTATTTTTGTTCTTTTCCCTCTACTTCTACTGTTTTGAACTGTATATGCTATTTCTATTTTGCCAGGAGTTACCCCCTTCAATTTTCGTTGTACTCTCTCAGTCTCAAACACATACCCATGCTCTCTTCTGTCCTTCTCTTCATATCATCTTCTAGAATTAGTTCTACCCCGATTTTCTACCAATTTATTTTATTTCCAATCAGTACATTGATTCAGATTTATCAATATGTTTTACCAATTTTATCATTTTTTTTGGAGGCTTGTTATTTAAGGTTCATTTTTCTTGGAGTACATCCTTCAGAAGTTCTTTCAGCAAGAACTCATGGTTGTTAATCTTTGAGTCCTTTGTTTCTGGTGTTTTAACTTTTTCCCCTCACTCTTGAGTAATAGTTTAGCTGGGCATAAAATTTCAGATTGGCAGTTACTTTTCCTTGGCACTACGAAGATGCTGCTCCGTTATCTTATTACAGCCAATATTACTATTGTTCCTTTGTAGGTAATCTTTTTTTTCTTTCCTCAATAGGAGTAAAGATTTTTTCTTATTCATCTTTAATGTTCTAAAGTTTTACTACGACATGTTAAGATATCAGTTTAGAGAGCTCCCTTTCTTTAACTGTGGGAAATTTCAGCCACCATTACTTCACACATTGTTTTTCTTTCATTGTCTTTCTAGAATTGCTCTTAACAGTTTTTTAATTTTTTTTTAATTTTTATTTTTTGAGATGGAGTCTTGCTCTGTTACCTAGGCTGGAGTGCAGTGGCACGATCTCGGCTCACTGCAATCTCTGCCTCTCTGGTTCAAGCAATTCTACCTCAGCCTCCCGAGTAGTTGGGATTACAGGCGCCCGCCACCACGCCTGGCTAATTTTTGTATTTTTAGTAAAGACGAGGTTTTACCATGTTGGCCAGGCTGGTCTCAAACTCCTGACCTCATGATACGCCCACTTTGGCCTCCCAAAGTGCTGGGATTACAGGCATGAGCCACCATGCCCAGCTGCTATTAGCAGTTTTAACTTCAGGATCTATCCTCTATGTCTTAATATTTCTTTCATACTTTTTATTTCTTTATCTCTTTGAGCTGAATTCCAGGAAAATAACTCAGTAAAATCTTTCAGCTTATGGATTCATTCTTCAGCTGACTTCTGTCCACCTTTTAGTCTAGTTAGTTAGTTCATAATTACATCTTTTCATTTCTAGAAACTCCAATTGGGGTTTTCATAATTGTCAGTTTTAAAACTCCCTATTCTTGCTTCACTGATGAAGTTCCTTCCTTTATCTCTCTGAAATTAAAAATTCTTTGCCGATTGCCTTATTACAGATATTTTCTCAAGTATAATTTTTCTGTCTTTCATAATCTCAGCCTTCCTTGATGTGTGGTTATTCAAAATGCCAACTTGAATCTAACATTTTGTCTTTTTAAAAAATACATTAGGTCAGGTGCAGGGGCTCACACCTAATCCCAGCACTTTGGGAGGCTGAGGCAGGTGGATGACTTGAGGTCACGAGTTCGAGACCAGCTTGGCTAACTGGTAAAATACCGTCTCTACTAAAAAAACAAAAACAAACAAACAAACAAAAACAAAAATTAGCCAGGCGAGGTGGCAGGCACCTGTAATCCCAGCTACTCAGGAGGCTAAGGCAGGAGAATTGCTTGAACCTGGGAGGCAGAGGTTGCAGTGAGCAGAGGTGGCACCACTGCACTCCAGCCTGGGTGACAAAGTGAGACTGTCTCTCAAACAAACAAATATATGTATATATTAATGACACTTTTAAAAAAACGTATCTCTGATCGTGTAAAGCTTTTCAAAATTCCATTTCTCTCTTTAGACTTAAAATGTTTAGAAAAAGTAAGCAGATAACTTTAATTTTCTGTTATTTTCTTTCTCTTTCAAAGATTATCTTGCAGCAAAAGTCAACTGGTTATAAGATTGAATTCTCCTACTGCAAGTGCTTAAGCATTGGTGAAAACAGTTCCTAGGCAGGGTTTTTAAAATTCTACCAAGTATGGCATAAGTTACTGCCCAGTTACTCAGAAATCCTTATTTTTCAATGATGACAGCTACTTGAATAGAATAGAACAGAACAGAACAGAATACAATATTTGGAGTCCAAATAACAGAAACTACTAGGTTCCTGGAAAAGGGACTATTTCAATGAGAATACTATCAGGGAAAAAAACTGAGCAAACCTCAAAGTCCTTTTTACAAAGGATTTGATAGCTAAATAATAACTTGCAATATAGTCTAGAGAGGGAGAAAAAAAATAAAGTAAAAAAAGGAAGAGTGAGTCTGAGGGCAAGTGTAAATATTATCCTTTCTATTTGCTTAGGTCAGTGTTATGGATTGAATGCCTGTGCCCTCCCAAAATTCATGTTGAAACCCTAACTCCTTAACGTTAGGGTATTAAGAAGTGGGGTATTTGGGTGGTAATTAGGATTAGATAAGGTCAAGAGGGTGGAGCCCTCGTTAATGGGATTAGTGTTCTTCTAGGATTCCCAAGGCAACTTGCTTCCTCTCTCCATCATGTTGATGTAACAGGGAGGCACAGCTGGGGCTGCACATTCCATGGAGCTGGGGGGAGCCCTGCCCTTCTGTGTTGGGAACAGAGCTCCCCAGGTGCAGCTGTGGTGGCCCAACCTGCAGCTGCAGACCCAGGCCTCCTGCTCTACAGAGCAGGGAGAAGCCCCACCCTCCTGGGTGGGGCTACAGCCACCTAAACTGCAACTGTGGATCTGAGCCTCCCTGTGCTCTAGGGGGAGGGCTGGGAGCAGGCAGGACCTGCCTTCCCGCGAGCAGCTGCAGCCGTCCTCCCAGGTGCAGGAGCTGGGTATCTCTGCAGCCTGCACCCTTGGGGGCCCCAGGAAGGATCCCCCCAACAATCCCTGCAGGCTCGAGGGTGTCTTCTCCCGCTGCCTGGCCTCTCTCCAGCCCCCGCTCCCATCTTGGAGCAGGAGCTGGGGCTGAGCCTGGGGCATCACAAATGGCATCAGGAGGCAGACTGATTCCTGGGCAGAAGAGGGTGGGTCCCCAGTAAGGCCCCACCTTTGGACCAGGGTGGGCCTGAAGGCTGGGGGCCAAGCTGCCAGTCGGGCAGATGGGAGTGGGGACTCCTGGTGCCTCTCCCCGCCTGCCCATGGTCACCCATGGACCAATCAGCATGCACTTCCTCCCCTCTGAGGTCCATAAAAGCCCTGGGCTCAGCCAGAACAGGGCAGAGGAGGAAGAAGACAGAGAGAAGATGGGATGGGGTGACCAGCTGCAGAGAGGAGTATCCTCTAAGCTGAGAGCTACAGAGATGACCTGCCGGGAGAGAGGAACCACCCTCTCAGCTGAGAGCTTCAGAGACCTCCAAGAGCTTCAGAGACCTGCAGAGATATCCGAATGACTTGCTTGAGGAGAGGGGCCACCCTCTCCAGGGCCTCCTGTCTGCTGAGAGCTGAACACTTGAAGGGACCACCTGCCTACAGAGAGGAGCTACTCACTCATCTCAGCTGTTCTAACAGTAAATAAAACTCTTCTTCACCCTTCACTTGTCTGTGTACCTCATTCTTCCTGGATGCAGGACAAGAACTTGGGCAAAAGTGCCATGGCCACAGAGGTTTCCAGTCAGAAAAATCAACATCCCAGAGATCCCGTAACAATGTGAGGCCACAGTGAGAAGACTGCAGTCTATGAACCAGGAAGAAAGCCCTCACCAGACATCAAATTCCAGGACCCTGATCTTGGAATTCCCAGCCTCCAGAACTGTGACACATAAATTTGTGTTGTTTATAAGTCACTCAGTTTACGTCTTGTTATAGTAGCCTGAACTTATTAAGACAGTCAGGAACCAAGAAAAACTAGTCTCTGGTGATCATTTGCTACTTGATGTCTTCTTTCAATGCTTTGGAAGTGGACAGGGAAGGTAGACGGAAAGGATGCAAAACATTAGTAGTTACCTTGACTGTGGCAGAAAAGGATCTGACGTTCTAAAATATAACTAAGGCCATGATTTTGCAATTATGTAAATTCTCTTTTGCAATTGATGAATAACACTAATCAAATTACATAACCATCATATTAAATTTACAGTTTCAGGCTTATTTTTTACTTTCTAACTCAAATAATTTCCAAATTTCTAGGGACTTGACATCTTTCGATGATTTGTGGGAATTAAATTTCTATAACACACTCTACTGTTTCTGAATACACTTTTTTTTAAGAAGAAAGGAAACTGTTGTTGAATTTGTAGCAAAACTGTAGGGTTTAAGTTCTTGTGGTTATCAACATTGCAACTCTGTTAATTAGGGTTGGAACAATTCTATTCTTTCAGTATTTGAGGAATACAGAAAACAAGAAAAGTACTCACTAAATTTATGGAACAAATTATTCCTTTCCTGTTTAGCATTAATATATTGACCTTAAAATTGTCTCTTGAAAAATGAATCACGTTTCCAATCCTTAGGGATACTGCAGTGGATGCCTTTTCTCTTATCAAGTACAAATGACCCACTGAAAAAACAGGCTAGCACAAGTAAAAGTAGAAAATGCTTTCTGCTTCTCCAATCAAATAAAACTGACACCGAACATCATAAAAATATACGTTAAGCTGGGCACAGTGGTTCACGTCTCTAATCCCAGCACTTTCGGAAGCTGAGGCAGGCGGATCACTTGAGGTCAGGAGTTCGAGACCAGCCTGGCCAACATGGTGAAACCCCGTCTCTACTGAAAATAAAATTTAAAAAAAAATTAGCCTGGTGTGGTGGCAGGTGCCTGTAATCCCAGCTACTTGGGAGGCTGAGGCAGGAGAATCACCTGAACCTGGGAGGCAGAGGCTGCAGTGAGGTGAGATCGTGCCGCTGCACTCCAGCTTGGTGGACAGGGCGAGACTCTGACTCCAAAAAACAAATAAACAAACAAACAAAAACAAAAAAAAACCCCCAAACAACAACAACAACAAAAATACATTAATCCTATCTTATATGGTTGGTTAAAAGGAGATGGAATTAAAGTAAGATAGGAATGTACAAAGAAGTAGAAAACAGAAAGGAAAAGAAACAGAAAGATAAGAACATCTGTGGATAAAGAAAGTTTTCTTGAAGTAGCATCTTTGTATTAAATGACAAATACTAACATACACCACAGGATTATAAGGTACCTATATGTTCAAAAGTAGACATACAAATAGATGCATCATCTCTTGACACTTGCCCCAAATTAAGGCAATAAAAAAAGTCAGAGGGACGATGTTGAGAGCCAGTGACAAGCTCAGTATGTGACTCTAAATGTGGAAAAGCATTTTCATTTAAACTTTACTGCATTCTATCATCTGGTTGAGTCATCTGTCTCCTTTCTAACATATCAACCTACTGTACACTAACTTCAAAACATTTGAGAGCATTAACTTTTAGCTTTTGTTTTGTCACACCCTCCTATCTCAATCTTTCAAAACCACATCAAACAGATGGTGAGAGGCATCATGAACAGAAAAAGGAAGGCATTACTTAAGAAGAAAAGATTGTAGAAGAGTACCAATGAAACTCAGTTGTGCTCAAACCTACTCTCCAAATATCTAGCATACTGGATTTGCCAAACAATCCAGAAGCTTTTGTTTACTTAAATAAAGTCTATTGGCCATTGAGTGATAAGCTATTAAGCTCTTCCTCAATTAATATCTAACCTAACTGAGAAGAATAAAAGGTATGATTCAGAAAAATAAGTCAGAATATGAATTATACCTACTTTTTCAGCATTATGTAACAAAAAAAATTTTGCCCATATACTATAGCCAAACAATTACACTTATTTGCTGAAGAATAACCACATTTTGATGGAAAGTAACTACATCCACAACCGCATGGTTCACATTGATAACCTAATTTACTCGAGGGGAAGGAAGTTAATCATAAAAATAAGTAAGATTTTCAGCATCTACTTATTTGTTATACTTTGAAAGTGATGCTTCAGAAAACGTTAAAAAAAAAAAGATTTTGCCACTAGGGGAAAGAATTAATAGGGTATAGAAAACATAGATATCTTGCTAAATCTGGAGAGGTCAATGACACCAATTAAGCCATAAGTATTCATTTGTTATTCCTTCCTTAAATGATGAAGAGTGGAAGGAGTGGGGGAGTTTTCATGGATTATATAGTCTGTACTATTTTAATAATTGCTCTTACAGAGGACACATATCTTCTTAATGTGCCAAAACACTAGATCTGGTTTAAAAAGCAGCATGGCATACATAGTATCAATATAAATCAGGGTAACCAATGAAGTCTAGAGGATCCAGGTATTTTCTAAGAGAAGATGGTGTTCTTGGACAGGTAGTTTAAGAGACTAAACCTCCACCTCTACATTTTTGAAGCTTTAATGCATCATATTAGTAGTGAATAGTTAGCAGTGTTTGAAGGCTGAACCACATAACTCTCACTTGTCACTATCTCGCCTCAAGTAAATCACTGATAATAAATCTAAGTTTCCTCATCTGTAAATAGAAGGGGATGAATCGGGTCACTGCCAAGGCTTTTTCTAGCTCAGAGTATATTTCTACACAACCCTTTTAACCTACAATCAGAGTTTATATGTGGAGCATAGCCTAAACCTTTACCGATTCTTAGCAGTAACGAGAAATAAGGCACGCAAGTGAAAAATGAAAACAGTGACGTTAAAGATATCATACATTATTGGTGTCAAAGACACAATGAACAATAAACACAGATAGCACGGTTGTTAGCCCAGAAAACTGAGTCAGAAGATCAGTCAACTATGTGAATGACTTTGACAAATCCTCCTGATCACAAATCCAACAGTACAGAAGTCAAGTTCTAGGCTGGGTGCAGTGCCTCACGCCTGTAATCCCAACACTTTGGGAGGCAGAGGTGGGTGGATCACTTGAGGTCAGAAGTTTGAGACCAGCCTGGCCTGGCCAACATGGTGAAACTTTGTCTCTACTAAAAGTACAAAAATTAGCTGGCGTGATGGCACGCTCCTGTGGTCGCAGATACTTGGGAGGCTGAGGCAAGAGCATCACTTGAACCCAGGAGGCGGAGATTGCAGTGAGCCCAGATCATGCCACTGCACTCCAGCCTGGGCAACAGAGTGAAACTCCATCTCAAAAAAACAGAAAACAAAAAACAAAAAACAAAAACAAGCAAAAAACCATGACCCTCCAACCCCCCAACAAAGATTCAGGTTCTAGTACTCTGCCACTGTGCAGAACTCAAGGGTTTGGAGTCACAGACCACAGAGGTCAAATACAGTTCCAATGCTTACTAGCCTTGTAATCTTATGACTTAATTTCTCTGAGCTTCAGTTTCTGCCTCTGAAAAATGGGAGCACATCATCTTATGGCATCATTGTGAGTATTAAAAAGCATAGTTAGCACCTATGACAGGATCTACTGCATTGTAAGTATTAAATAAATGGGATTTTTGCCTACTTTTCTCCCCATGTGATGGAAATAATACTTTCCCTGGGTTCCTGTTAGTATATTAAGAAAATTCCAAGGCTGGAATTATGCAACATTAAAATTAGAAGGAACCAAGGGCTGTCAATTTTACCTCTAAATCTTTTCTCGAAATCTTCCATTTCTTAGCATTTCTCCTAGTATCAAGCTGGTATAGGCTACCATCATCTCTCATCCTATTACAATGACCTCCTTCAAACCAGCCCTCAAAATCTCTATCTCTTCACCCTCTCCTCACTCCATTCTTGCATAGCAACAAGACACATGCTTAAAACTCTCTCATGTGCACTTAGAATAAAATCCAAACTTTATCATAGCCTTCAAGACCTGACACGGGCTGACTTGCCCAAATTTATATTTGCCACTTTCCCTCTTGCTCACTTCCCAGTACAATGTCCTTCTTTCAGAATTTTAGTAGTTACCCTCCTTGCCTCTGGGCTTTCCCATGTGCCTCTGTCATTTTGTCTCAAGGCATTCTGTAGGTCTTCATAGAACTCATAACCACTGTAATTAAATAATGAGGTTCATAGTTAGTTGTTTAATGTCTGTCTCCTGGATCATGTTCACCATTGTATCCCCAATACTTGGGACAGTGCCTGACACAGGGCAGGTATTCAATAAATATCTATTGAAGAGTAAATGAAGAGACATCTTGCCCAAATGCTTCATTTGTAGATTAGAAAGCTACAGTTAGGATACGCTACAGTTAGGATACAAGTGACTTGCCTAAGGCTGGAGCACCAAGAGTTCTTTTTTCCCAGGCCAATATTCTTTTTTTTTTTTTTTTTTTTTTTGAGACAGAGTCTCGCTCTGTCGCCCAGGCCGGACTGCGGACTGCAGTGGCGCAATCTCGGCTCACTGCAAGCTCCGCTTCCCGGGTTCACGCCATTCTCCTGCCTCAGCCTCCCGAGTAGCTGGGACTACAGGCGCCCGCCACCGCGCCCGGCTAATTTTTTGTATTTTTAGTAGAGACGGGGTTTCACCTTGTTAGCCAGGATGGTCTCGATCTCCTGACCTCATGATCCACCTGCCTTGGCCTCCCAAAGTGCTGGGATTACAGGCGTGAGCCACCGCGCCCGGCCTTCCCAGGCCAATATTCTTTTGCTCCACTTAACTCTGAGGTCCCTTCTACCTTTAACGTTCTGTTATCTCTGAAAATACAATAAAGTGTGAAAATATCTTACAGATGGAAGATACCTCTTTTTCGTTTTGTACAATACATTTGGCTCTATTTCCCACTCCCCCACCGGGCACTTTTATTATCCTGTTTCTCTGCTTCCTCCTAAAGTTAAATTTAACATATTTACTGCATAATCTAGTAGGTGAAGCAGATAATTCCTGTAAACAAGGAATCATATCCAATAAGGTAAATGCAAAGGCAAGATGAATGAAGCACAGAGAAAGTACAGCATAGGCTGTACTTTTTTGTGCAGGGAGTAGTAACGAAAAAAATTGTTGTGCAGGGAGTAGTAAAAAAGGAATCACAGAGATGATTAACTTGAGATAGCTTTTGAAGGATGATAGGCGTTTGCCAGGTGAAGGAAACATTCCAAGCAAGGGAAACAGCACGTGTACAGAGGCACTGCATCCATTCAACACATACTGAGTGCCTACCAGCAACTCCAAGCTGCTTTCTCTACGTGGGAAAATGCATAGGTCACTGAACTCCACAAATGGTAGTTGGTACTGCCACAGAGAAGAGGAAGCTGCAAATGTAGTGGAAAGCAAGGGTTAGATCAGAGCACCTTGTACGCCACGCTCAAAGGCACGTACTTTGATCTATAGAGATGGAAATCCACGGAAGACTTTTGAGCAAAGAAGTGACAACCTCTGATTTACATCTGTTTTGAGTTTCCACTCAGTTTGGATCACGCCCCAGATTCAATAAGGAAGACAGAAAAAATGCCTCGAGAATCTGCATAGGCCAAACACAACACACCAAACAGTCACACATGCGAACATACTAGGTATTTACAACAACTTGCTGAGATGGTTGGGCAGAACTCACTACCGCACAGTTAAAGAGAAAGCTTGGAAATAGTTACGTGACAAACGTTGAGGTGCCCAGGCCCGGCGCCCCAGGGTTCCCGGACACCGCCCGAGGCCTCCCCACCCTCCGGCACACACCCGCTCACCTCTGCAAGTTCTCGATCTCAGCCGGGATGCTCTGCAGTTGGTTGCCGCCCAGGCTCAGGGTCTGCAGCGCGCGCAGCTCTAAGAGCGAGGCAGGCACCTCCTGGAAACAGTTGCCGCTGAGGTTGAGCACCTGGAGGCTGCGGCAGAGCGGCGACTGGGCCAGGCCCTTGGGCAGCGCACTGGGCCCGCCGAGCCGGTTGTTCTTGGCCAGCAGCGTGCGCAGGCCGCGCAGAGCGAGCAGCTCCGGCCCGAGCGCGGTCAACGCGTTGCCGCTCACGTCCAGCAGCTGGAGGTGCGGGAAGCCGCTGCCCAGCGCCCGTGGCAGCGACACCAGACGGTTGTGAGGCAGCAGCAGCCGCAGCAGCGCCTCCCGCGCCCCGCGCCGCTCCTCCCCCCGCGCCTCCAGCTCAGACTCCAGCGTCTCGGTGGACACGCTGAGGCGGGACCAGTTCAGTTCGGCCTCCCCGGCCGTGACCACCGCTGCTCCGGCCTCCTCCATCCTGGCCACCGCACGGCGCGTGGCGCCGGATTCCCCAGAGCGCCGCGCGCGGTCCAGAGGCCGGGAGCTCTGCGGCGCCCCGGAACCTGAACCGAGGGCTGAGTCGGAAGTGGCGCGGGCGGGCGCAAACCCTGCGCGCCTTGGCCGAGTCACGCGACGCGAGTCCTGGGGTGCGCGCGCCGCTCCGGGGCGGGCTCTGCCTCACGAGGCGCGGGGCGCGGAGTGGCAAGAGCGCAGCATGGGCTGCGCAGAACTGAGGCAGACACCCAGAGGCTGCCAAATTGTCATCTGAGCCGGACCGGGTTTCGGCGGCCGCGCTTTATAGTCGCTGGAGCCTGGTGACCTATTCCAGGGCTACAAGACTGCCTCGGCAAACAGCCCAAGGATGTTCGGTTATCTCGCCTTGAGGGTTCGCGCGTCACGTGCCCCCCCCGTCCCCCGCTTGTTTTTCAGTTTAAAAGTGGGGCCCGTGTCTGCAGGACTCTGTGAGCACACAGTAATTTAGTGGTGATTTAGCTCCATGACAGAAAACCGCAGGAATTTAAAGTCCGAGGATTAACAAAGCCGACCTCGAAATGTGAACGCAGCTGGACTAGACCTCAGAACCCCCGGACCCTTACTGGAGGTTCCGCTGTTAAATAGCCTAGGGCAGGGATTTGATTTCAGTTGCCCCATGCATAAAATATGGGTAACACCCGCACTACTTGCCCCACAGAATTATTTTTTTCTTTTTTAAGGCAGAAATGTGTATCAAGTAAGGACGTTTTGCCCGTTTTAATTGTAGAAGCACATACGTGGCTTTTGGTGTAAGTTGTGTCTAGGAGTGAATTTGGGAGATATGGAGGCGGTTGCATGATTTGAGATAGCTCAAATTAATGAGTTAGTTTAAAAACTCAAAGCATAGAGTTTGTACTGCAGGTCAAAACTACAGTTTGGGAAAATCCTGATCTGGTACTAATTTAGTAATTCTAATTAACGTATTTTTCATCCTTGTCCCAAACTCAATCTTTTCTGAAATTACATTTTATGATTTTGAAAAGTAATGAATAGAAATGAGAAAAAATGCTTAGCTTTTTTTTTTTTTAACAAAGCTTATACATAAGAAAGTTAAGTGGTCGTGTATAATCAACGACATTAAATTGCTTTCCTCCTTAAAAAAGGAAAGTCGTTTTTTTCTTGCCAGTCATTTATTTGTATGAGAAACTATGCCTTTACTCTGCAGTCAAACTTTAATTTCTGATTGAGTGGTAGTCCTAGAAGGACGTACTTTGTATGTTTAAGCTAATGGTGGAATGCTTTTTAAAACTGATGAGTCATCTGTTTTGAAAGAGTCCTTTTAAGAACAGACCTTATTTTGGGTCAAGCCAGCATTCTAACAGTAGTCCTAATATCTGAAAATAACAAATATTTAAAATAATAGTTGTTTTTGCTTTAAAATATTTATCTTGGATTTTAAAAAGTGATAGGAACGTAATGTAAAATGAGAAAAAGAAAGGATTCAAACATAATTCAGAAATAAGAGTTGGCCAGGTGCCATGGCTCATGCCTGTAATCCCAGTGCTTTGGCCCAGGCCAGCAGATCGCTGAGGTCAGGAGTTCCAGACCAGCCTGGCCAACATGGGGAAACCCCGTCTCTACAAAAAATACAAAAATTAGCCGGGCCTAGTGGCGCTCGCCTGTGGTGCCAACTACTACACAGGCTGCTGGGAGGATTGTTTCAGCCTAAGAGGTAGAGGTTGCAGAGAGCCATGATTGTGCCACTGCCCTGCACTTTTTTTTTTTTTTGTCTCAAGAAAAATAAAATAAGAGGTAAGATTACAAATCAGTGGAATTAAAGGGAAAAAGATAACCTCAATAATAGCAAATGAGGCTTCCTAGTAGAAAGTTTGGAAAAAAATACTTAGTATGGGAACTCCACATTATATAGAATAAAGGAAAGGAAGTAGAAAAAAAGTGGTGTAGGTAAAGAAATGAGTAACCTGACAAATTTTGAAAACCTACTGCTTGCAACGCTGTACTAGGAGCTTTTAATTTAATAAAGTCTCCAACTATTTGGTTGTTGAATTTAGGATAAATGTAACCAGACCATTGAGCAGCTAAGATAACTGAGAAACTGCTTTCTAAAAGTTGAAAACTGTGTTTCTGCCTCATTGAAGCTATTGGCAAGGAAACTGTAAATTTCAGTGTAAAATGCACATCTCATGTCCAATTAGAGTAGGTTCCTACTTACATAGAATGACTATCTTTATTCATTTTTGGATTCTCCCTCACACCACCACCATCCCCCATTGCCTAGTATGATTTCTTGCAAATAATTTGGATTGACTGAGTTGGATATATCTCTTAGTTAGTGGACTTATTTTTTGAATAATTAGAGTAAATTGTAAAGTCCTTGAAAAGAACTGTCTTATTATTATATACCCATCCCCTAACAGTGCCTGCTCCACAGTAGGTACAGGTACTCTATATCTTTTGAAACACTGAATATATTTGTAAATATTAAGTTTTAGTTGAAAAGGAATTTTTATTTATCAAACACCTTTTATCACAAACCTTAAAAAATGTAATTCTACTTATCGCCACATTTATAAATAAGAATGTTTATCCGCATTTTAGAAATGAGGGAACTCAAGCTCAAAAATGATGAGTAAAGTCTGCTATCACAGAGAGTGAAAGGCTAATTAGAAATTCAGCCTTAGGGCTGTGTGGCTCCAAAGTCTATGTTCTTTCCACTACACTACACTGCTCTCTTGAGCTTAGTTTTTTTTGTTTTTTGTTTTAAATGATTCAAAGCAATAAGATCTTCCAAATAGTGTCAGTATTACAAGTGGCATCTATCCATTGATGGTACTTTGAAATATTGTGATTGTTGGAATTATACGGCACTTGTCTTAAGGATTGGGGGTTTTGTGGGCTTCATACACAAAACTGGAGCAGAGGCACCTGAACCAAACATAATTTGGGGTGCTGTCCTTGTATCATATGACGTCACTTTAGAACCTATGTTGATCGGAGCCATAGTGGACATCTGACCAAGGTAAGCCCATCAACAGACTGCCTGGTGGCCTGTCACTTATAAGGCACTGCCCAAACAGAAGCAGAGATTATTTTTTTTTCTCACTCGCCCAGGAATTTAATCCAAAGAACCCAGAGGGAAATTCCAGTTGGTGGCAGATCAGAAAGAAATTACAGTTGAATCAGAAAGAAGCAGACATGGGGAATGTCGCTAATTTTTTGTCAATTGTGAAACATAAGTGTGAAGATTCATAAAATATTGCTGCTGAAATCTAGGACTGCCTCATATCCAGAGTAACGCACCAGGTGCAGCTTCACTGAGGCCAACTTGTTAACAGCTGGATTAAATGTGAGCATCTTCTTACTGCCCAGTATAATAACCCTTCTCTATCTTAGCTAACGTGGATGTATCTCTTTTCACTGCAGCCAGATGGGTTTAAATGAAGCAGCATCCCCCAATCTTACAGTGGCCCTTGAAACCCTCCAGTCAGCCTGGAGAATACTGAAAACTTTCTGGGAGGTAAAAGAGCTGTGGTGGCTTGTGAACCCCCACAGTGATGGGGTTCATCTGTGGCTAGCTGAAAGAGATGCCTGAGAGGGGAGTGGAGGCACTGGAGAAGGTAAAGGACAGAGGAGACAACAGAATATGTTACATAGGGAAAGGAACATGGGTTACAGGGAACTGGGAAAGTACATGGCCTGTTTGTCCACTTATCAGAACTTCACCATTATGTCAGGCTTGGCCAATTGAATACATTTCAAGATAAGTCTCTTGACTGGAATAGTATTGGACATTTAGGAGACCAAATGAATTCTCCTCCTCCTTCAGCTACCCTTTCTAGGCTTCCTGAAGGCAGGAACTGCATCTGTTTACCATGGTATCCCCCAAGACATCGTAGGCAGCAAATAGTGAGTGAACGCAATAAATGCATGAATAGTTTTTGACATACCTTACTTAAATAGGCCCTATTGACCTACTGACTGCAGAAAAAACAAGAAATAATCTAAGTAGAGAATCCTTTCATAAACCATTCTAGTTAGGAGGCAGCATACTGATGCAGTTAAAAGAGTGGGCTTTGGTTTTTATCAGATACAGGTTTCAAAACCCACCTCTGGAAATCAGATTTCTCTTACTTAATCTTGATTTTGTTACTTAATTTCTGTAAGGCTTGATTTCATCATCTGTATTATAAAATATATTATCTGTTCCATAGGGTCATTGTAAGGTGAAAATCTAAAGTGCTTAGCATAGTACCTAGCACAAAGTCAATACTCTGTAAGTAGTGGCAATTATTATTATTAGCTGTAATAGTAGTTAATGTTATAACTATTGCTCTCTGCCACTTGTTATATCATGATCAGGGTAGAAAAACAAAGTTGAGAACAGTCTTTACTCATGATTGCACAATTTCCTACATAAACCATGGTCCTCTGCTCTGGGCCATTCTGTGTCTTAGGGATTAGGATTTGGGAGGTTGGTCTGACCTCTCTTGCCCAAGATTTATGCTTATTGTCTTTTTTGTCTTCAAGGTATATCAGGACCTCATGCCTGCTAAACCCACTCCTACCTTTATTTTAGCCACCTCTGATTCAGACTGTCCTTTCTAAAGCACTGCTTTCATGATTTCAACCCATCTCTTTTCCTCCTGCCTTTACCCCATGTTTCCTCATTGCTTATCAGATGAAGGCCAGTTGCTTAGGCTAGCATGCAAGGTTTTGATTTATTTCCACTGCTAAATCCCTCTCAGTCTGGTTTATCCATATTGGCCTAGGATGGTTTAAAGTTCTGCCATCTCCCTGCCAATTGTCCAAATCTCAAAAACCGGTTACTCTATGTTTAGGGCAGCATTGAAAGTAGAAGGAGCTATAGTCTTTCAATCGATCCTGAGGAGGAGTTGGCTTCTATATTTATAGGGACCAAGAGTAAGTCTTCAGCCAGTTTTGTGATATAAGGTCTAGCAGTTTGATTTTCAGCAGTTCTTCCTCTGCCACAGTTTGCTATTGCTGTAGAATTGATAGATTAAAATGTCTCCTGAAATATGTCTCCGGGCTTCTTTATCGAAGTTTAGTCCCTTTTATTTTGAAGATTCAAATAATGACATCTTTGGATATCTTTGGAGTCTTTGACTAAGCATTTGTTAGAGCTATAAAAGCATCTTCATGGCTACTCCCGTTGAATTCACTCCATTTAGGGGTTTATCTTAGACCCGGTGCGGTGTTTTCCTTATTGATTGTTTTGGGAGTTGAAGTGACTATCTTTTAAATTTTATCCACTTGCTCAGCTTATGTTGGTTCCATATTGGCTTGTTTGACCTTTTCATAGATAGCTAGTCATAACTACAACTATAAATGAGCTAAAATAATTTTAATCCCTAATTCATTCACAGATAGACATTGAGTACCTACTGTGTGTAAGAAACTGTACTATATATTGCAAGGTATAAAAACTAGTAAGAATAATAGGTAATGTTTATTGGTTATTTTATAAGTGCCAGGCACTGTCCTAGGGGCTCTGTCTAGGGATTATTTTTATTTAATCCTCACATCCCTTCTATAAGGTACATATTATTATCATCATTCTTCAGACAAGAAAACCGAGATGTGGGAAAATTAACTAACTTGCCAAGTCACATATTTATGGTGTGCTGGATAACAACATAGTAAAATGTTCATGATTTTGTTCAAATACAATCACTGCCTTCAAGAGATTTACTGTCTGGTAACAGAGATTAAACATGAACCTATAAAGAAATCCAAGTTAAAAAGGGCAAAAGATCTGAGTAGACATTTCTCCAAAAAAGATATAAAAATCACTGATAAACACATGAAAAGGTGATCAACATCATTAGCCATCAGGGAAATACAAATTAAAATCACAGTGAGCTACTACTCATACCCACTAAGATGGCTAAAATATAAAAGACAGCTAGTAAGTGATGGTGCAGATGTAGAGAAATTGGAACCCTTATAGACCAATACTGGGGATGAAAAAGTGGTGCAGCCACTTTGGAAAATAGTCTGGCTGTTCTTCAAAAGGTTAAAAAAAATAGTTACCATATGATCCAGCAGTTCTACTCCCAGGTATATACCCAACAGAAATGAAAACATACGTCGTCACAAAAACTTACACATGAGTGTTCATAACAGCATTTTTCATCATAGTCAAAAAATAGAATCAAACCAAATCTCTACCAACTGATGAAGGATAAATAAAATGTGGTATTTACATACAATAGAACATTATTCAGCAACAAAAAGAAATGAAGTGCTGATACATGTTACAACATGGATGAATCTTGGAAACATTATTCTGACACATAAGTGAAAGAAACCAGTCATAAAAGAACACCTACTGTATGATTCTATTTATATGAAATCCTCCAAAATAGGCAAATCTTTAGAGACAGAAAGTAGATTAGTGGTTGCCGAGAGCTAGAGGGAAGGGAGAATGGGCAGTGGTTGCTAATGAGTACAGGGTTTCTTTTTGGCAGGATGAAATTGTTCTAAAATTCATTGTGGTGATGGTTGTACAACTATGAATATACTACTAAAAAATCATTGAACTGTACACTTTAAGTAAGTAAATTGTATGATAGGAAAATATATGAAGTATATATCAATAAAGTTATTTTTAAAAACATGAACCCAAAGTAACTAAAATATAAAATAACATTTGGTAACTCATACAGAAACATAACCAAAAGCTATCAAAGTTCAGAGGAAAAAGACCATTTAGGCTACCACAGTTAGGATAGCTTTCAGAGGACAATGGGATTTGGATAGAGCTGGGATGAAATATACAAAATTGAAGGAAAAAAGAAAATATTTCTTACAAAGCATAGCAAAAAGGAGAAAATTATAGCATATATTTGGGAAATGGTAAGGGGTCTGGTTTGGTTGGCATGCTTAGTGCTGATGGTTAGAATAGACAAATATTGATATGCTTTAGATAATTATGGGAGAAAATATTTAAAATTTTAACTTTGCCCCCAAAAATCTAAGGTGTACTGTTAAGATACAGCACAGAGGAAGAGTAGTAGACTTTGAAATGATAGGTGTGTCTAGGCCTTGGAGAAAGAGGTATGAATACTAGGTAGGAGATCACCTCTGATTCTGCCCTCACTGGAAGCTCCAGATCCCATTTCCTTAACTTGTGTTCTTTATTAGCCTTGCAGTCTTTTCACGAAGACTGCAAGGCTTGGGAGAGTCTGTGGATTGTGGCACCTGTAGAAATAGTCTTATATCTGAGTACAAAGTATTCCTCATGGTTTCTCAATACTGTGCTAGCATCAAGATATTCCTCCTCTGCTTCAGGTGAAAGTCAAATGTAAGTCAAGCCTCAGCCCCCATAGTATGAATTCGAGAAGTGACACAAACTGGTCATAATTATTTCATTCCGTTATATTCCAGTTGTTTTCTTGAGAAAACCAAAACAAAACCAGGGCTAAACAACAAATCCAAAACAAAAATTCTTCAATACGTTGTGTTAATGGATATAGCTTTATTTTGAAACTGCATAGTTGTTTCCTTCACTCAGCCACTAAAAGTGATTTGAGAAACTGAGAGGACCTGGAGATGCAAAACCAGGAACTAACTGCTTCATTCATAGTCTGATGGGGTGAGGAACTTAGGGAGAAGCTGCCTCTGGCACCCATTCCCAGCAACAGGCCTCCTATTCTTGTCTTCTTCTTATTTACCCTGTTGTAATAAGTCTCTTTACCAAGGGAAGCGTTCCTTCAAACCCTTCTCTATCATTTACCTAGACTGTGCTGAGTGTCAGGACTAGGTCAACCCAGCTCAGACCCAGATGTAACCCATGTGCTGTGGGGTTGGAGAGAGAAGGGTTCCCTAATAAAGAATTGGCCACTGCTGAACTTGAGCCTCCAGGGTAATGGAAAAGGCTTCAAACAGGAGATACAAACCATGCTTATCCCTAAGAAGTAGAGAGTAAAGAACAAATCTCACTCTCTCCTTCCTGTACTGTCGCTCACTGTACCACATTATGTGTATAAAGTCAGTCTCTTCATTTCTTAATTTTTTCAGTTACAAAGTATTTATTTTAATGTAAATGTAAAAGGTCACTTTAGAAAATTCAGAGATATGAAAGGAAAACAACTGAAATCACACACACTCTCGCCATCCAGAAACAACTATGGTTTACATTTTGGCGTATTTCTTTCTTTTCCTATGTGTACATATTTCTTCCCACAAAGTTGAAATCATACATATATGTATATGTATATTAAGTTTTCTATTTTAATTTTTTTACCAAAAGTTGTATAGTGAGCATTATTCCCATGTTATTTAATTATTCTTCAAATATGTTACTTTGAAAAAATAGGTGCAGAATAATTCCCCAACATTGAAAAATTATGGAGTTCCTTTTGTTCCACTCTTCTCCCATAATACCTTGCAAACACTTTTTTTAGCTAACAAATACAGCCATTGAAATATTAAGTCTCATGGAGCTCTTTGCTGAGCTTTTATAGCAACAGTTTGGTAATAACAGTATCACCAAGCACTTTCCCTGGGGACATCAACAAGTGTCCCTTCAAAGACATGCTGACTCCACCTCACTTGCTTCTCACCTGGTGGATCAGAGGAACCAGCTGTAATACAAGTAAGCTCTTTTGATAAAGAGACAATTTATTGGGGAGAAATTGTTGACTGTGTTTGTAAACTGGAGAGTCAAATGACTGACAATGTAACTGAAGTGTTGAGGTATCTACATTCCCTTTACACTTTGTTGCCACCTAGAGCTGGTTCATTAGAGTTCTCATTGTTTTTCTAC
The DNA here is from genome assembly GCF_000001405.40 of Homo sapiens. Lineage (NCBI taxonomy): Eukaryota > Metazoa > Chordata > Mammalia > Primates > Hominidae > Homo > Homo sapiens. Next base: position 120,358,050 of record NC_000003.12, read on the forward strand.
AAACCAGAGGTGAAAAGGGTACAATGCAAAATCTGTGTGCACTGCTAGAATTTTCTGTTTTGGGATAGTTTATACTTGTCTTTAGTAGTATATGATTTTTTTTTCTGTCTTTGTTGTTTTTCTTTTTTCTTGTTCCTGGTTTTTGTTTTGTTTGTTTTTTTTTCAGATGGAGTTTAACTCTTGTTGCCCAGGCTGGAGTGCAGTGGTGCAATCTGGGCTCACTGCAACCTCCACCTCCCAGGTTCAAGCAATTCTCCTGCCTCAGCCTCCCGAGTAGCTGGGATTACAGGAGCCCGCCACGATGCATGCCTGGCTAATTTTTTGTATTTTTAGTAGAGATGGGGTTTCACCTTGTTGGCCAGGCTGGTCTCAAACTCCTGACCTCAGGTGATCCATCCGCCTCGGCCTCCCAAAGTGCTGTGATTACAGGTGTGAGCCACCACACCCGGCCTCTTGTTCCTGTTATAAAGTGAAACTTTGTAAGAATCTTACACCAAATTCAATTCAATTCAGTTAATTCAACAAATACTTATTGGGTGCCTACAACTTGTAGAACACCATGATGGATATATGAAAGACAAAGAGGACCTAGCCATGCGCTTAGGGAACTTATAGTCTAGCAGGGCTGATTAGATAGGCATATAAATAACTGCAAGACAAAGTAGACCAGGCTATAAGAATATTTAATGAAGGAGAAATACTCACAAAATAGTGTCATGAGGAAAAAATTAAACTAGTCACTAAACTGTATATACAAATTGAGTTTTCTGAAAAAGTACACATGTAAAAAACTGGAATACTCTAAAATGGTAGTAGTGGCTGTCTGGGTGATGAATTAAAAGGGATTTTAATGTTCTTTATTCTTTTCTATTTTTTCAAAAAGTTATTTACAGTGAAACTGCTACTATTAGGATAAATAAAAGTAAGCTTTATTAAATGAGAGTGTCATGTAACAATAGAAAATGTAGTGCAAGTGCTGAGGAGCAAAGATCATAACTGACTGGGGTGGGGGAATTAGAAAGGCTTTAGGATTTATGTCTTTCAGAATGATGAAAAATTTTTTTTTTTTTTTTTTTTTTTTTAGACAGAGTCTCACTCTGTCACCAGGCTGGAGTGCAGTGGCACGATCTTGGCTTACTGCAACCTCTGCCTCCCTGATTCAAGCGATTCTCCTGCCTCAGCTTCCCAAGTAGCTGGGACTACAGGCGCACGCCACCACTCCCAGCTAATTTTTGTATTTTTAGTAGAGATGAGGTTTCACCATGTTGGCCAGGATGGTCTCAATCTCTTGACCTCGTGATCCACCTGCCTGAAACTCCCAAAGTGCTGGGATTACAGGCATAAGCCACCATGCATGGCTTGTTTTTTTGTTTGTTTGTTTGTTTGTTTGTTTGTTTTTGAGACAGAGTTTTGCTCTTATTGCCCAGGCGGGAGTGCAATGGCACGATCTTGGCTCACTGCAACCTCTACCTCCTGGGTTCAAGTGATTCTTCTGCCTCAGCCTCCTGAGTAGCTGGGATTACAGGCATGCACCACCACGCCCAGCTAATTTTTTGTATTTTTAGTAGAGACAGGGTTTCACCGTGTTGGCCAGGCTGGTCTCAAACCTCTGACCTCAGGTGATCCACCCACCTTGACCTCCTGAAGTGTTGGGATTACAGGCGTGAGTCACTGCGCCCGGCTGAAAAGCTTCTATATCTTAGAAATAGTAATAAAGTTTTACTGAATTGAAAAGACATTATATTTCTACAATTTTTTTTTCCCATGACATTTGACTATAGTCTCTGTCTCTATTAATGATAGGCTGGGCGTGGTGGTTCATGCCTATAACCCCAGCACTTTGGGAGGCTGAGGCGGGCAGATCACTTGAGCCAGGAGTTCAAGACCAGCTTGGGCAACATGGGGAAACCACATCTCTACTAAAAATTACAAAAATTAGCTGGGCGTGGTGGCATACACCTGTAATCCCAGCTACTGGGAAGGCCAAGGCAGAAGAATCTCTTGAACCCTGGAGATGGAGGTTGCAGTGAGCCGCAATTGCGTCATTGCACTCCAGCCTGGGCAACAGAGCAAGACTCTGTCTCAAAAAAAAAAAAAAAAAAAAAAGACCTATAGCTCTAGTAGCTGCTATCTGCCGTATTATCTTTTAAAATTTATATTATTTTAGATATGTCTTTAAAATATTTTACTACATGTACCATGAAGAGATATTTTCTAAATCAGAAGATGATGTCAATCACTAATCAGATTCATAGAGTATATAGACTTGGCAAAGAATCTTACTACTTGTCCCACTGAACGCAGAAATGCTTTATTTGGTCATTGGCTGGAATGGCTACTCGTTTGTCCTTCTTTTCTTCTGAAGATTTCTGTATCTGTTACGGTTCAACCCACAGAGCACATATTTTTCAGCGTCTAATAGGCTCTAGAAAGAGAGTTCCTATAATATTCTGAAAGTCAGCTGCTTCATCAGCCCATGAGCGTCCTGTTTTGGTAGATGCCCTGGGTGATGTGGCTTCCCATGGTGTGCGGGTGACATAGCAGAGGTTTGTCAGGTCAGAGTTTAGGTGGAATGTACAGGCTTCAGCTAACCTACAGAGTGAGAGTCTTGTCTCTGTGTAACCTGGATGAATTATTTATTTTCCTTCTGCCTTTGTTTCTCACTTATAAAATGAAGATAATAGTAGTACCTACTTTATAGGCTCATTTTATAGATTAGATTTGGCATTTGTAAACATTTGATGTAAAGTTGCTATTATTATGATGTATCATAGATAGACTCGATGGACTGTAGCAGATTTTTTAAAAATCTTAAATAGATAACAGGAAGAAGAGGAGAAACGAACATATGCTGAGAGAGTACGATTATGTTACCTTTGTTTTCTTGGAAATAGTGAGGGGCCAAAGAACAAGTAAAGAAATAATTGTCATGCAGTGTGATTCATGCAGCAATAAAAGTATGTTCAAAATAAAGAAGAAGGAATGATGAACTGCATATGGGTGCGGGAGGGCTTGAGAAGTGCTACTTGGGCAGAGTTGTTTTTTTGTTTTGTTTTGTTTTGTTTTGTTTTGAGACAGGGTCTCACTGTGTCACCCGTGCTGGAGTGCAGTGGCGCGATCTCGGCTTACTGCAACCTCTGCCTACCGGGTTCAAGCGATTTTCATGCTTCAGCCACCCGAGTAGCTGGGATTACAGGCATGCACCACCAGGGCCCAGCTAATTTTTTGTATTTTTATTAGAGACGGGGTTTTGCTATGTTGGCCAGGCTGATCTCAGATTCCTGGCCTCAAGTAATCTGCCTGCTTCAGCCTTCCAAAATGCTGGGATTACAGGCACGAGCCACGGAGCCCAGCCTTGGGCAGAGTTTTGAGTAAGTGAGTAGTTGGGGAGTGGATGAAGGCAGTGGTGATAAGGGATGTGCCAGGCACAGAGGATTTGGACAGCACCACAACTTTGGGATGGTAGGTGGGACGTAAAGTGCGGGGGAATAGTGAGAGATGAGGCCAGAGAGGGAGGCTGGATTCTGTGAGAATCAGTGGCTTTACCTATATGTAGATGTGCATTTGTGTCAGAGTTTCTTGAAAGGGCTGAGAGTTGCTAATTCCTTTCTTCTACCGCTTCCAAAGCTATCCTGAGCTTGTTAATGCCATTCCTATTAAACTATGGCCCTGGCTGGGCAGACTCATTTAGTACTGTCTCTTGGTTATTTTTCTCCATTTGGGAAGCATTGCACCATGACTTCGAAGATACACTTGTATATCTACTAGTTAAATGTCTTCCACTTTAGACTTGCACCAGCAACATCCAGAAAGGCCAGTGAACATGGCTTGGGAAGCATAGGAAACTGTCTTTTGTCCCTCATATATCTTCAGGGCTGACTTCAGATCCAAATGACTTCAACTGTGACTCAGTTAGAGAGGCAGATTTTCATATTATAGAAAGAGAGCTCCTGGTTCGTACAGCAAAACAAACAAACATGCACAAGATTAGGCTGTGTGAACTTGACTCAGTAGACATTCCCACATGGGGTACTGAGGTGCTGGAAGCCTGTCTACTAAAGGTGCACTGGTGGGCATGGAATCTAAAGGGGGTGTCTGTGAGGGCCATCCTGGGTCCCAGCAGCAGGTGGTTCCATGGTTATGCTGCCCCACACTTTCTTGGCTGAACCAAATTTTCTGCCTTTCATTTTGTTCCTTACAAAATGTCCTTCTTTTTGGTGACTGTTAACATACTTCTTCACAGTGCAGGTGAGTCATTTTTCAAAAAACTTTGTGGGCATTTATGAAATAGCTTTGGGGATAGTGAGGAAAACATTTGTTTGGAGATAAACGACATAATCTCTCTGAATCTCATTCTTTTCATTTGTTATATGAAAATAACAAATTTATTTTTTACAGGAAAAATTGTATTTATTTTAAAAATCTATATTTACTTCATAGGAAATGGTTAAGAGCAGATGGGAGAAAATAACAGACACATATTATAAATCATTATTGTTTATTCTGCTTTCTTTTTTTAAATGAGAAAAACTTCCACCCCACCCCCCCCAATTTGGTTTGTCCATTTGAAGCCATATCTGAATGACTAATCTCAGTCGTATCTATAGTGTGAACCTCCCAACCAAACCAAACAAAACAATACTAGACACCCACTTTCAAGTGACTCTGACAAGTGCCAATTTATAGTGTAGCATCCAAAATATTTGAAATCAGGTCTGTCCTGAAAAATCTGGATGGGCAGTCAACAAAGGGTTTATGTAAGTCTTTTTGTACTCAAATCTTCAACTCTCTTGGTGACAAACAATATACAGATGTTGGAAATGTTAATATGATTCAGCTAACCAAAAGTCCATAAGCAAAAGTTTTTTAAAAAAACACTGTGTATCCCAAATCTGGCTGTATAACTACTCCATAAAGTGATCAAACACATTTATAGTCTTCAGGCTTATGCCATCTTCCAGAGACCTGCAGCAGTTCTGTCAGTCCCTTAAAGGTGGCAGCAGCTTGAAGGCATCCTCAGGCTCCAGAGTTCAACTCAGGAGTTAGTACAAGGCCTGGTCAACCCAGGTTACATTTGCTGGCTCTTTTCTCTTGATGTTTGATTATTCTGTGTGTGTGTGTGTGTGTGTGTGTGTGTGTGTGTGGTGGGGAGGAGGGCGGGGGGGCTGGGTGTTGGGGGGTGTGTGTGTGTGTGCGGGTAGAGGAGAGCAGTAAGAAAAGTAAGGTGGTAATCCACTCATAGTTAGGAAAAACTCAACCAAATAAAGGAATAGGTATGTATGTAGGCAAGAAAGAGAATGATCTGTTGATTCTAATCTCACATTTTGTAGCAATATTAAGAACTTAATACTATGTGCTAGGTACCATGGCAGATGCGTTAGACAGTATCTTTCTACATTTTTCTAAGTGTTTTCCCACATTATTAACCTTTTTCTGAGCTTTTGCCTCGGCCTCTTAAGGCTTGGGAAGCTAAAGACACATGGTTTAGAAATAACACAGATTGAAATAGACAAAGGAGTTACTCAGATTCAAGCAGGGCCATCTGCAGACATATCAGTTAGAAATTGTCCTTTATACTAGTTACATCAGCAGGAAGTTGTGTTTCATGATGCATTGGCTAGAGCCTTTGGATCCCTGAGTTTGAGACCCCTTCCCTTGGGCCAGAAAGGGTACAACTGTAGCAAGAACTCCTGAGTACAACTGGAGAAGGTAGAATCAAGGACCACTCATGGGTAAACTACATATTCTTGTGAGAGACATTGGGGTGGGGGAACAGCTTACTAAAGTGTCCACTCATCTACTTTACTCCTGTCCTTCTGGAAAATGACCGAGCCATGTCATATAAAAACAGTCTGTAAGATCCCATGGTATTTCATTAAAACCTCGGACAGGTGTTATAATTCTAATTATACACAAGGAAGCTATAACTCAGAGAGATTAAGTGCCTTTCCTGATGCCAAATGATTAGTAAGGGGGTACTTAGAACTAGAACTTGGATTTACAATTCGTCAGACCAGGATTTTACAAAAATAAAGTCCCACAAAAATTATAAAACACTGCTTTTTGGTGATAACCACTTCAGAAAAATAATTTGAGCAAGAAAGCACTTCAGGTTTTTACTTGCAAATCAATCCTTCTAAAGGTTATGCAAGTTATTTCTCTTTGCCTCCTTTCCAGCCTGTCTTGTAGTCATTAATTCATTTAATTAGTCACTGATTCATTCATCAAACTTCGAACCAGTGCCTACTATTAGGAGACAAAAGAGCACATTTCAGTTGGAGAGCTTTGGAGTCAGACTGCCTAGCATTGAATGACAGCTCTACTGCTCACTAGCTGTGTATCCTTGAGTAACTTACTTCACCCACTGTGCCTTGGTTTTCTCAGTAGTAAATTGGGGATAATTACCTGCCTCAGTGTTAGTATCAGATTAAATGAATTAATGCCAGAAAAGCTCCTAGAATATGTTTAGAACATTGTAAATACTTGATAAATGTTACCAGATATGGTCAGAGTTCTCCAGAGAAACAGAACAAACTGGAAAAGAGAGAGAGAGGGGGTTGGCGGGGGGGTAGAGAGAGAGGGAGAGAGAGCCTGATTTTTTTTTTGAAGAAATTGGGTCATGCAGCTGTGCTTGTGGAGGTTGAGAAGTCCCAAGATCTGCAGTCAGCGAGCTGGAGGTGCAGAACAGTCTATGGTATAGTTCTAGTCTGAGTCTGAAGGCAGGAAAAGACTGCTCAAGCAGTAAAAGCAGGAGTTCCCTCTTACTTGAAGGAAGGTTGGCTTTTTTGTTCTATTTAGAACTTCAACTGATTAGATGAGGGCACCTACATTAGGGAAGACAATCTGTTTTACTCAGTCTGTCCACTCAAATGTTAATCTTATCCAGAAACACCCTCATAGACACATTCAGAATAATGTCTGACCAAATATCTGGGCACCCCCATCAACAGCCACGTGATTATCACTACTGGAATGAGCAGATTGTATCTGTCATTCATCTGGAATGTTCTCTATTACATGTCTCTTAGGCTGTTCTTTGCTTGGCTGATGGCTTGGAAGCTTCCTTGTCTACTAAGTTACCATTTGAATTTGGTCTTGGTGCATAACCTATTTTGCCTTCTATTTCATCTCACCTTATTTGATATAATGAGGTGAGATGAAATATCAAATAGTAGTCTTATTTAGGCTCACACTGACCAACTCTTCTGCCTTTCCACTGCTTGTTTGTTACCTGCATAGTGTCTCTAGAAGGAAAAAAAATGCCTTCCTACTGGAGTCCATATTTTCATAATGTTTAAGTCTCATTATTCTCTCTTACTCAAGCTGAGAATTTAATTAGTCTTTTATGTTCGAAAGTTTGGTAACCATGACCCTAATGGTTCTTTTTAAATTCTGAGAGGTCTCGTTTCTTTTTGCAGTGGTACTAGTATCTTACTTTGTGATCTTAAGCAATTGTGCTTCCTGGGAATCAGTTTTGTCTTTTAGTAGCAGAGACATTTTACAGAAGAATTCAATTTGGAAGCCTAATTTATAAAGTAAATTAGGGAGGGATTGTTCTGATTGAAGTGTTAAGGGAGTGGAGATCTCACTGACTTGCTCTTCACCTGGTCATCAGTGGCAACCTATGAGGTGGGCTTTGGGGAAAATAGTTCAAAAACATTGAATCAGAGGATCTGTAAGCTTTCTTGCAAATATAACACATCAGCATTCTATTCCATGTCATTATTCTATGAATATACATAGTGCATGGCTATATTCCCTATAGCCCTCAGGTCCTGCTATGGATAGCTCTGCCCAGATTGGTAGATATTTGTGGCAGGTAGAATAGACTTACTTACTGAACATCTTTTCCCGCCTTTCTGATGTGCATTCCTGGATTGCTGAAACTGGAGAGTAAAACATATTTCCAAGATTCCTTTGCAGTTAGGGTTCTGGGAATGACTTAGAGTCTGCCAATCAGATATATTTTCTCAAGAATTAAATGGCAACTGATTGAAGTGGGGAGAAAGGTTATAGTGCATGACGCATTCTTTCATTGGCCAGTGCAATCTAGCAGGTGCAGATTGGCTATGGAAGCAACACCCGTGGTGATGACTTCCTGCATCACCAGCTTCTTGATAAGGCAGAGGCAACTGTTCTTCCAGAAGACCAGTACTGCAGTGTTGTTGAGCCTAGCATAATGTGGGGGAGGACAGACACAGATATTACACATCTCACCTTCCATGCCCTTCTTTGGGCTCATTTCTTCAGCCTCCCAATGATTTTGTAAGTGTCTAGTTCTCTGTACTAAATCCCTTATGCATGAAATAGCTAGAGTGATTTCTTTTATCGCTTATTAAATCTTACCTGATGCAGTGCTGATTGGTCTTTATTAACTTCATTTCTTCTTTGACATTCTCGGTGTCTACAGAGGAGCTGCGGGCCCACCCATTCACTGATGTTACCCTCTCCTGTCATTTCTCCTTTGTGAAGGGCACTGAAAATCTTGAGTTTTCTTGGGAAAGAGAAGACATCAAACAGGCATATGAGGTAGAGGATAATAAAGAATATTACCTCCTTTTCAAGTACCTTGATTTTTTTGAAGTTTTCTCGAAGTTGGTTTACCAGTTTCACAATAACACAGAGCAACTAGAAGATCAAAATTCCTTGTATGAGGGAAGAGTATCTGTGGACCAGGCTGAAATTTCTGAGGGGACTCTATCACTTTTACTAAGAAATGTGGATTTCATGGATGAAGCTATCTACAAGTGCTCAGCCATCACACCAGATGGAAGAGGTGAAAGTACAATTAAGCTAATAGTAGAAGGTAAGGGAATTTATTGAATGAACTTGATTTCAAGCTCTGTCTCTATTCATAAGTTATAACAGTGACAACTTATCTAGTTCTCTCACTTTTCCCCTTTTACTCAAATTATTATCAGTTCTTCTTATTCCCAACACGTCAATTCGTCTTAGCTAAAAATATTGCCCTGAGCGAAAGATGCTGTATCTATACCTGTATACATTATTCATTCACACAGACAAACAAAACATTAACAACAACAACAACAACAAGCACTGGTCTATCAAAAACTCTCCAAACAAGTTGTAACACTGAAAAATCAAAATATGATATAACAGTCTTACATGAAAACGCTGAGATATGACATATGGTTTAGTGAGAAGAGCCCCGCATTGGGAGTCAGGAGGCCCATATTCTAATTTTGGATGACTTTGGGTAACTCATTTAGCTTTTCTAGGCTTCACTTTTCTCACTATTAAAATGTAGGTTGGACTGGATCAGTGGATCTCCGTAGTGATCCAGGGATCCTTACCCTTCACAGGATTGCATGAAGAGCTTTTCCCCCATCAGAGACTTTCAGGGATTGGGGAAGGCATGGCAGAATTCCTCCAGGATAAGAGTTGGAAGACATGAGAAGGTGGTGGTTGTGAGAATAATTCGTTATCTTCTGTGGTTCTCAGCAGGGTATGTGGAGTTCAGTGGTGAATCTGGAATGAATCCACTCAAAGAGGGGAAGATTCCAAAAGATAAAGGCAGCAGTGATAGATGAGAACTGAAAGGCAGGAGCATACATGTATCCTGTTCTTCTCTTACTATGCTTGGATCAAAATTTTAACTACAGTGAATCTCAAGATATATTGCCTACATAACGGGTTAATGTAAAAAGCGAGAGCATGTATTCTGCTAGCCTGAGCCTCTTGGGGCTGAAATAAAAAAGGAACTAATTGTTTTGTTATTTTTTCCAATCAGACTCTGAAATGCCCCAGGTGCAATTTGACAGGATTGATGATGAGGATGTGGCCACATGCATCTCAAAGGACTAGTACCTCACGCCCATTGTGACATGGCTGGACCGGACAGAGAGGGACCTGAGCAACCACAGCATCGTGGAAATCCTGGAGGAGCAGATGAATGGCTTCTACAGGGTGTTCTCCATCCTGAAATACCCTGTCAAGTTAAATGAGAAATATCTCTGCCACATAACAGAGACAGATGTGAACAACCAGCTCTTCAGAATCATCCACAAGTATCCAAGTAAGTGCAAATCCGAAAGGAACAGTGAAAGTGGGGTGCATTTCACCACAGAAAAGTCATCATTCATTAATATTTACTGAATGTCAAATATATCAGGCATGCCTTCGCACTTTGGGGATTTAAAGAAGCATCAGGAACATACGCTTGGAGCCTTGGGCAAGATAAGGTGGTGAAGTGGAGTCTCTCTGGGCTTGAAAAAAGAACATGCTTCAGAGACTGACAGCTTTCTCCTGATAGATGTGGCTCTTACTATTGATGAGGTTTCTTTTCCTCTGCACAGAACATCAGCTTTATGACGTGGCAGGCTGAGTAGTCATAGTGGCCATTTATTAGCCTCTCACCATGTGCCTGGCACTTTACATATGTCACTTTAATCTTTACCTCTATTTTAATTGTTATTACTGCCCCTCTTCTATATGAGAAAACCAACAAGTTAAATAATTTGACTAAGGACATAGCTAACAAGCACAAGACTCAGGATTCAAACCCATTCTTTCTGAATCTAAAGTTCATGCACTTCATTTTTCTTATGCATATACCACACTGCACTTACAGATCTAAGACTATAGACTGCATGAATAGATCTAAGTCATATATGTTTGGAGAAGGGGATTCCCTGTGTAATAAGCAAGGAGGCAAGAAATAGAGTCACTGCTCCCACTCAAATTCTGAGCAGTCTTTAAGTTGCCGTATCAAAGGCTGTCTACATTCTGGGGAATCTTAATTGAGTCCTCCAGAGAAATTTTGATGGATACTTTTTTGTGTAGCTGTTCTATTACTTCTAAACTGTCTAAACTTTTTCAAGTTAGGAATTTGAAAAAAAAAAGCATGTTAGAAAAAGAACAGGTATTTACTGAACACATACCATATGCTAGGGTGGACCCAGGTACTTTTGCATAAGGTATTTAACCCCACAATGACCTCTGAGTTAGATACTAACATTACAGTATTTAGCAGAGGAGGAAACCAAGGCTGAGAGAAGGTTAAGTATTTACCAAAGGCTACACAGCTGACAGTCTTACAACCCAGGACTTGAACTTGGGTCTAATTATTAACAAAGGCCTGGGCACATTCCACTATGTGGTTGACTCGTGGGCCTTAAGTTCCTTGTGTCAAAGTATCTGTAGCCTCAGGCTGAGGTCATTGATTTATTCTGCCACCTGTGACCTCACCTGCCTCTCCATCAAGAAGGAAGGGATGGTGATGAATACACTTGCACGGTGAGCTAATTCCTTCTACTTTCCTGTATCCCTGACTTAGAGATCTTATTAAGACTTCTTTGGAGGGTTAGCTCTGGCAGGGACTTTGGCCATCATCTACCAATCACAGCATATAGGGGTGACTAAACAGAAGTCCAGAGAGGTGAGATAATTGTCCAAGGTAATACACACTCTATACAAGAAGTATTAATGGAGTCTGACTTCATGCAAAGGTTGGGCAGTTACCTTTCAGGTCTAGTCTGTAGGGGCCTGGCAATTAATCAAAGCATTCAAAACACTATTGCAATCCTGGATCTCCCAGTAACTAGCCGTAAATATTTACAACCGTTAAGAGTATTTATTTAAATTTTTAATGACTTGGGAAAATACCCGCACTATCATGTTAAAATTTTAAAAAGCAAAATAGTAGCTTGTATGTGTAGCATGAGCCCCAGTTGTTTAACTATATGGAGATTTAAAAGATAGGATGTATTATTATTATTATTATCATAATATGAACAGTAATTACTGGTAACCTCTGAATGATAGGATTGTAGGCATTTTTTGTTTTCTCTTTTGTACTTGTGTTTTATGCAACATTCTATAATGAACATATATTATTTTTAGTCCAAAAAAGCTATATTTTTTAAATCTTTAAAAAATATCTTTATGAAAAATGGTTTACATGCCATAAAATTCACCCATTTGAAGTGTACAATTTAATTGTTTTAGTATATTCACAAAATTGTGAAATCGTCACCACTCTTATCATTTAGAACATTTTAATTACCCTAAAAATAAACCTCATGCTCATTCACAGTCACTCTCCATTCCCTTCACCATATCCCCCAGTCCTAGGCAACCACTAACCTACTTTCTAGCTATATAGATTTGCCTATTTTAGATCTTTCATATAACTGAAATTATACAATATGTGGTCTTTTTAAACTGGCTTCTTTTACTTGGCATAATGTTTTAAAGGTTCATCCATGTTGTAGCATATGTTAGCACTTCATTTCTTTTTATTTCTGGATAATAGTTTATTCCATTATATGGATATTACCACATTTTATTTATCCATTCATCAGTTGATGAAGATTTGGGTTGATTTCACTTTTTGTCTCTGATGAATGATGTTGCTGTGAACATTCACATATATGTTTTTATGTGGAAATTTATGTTAAATTTCATTTATCTTGGGTATATACCTATGAGTGGAATTGCTGGGTCATATGGTAACTATTTTTTAACCCTTTGAGGAACTGCCAGACTATTTTCCAAAGCAGCTGCACAATTTTACATTCCTACCAGCAATGTATGAGGTTACTGATTTGTCAACATCCTTGCCAGCACTCATGATCTTTTTTATTCTAGTCATTCTAGTAGATGTGAGTGACATTTGTGGTTTTGATTTGCATCTCTCTGGTGGCTAATCTTGGGCATCTTTCAATATGCTTACTGGTTATTTGTACATCTTCTTTGGAGAAATGTCTATTCAAATTCTTTCTCCATTAAAAATGGGTTATTTATCTTTTTATTATTGAGTTGTAAGAGTTGATATATTTTGAATACCAATTCCTTATCAAATATTTGACTTGCAGAAATTTTCTCCCCTTCTGAGTTGTCTTTTCACTTCTTGATGATGTCATTTGAAGCAGTAAATTTTCTGATTTTGATGAAGTACAATTTATCTTTTTTTTTGTCACTTGTGCTTTTGGTGTTATATCTAAAAAATTATTGCCTAATCTAAGTCACAAAGATTTACTCATATGTTTTCTTCTAAGAGTTTTATAATGTTAGCTCCTACCTCCAGGCTTATGATTCCTTTAAATTAATTTTTGTTTTTGGCATGAGATAGGTGTCCAACATCCCAGGACCATTTATTCAAAAGGCTATTCTTTCCCCCATGGAATTGTCTTGATGGCCTTATTGAAAATCAAGTTACTATAAATGTAAAGGTTTATTTCTGGGCTTTCAATTATATTCCATTGATCTATGTGTCTGTACTTATGCCAGTACCACACTGTCTTGACTACTATAGCTTTTTAGTAAGTTTTGTCACAGAGGAGTGTGTTCTTTTAACATTGTTCTTCTTTTTGAAGATAGCTTTGATTATTCCTATTTCAGCATTTTCATATGAATTTTAGGATGAACTTGTCAATTTCTGCCAAACAGGCACCTGGGGTTTCAATAAGGAATGTATGGAATCTATAGATTCATTTTGGGAGTATTGGCATTTTAATGATACTAAGTCTTCTATCTATGAACACAGATGTCTTTCCATTTGTTTAGGTCTTTTTAAATTATCTTCAATGATGTTTGGCAGTTTTCCATGTATAAGTCTTACAATTCTTTTGTTAAATTTATTCCTAAGTATTTTATTCTTTTTCATGCTTTGGAAATGTAATTGTTTTCTTAATTTCATTTTAGAATGCTTATTGCTAATAGAAAGAAATAACAGTAGATTTTTGTGGATTCCTTAGTATTTTCTATATAGAAGACCACGTTATCTATGAATAGAAATAGTTTTACTTCTTCCTTTCCAATCTTGATTACTTGTATTTAATTTTCTTTCTAATTGCCCTGGCTAGAACCTCCAGTACAATGCTGAATAGAAAAACTAAGAGTAGATCTCTGGGAGAAAGCATTCAATCTTTCATCATCAACTATGATGTTAGCTGTAGGTTGTTATTACTGTAAATGAACAATATCAGGTTGAGAAAGTTCTCTTCCGTTGCTTGTTTTCTGAGTGTTTTTATCATGAATAAATTTAGGATTTTGCCAAATGTATTTTCTGCATCTGTTGAGATGATCATGTGGGCTTTGTCCTTTATTCTATTAATATGATATATTGCACTAATTAATTTTTGTATATTGAGCCAACTTTGTATTCCTGGGATAAACCCTACTTGGTCATGGTATGTAAGTCTTTTTCTATGTTGGTAGATTCAGTTTG